>NC_000002.12:111732042-112035072 GCF_000001405.40 Homo sapiens | reverse complement strand
ATAATCTAGTATGAAGTATGGATGAAAAAACTGGCGAATTACACATTTTTATGATGAGAAACTATGTTTGTTAAAACAAGCCATTACTACTTGTGGAGTTAAATCAGCAGCCTGCATCCCCTTGAACTGCTCAGACTGTGGTATAATGGGATTTTGATTTTTAAGCCCCAGCTGATGGCCCTTTAATTTTAAGTCATGTGGGGCCGGGCCTTGGAGCTTGCTTCCAGGAAAGGCATTCTGTCCCTTTTCTGGAGGTTTCTTGTAGAGTCTCTAAATAGCATCTACAGGTGTGGCTGCTCTGCTTCACTATGCTACGAATGGACTTCAACAAAATGTGGAAGTCAGAGTATTCTGAAGAATATTCTTTAAAAGAAAATGATGGCTGGGTGTGGTGGCTCATGCCTATAATCCCAGCACTTTGGGAGGCCGAGGTGGGCAGATCACGAGGTCAGGAGTTCGAGACCAGCCTGGCCAATATGGTGAAACCCCGTCTCTACTAAAAATACAAAAATCAGCTGGGCGTAGTGGTGTATGCCTGTAGTCCCAGCTACTTGGGAGGCTGAGGCAGAAGAATCGCTTGAACCTAGGAGGCAGAGGTTGCAGTGAGCCGAGATCGTGCCTCTACACTCCAGCCTGGGCAACAGAGCGAGACTCCATCTCAAAAAAAAAAAAAAAGAAGACTATAGTTAAAAGAAAATGATTCATCCAAAGCCACCTGTTCCCTCCTTTGGACTGTTATTCAAGACAGCAAGGACTAGACTGCCTTTCTACACTTGATCTTAGCCAAAAGGCCAAGAAGTGATAAGGCCTAGACTGCCTTTCTTTGCAAGATCCCAATGCCCAGAACAGGGCCTTCCTCTCAGTGAATATTTGCAAATGGATGAGTGGGTTATAGGTGACCTCATATGATTGTTGTTCGAAAACACTTTCTTCATTAGAATGTTTAAGTGTATAGTCTCAATAAATCTATTAATTAACAGTTATCATGTCCTTAAGGAATAGAAAGAGTTAATAGATATAATTCTCTGGTTTCTCTTTCATATATCTATCCATGGAATCCCATTTAAATAAGAGAGATTGTATGTAAAAATATTCTAAAATAGTGGTCCACAGGTTACAGTTTCTAGAAGTAATTATTACATTTATTTATTTTGAGACAGGGTCTCTGTTGCCCAGGCTGAAGTGCAGTGGCATGATTATGACTCACTGCTGCCTCGACCTCTGTGGCTCAAGTGATCCTCCCACCTCAGCCTCTGAAGTTGCTGAGACTGCAGGCATGTGGCACCATGCCCAGCTAATTTTTGTGTTTTTTGTAGAGATGGGATTGCACCATGTTGCCCAGACTGGTCTTGAACTCCTGGGCTCAAGCAATCCTCCCACCTCTGCCTTCCAAAGTGCTGATATTACAGGCATGAGCCACCATGCCCAGAATTATTGCATTTAAATAACAAAAAATTAAGTAATTATATATGCCTTTTAAAGTTAAATAGAATGGGAGTTTTGCTGCTATTCTCACTTAGAGCTTTAAAAGAAAGAAAATAAAATCTAAGGATAGGAACATTGTGCATCATTGAAACATTTATTAAAGAAAACAAAACTTCCCATTTTCTCATTTGTCACTCAGTTACTAAACATCTTTAGAGAAGTTAAGTTGCTGTTGTAGCTAGTTTATTATTGGGTCAGTTACTTTCCCACGGACTCAGCAGAAGTTCCAACTTGCTTTTGCCATTGACCAGGAAAAGTTACAAAAGTCTTGACTTTCATGAATCAGAACTGGTCTGGCTAGAATCAGCCTGCTCTGTAAAAGAAGAGACTGTGGTTTGGCCCATTTCCCAGGTGGGGAACCTCTGCTAGGTCTGGCAGACATGGAGGCAGAGAGGGAATATCCCCTTCCTGGGATAGCATTCTGACCCACCACATGTCCCCAAATGCTCCTGGTAAAGCAAGCCACCATTGCTTGTCATAACCCACATATTGGGGAGAGGCGCAATGAGGCTTGTATCATCAGTAGCTAAACCCCAGGATAGACAAGAGGAAGGTAGTTCCAGCTCCTGAGCCCAGTGGCTGTTTGAGGTGAGGACTGAGGGCCTCCTCCTTCACTCTGAACTTCCCCAACTGTGCGTTTCTGGCTAAGGCGAAATACTATCTCTTTCTCTTTTCAAATTATGAATGACTGTGTTTATTTTGGAGGGAGTTGATGAAACAATCAGGGAAAATGTTTCTTTTTCTTTTTTTTTTTGAGATGGAGTCTTGCTCTGTTGCCCCATCTAGAGTGCCATGGTGTGATTACAGCCCAGTGCAGCCTTGAGCTTTGAGGCTCAAGTGATCCTCCCACCTCAGCTTCCTGAGCAGCTGGGACCACAATTGCATGCCACCATCCCTGGCTAATTTCTTTTTTATTTTTTATAGAGACAGGGTCTCCCTATGTTGCCCAGGCTGGTCTTGAACTACTAGGTTCAAGCAATCCTCTCTCCTCGGCCATCAAAAGTGTTGGGATTACAGGCGTGAGCCACCACGCCTGGCTGAAAATATTTTGAATATGACAAATGTTGCTGGGTTTGCACTGCATAAGGAATGATGCCACAAATTGAGAACAGCCTCTTGTGAGTATAATATTCTTTCGAAGACCTTGCCTCCTCCCCTTCTTACACAGGGTGTTGCAGAAAAAGGCATTGGTATGTTTACTGAACACTTGAGAAAACTGGGGCTCAAGGAAAGTCAAGTGACCTGCCCACGATTGCCCAAGGACATCTGGCAGGGTGAGCTCCTATCCAGCCCACCTCTGACCATATGGCCTGGCTCACCATGAAGAGTGCTTTGGTGTCTTTTTTTTTTTGTTTTCCAAGAGTTGCCCTGACGCTTGATTCTCATTTCTACTCATTAAGAAAAGCAACAGAAAGGAAAAAAAAAACAACACAAAAGAAAGAAAATCCTCACAAGGGAGGGCAAGTCTCAACGTGCCAGTCACGAGTGCTTCTGGCATATGTCTGTTTCCTTGTCCTTTCGACCTCCTGATCCTGAGCCCCAGCACGGTTAAGACAATTAACCCGACTTGTTTCTTCCTGTTTCCTCTCTCCCTTTTTTTTGCCTACAAGAGCCACTTACAAAAGTAATTTGAGTTTCTATGAAAGAGAATTTGAAACGCTGTTTTCAGTTTATGCTCAGAAGACAGTATGAGAGTTTGCCAATGACTGGATCATCTGAAAGTTAGTTCTTTCCAAATTTTCAAATATTCAGATGTGGCTAAGAAGAACACCAACATTCTCAGTGCGGAGATTTAAATGTGAAGAACAATGGTAGCCCAGCTTCATTCTCATTCATCACACCACTTTTAACCAACACTTGGGTGCATCACGCTGTGTGCTGAAGTGAATTTCTCTGCTACGTTTCTTGATGTCTCAAGAAAAGCCAGAAGCCACAGCTGGCTCAGCTTTCTACACTCTCCTGCGGCAGAACTGGCCCGGGCTCCCCAGCCCTGCTCAGACCACACAGAAGATACTGGACAGGATTTAGAGGGCTGTGGGGTGTTTGATGAACTATTCATTGTACATTTTTTACATTATGCTGTTAAAATTAGAAATATAAAATACAAAGTACTGTATATGAGCATAGATATTTAATATTAAGTTTATATTAAACTTCCAAATAACATTTTTCAATGTTTATAATTACTTATTTTGCTCATAGATATGAGCATACCTTTCTATTTTGGGGTGGGTTTTTTTTGTTTGAACTAGTCACCATCAGGTTCTGATCAAGACTTTAATGATCAGTTCTTCAACTTCCTGCTACTTACCATCGATAAGAAACTGTTTATACAAGTAGGTGATAAATTTTTTTATTTTTTAATGACCAAAAATTTTCAACAGTGTAAGTTATCTTTATAGGAGCTACAGCTTTTTTTCTTTCACGAATAAAATGTAATGGTGGCATTTTACAGATTCTTTTCAAACCCTCAGAACTTTTTTTTTTAATTTTTAGAGACACAGTCTCCCTCTGTCACCCAGGCTAGAGTGCAGTGGCACAATCACAGCTCATTGTAACCTCAAACTCCTGGGCTCAAGTGATCCTCCTGCCTCAGCCTCCAGAGTAGCTAGGACTACAGGCACACACCACCATTTCTGGCTAATTTTTTCTTGTAGATATAGGGTCTCACTATGTCGTCCAGGCTGGTCTTGAACTCCTGAGCTCAAGTGATCCTCCTGCCTTGCCTCCTGAAGTGTTGGGATTACAGTTGTGAATCCCCACATCTGGCCAGAACTTTTTCATATGGAGCATTTCACAGTAACAGAGGAGCCGGCTCACCCTGGAGATTGGGTGCCTGGGTGGGCAGCTGGGACCAGAACCTGGGTGAGAGCCACACTGTTGGACCCCATGTAGATTCTGATTCTTGAAGACTGTGGGAGAGGCCTAGGCGAGGCTGCTTACTGGTGGGGAGTAAACAGGCCTGAAGATGCCAGTGGCTCTGGGCCTGCTCAGCTGCCCCGAAGGCTGGGAAATCAACAATTCAACTGACTGCATAATTCTGCTGCCCTTACTAGCAGCATAAGTTAGGCTCTTCCTGCCTCAGTCTGCCCATCTGTGAAGTGGAGATAATAGTAGTACCTATCTGGTAGTGTCGTTATGAAAATTAAATGAGTGCCATGCCTGGCACAGAGTAAGAGATATATGTTTATTAAATAAAGTAAAAATGTTGAGAAGCTCTGGAGTAGATTTCTAATATGGTTTTGATCTGTGTCCCCACCCAAACTTCTTGTTCAGTTGTAATCTCCAGCGTTGAAGGTGGGGTCTGGAGGGAGGTGATTGGATCATGGGGGTGGATTTCTCATGAATGATTTGGTATCTGCCCCTTGGTGCTGTTCTCGTGATACCGAGTGAGTTCTTGTGAGATCTGGTCGTTGAAAAGTGTGGAGTACCTCCCCTCTCCCTCTTGCTCCTGCTCCTGCATGTGAGACATCTGCTCCCCTTTTGCCTTCTGCCATGATGGCAAGCTTCCTGAGGCCTCCCCAGAAGCTGAGCAGATGCCAGCACTGTGCCTCCTATATAACCTGCAGAATTGTGAGCCAATTAAACTACTTTATAAATTACACAGTCCCAAGTATTTCTTTATAGCAATACAAGAATGGACTAATACAACCCCCAAATCACAGGCATAGAACTAGCCAGAATCAGATGTTCTAAATTCTGGCTCCCCCACTGTTTAGATGTGGGCTACAAGCAGGTTACTCAGTCTCTCTAAGCCTGGATTTCTTGGCTCATACATGATGATGGCATTTGTACCATGTTATAATGACATACAGATTAAATAAGATGGTTCACATAAAGTTCCTGAAACAAGTACTCTACAAATGATAGCTATTACGAAGTGGCAGAGGCAGAACGTGAGCTCAGCTATGCCCTGCCCCACTGCCCATGCCTACCTCCCATGAGCTACCCCTCCCAAACAGAAAAGTGCTTCACCTGCCAGATTCTCTTCTTCAGCTGATTTTAAATCTTTCCATTCACACAGTATTTTTCAATCCTTCAATATTCTTTATTCCTTATCTACAGACCCTGGTGTGGTTTTTCCATATCTCTATAAAGCAATGCCAAGAATGGTCAGAGCAATTGCCCCAAGGACCAGGCATTAAGGGAATTCCTTTGCAAAGGCCACAAGGCCGCTGCCGACCACTGTCTTTCAAGTCTCAAGTAAGTTCAACATATCCTTCCTTATTCATATTTTATTAGGAAGCCATATCAGAAAATTAATCAGTTATACAACTTTAAACATTGAATGAATCATTCTTATCAAATACATCAAGACCAGAAGCCAAGTCAAATATGGCATTTCATTTTACAAATATTTTTACATTTAATAGTCATGAAAAAGAAAAGAACTTGAAAAAACAACTTCAACTCTGTACAAATGTTAATATCAAGGAGCAGCTGAAGCTTAATTTTAAGATATGCAAGATAAGTGAAATGAAATAAGTAATGTTTTATTAAAATATCCTTGTCTTTTTCCATGATATACACATATTTTTTCTCTTTAAATAAATATATATTATGTATTTTTAATGACAGCTTACTTAACAACATTCATCTGGTGCTTTGGGGCCATGGAGTTCACTTGGTAAGGAAGACAAATACCAAAAACATCAGGTACAATTGGATTCTCCTACAGCAGAAGAATTGGCTTGATTTTTGGAATGTCTCCCCGCACCTCTCCTCACATCAGGACTTCTGAGCCTTCTGAGGAGTCGTCAGCAAACAAAAGTTCATCGGGCAATGAGCTTCCCAAGGGCAGCATGCTCGAATGGGACCAGGAGACCCCATTCCTAACAAGTCTCTCCCCCGGTAAAACACTGTTCTTTTCAGCTGTGACTGCAGCAGAGGGGGCAGAAGTCAGATCTTCCCATTCCTCACTGCCCCCATTCAGGATGTACCGTCCTTCATGAGGTTTGCTGTCATGAACTTCTGCTGTGACCACACTGATGGCAGCGCGGGGAGTGCAGGAGGCAATTATAGAGTCAGGGTCGATGTTCAAGTCCAGTGGAGCAAGGGTGGAGCCCTGGGCCAGGCCCTCAGAGCTCTCCAGCAACTGTGTATTGACGTAAATAACGTCTGCTTGGTTCCGAACGTCAGGCAAACTTTCTAAGAGTTTTTCTAGCTGCAGCCTCAATACTGAAAAGGTGGGGCGGTCTAAGGGATCGGTTCTCCAGCAAGAGTACATTATTTCATACCTGAAAGTTAAAAAGAAGTGGATTGTCTCCCAGCATGGCACCCATCTCTTTGTGCAATCCATGCCTTTGTTTTTACAGAATCTTTATCACATTTTAATCAGCATTCATTCTACTTTTTATAAAAATTATTGAGACTTTTTTGGTGGCCTAATATTTATACAACTTTTGTAAATGTTCCATGGTATTTGACAAAAAAGTGATTCTGTTTCTAGGAAGAGCACATATGTGGCAGTTATATCTAACTTTGCAGATAAGGAGTATTTAGGTCTCTTTCTTTATATGGCGGCGGGCAAACTATGGCCCATGAGCCAAATCCAGCCCACTGTCTACTTTGTAAATAAAGTTTTATTGGAACACAGCTATCCTTATTTGTTTACACGTTATCTATGACTTCTTATGTCACAATGGCAGAGTTGAGCAGGTGCTAAAAGGCCTGCAAAGCCAAAAATATTTGCTATTTGGCACTTTATAGGAAAAGTTTGCTGACCTCTGTCCTATGCCATCAAACTGAGTTGTTACCAGGACAGCTGAGTTAGTTGGGGCCCTGGGGCTAGGGCTAAGAAGATCAGGAGCAGGGGTGAGGGCAGGGGGTAGTTGTGTGCTGCGTATCACTCCATCTAGTCTTCTCAACAGCCCTGTCATTGTCACTTTGTAATGAAGATGACAGTGGGCTCAGGGACATTACAGAACATGCCATGGCCATGTGGGTAGCCAGGGATTCAGATTCAGATTGGACAACTCCTGCGTCCAAGTGCTCCTCACAACTCCTTCCACTTTGTTTTATAGAGGGCAACTCTCTTCTGGGTGGTTTTTTCATCCCAGTGTCTAATATAGTTAAGAATTCCAATGGAGGGACATTTAATGGAGCACAGTAAGACAGATGACAATTAGGAATCAATAGGCTGAGATGAAGAGTGAGTTATACCATCATTTCATTAAAAATGTTTTTTTTCTTATAATTGATAGACCTGACATTTCAGGGCCAGGCATATTAATTGGCATGTGTGTATATATATGCCATATGTGTGTGTATATATATACACACACACACACATATACACACACATATATGGCATATATATACACATATATGGCATATATATATATGCATGCCAATTAATATGCCTGGCCTGAAAATGTGTATATATATAAAAATGTGTGTGTGTGTGTGTGTATATATATATATAAAATTTTAAAAATAGATGTATTTATTTTTTTAATAAGACGAAGTCTTGCTATTTTGCCCAGGCTGGTGGAGAACCCCTGAACTCCTGGGCTCAAGTGATCTTCTGCCTCAGCCTCCAGAGTAGCTGGAATTACAGGTACACACCAGCATGCCTAGGCATCATTTCATTTTGATGCTTTTCTGTTTTGAGAAACTGATAATTCATACGTCATTGGACAAAAAAATGACCCAAATTTAAATCATCTGACCCATGCAATAAATTACTAGCATCTTACGAACAGAAATATGCAATTTCCATATTGACATTTAGTTACAGCCTATAGAACTTTTGGCTAATTCTACTAACATGTTACTTCACACACAACATGCAGATCTCATTCACGTAGATGTATAATAATATCTTTTCATCTGTCCACTTTCCAGCCTTTATCAACACTTGCACACGCATCCGGAAGCTGGAGGCTGGCAAAGTGCCATGCATGTAAAGAGCTTGATCCTGAATGTAGGCCTAGACAACGGCACGGCGCATTTCCCTGTCTCACAATCCTTGTTCTCATCTCAGGCTTAGGGGTTCTGTTTTGTTTCCCTGTCTTACCTTCTTTAGATGGTCACTTAGACTTGACAGACGGTTTCTGTTTTTATTTTTGAGGTTTTCAGGCGTAAGTCAATTTGCATGACTCTGTTTTCCAAACAGCCTTGATTGTTTGCCATCTAAGATGAGCTTTGAGACATTCTGTTCTTAGGGACATAATCTCCTTTTCATTATTTCATCAAGAGGCTGTGGTATTTAACTTACTTTCATTTATTTCATGTCTTAGGAGAAAGTATTTAAATAATTTATCTTTATTTCCAAGTAGAATAGTATCAATATCACTTTGAAACTTCTTTTCCTTTAATATTCAATACCTTATCAAATGTATAAAAATATAAATATGACTTTTAAAGACATGGTGAACATGTATACTGTCTAACCTACTCCCACAAATGGGCAATTTCATCGTAGTAGAACAAGAAGATTAACAAGAAGCCCCCATCTGGTAAGTAATAGGAGGGCTGTGATATTTAGTGATTTAGACTTTATAAAATTTTATGGATGGAAAGAAAAATAAGTTTGGTAATTGCTTTTGTAAATGGTCATTTTTATTTTTCTGCTGAGATTTTATAAAAGATGTGATCATATAGGTTGCCATGGGCTGTATTGAGGAGAGAATGGGATTAGTTTAATGGGTAGAGACTTTCAGATTTACAAGATAAGAAGAGTTTTGGAGATAGATGGTGGTGATGGTTATACAACAGTGTGAATGTACTTCACGCCACTGAGCTGTACGCACTGGTTAAGAGTACATTTTATGTTATGTATATTTTATCACAATTAAATGCAATCATATGAATTTACAAAATTTGTAAATGTATGACTTTACTCATATTTTTCAAGCACCTGCTTTGCTCCTGGCTCTGAGGATGGCTGAGTGCAGGCTGCAAGTCTGCACAGGGAAATGATGCCCATCTCCTATCAGCTGTGCTTCCACTGTGCTAGCCAGTATCTACCCAGCTCTGCCACTCAGCCCACTGTGACTCCCACCTTGTCCCTTCTCCAGATCTCAGATGCTTCAGGTGGCAGTGGAGGGAGGGATACATCAATGGGTAGAGGAGGGTTTCTGAGATGGGGAAGGTGGATATAAGCTGGGGTTCTTGGGGCAGACAAGAAGCAGGCAAGAGGCAGGGCCAGCTCTGTGCCAGCCAACACACCAGGTCCTGGGTGCCAGGGTAAATAATAGTGTGAGGGCAATGCTAGGCTGGTCAGGTGTGTGAAGCGCGAGGGTGGTGCTGGGATGGGCATCAGGTGAGTCCCGGAGAGGAGCCCCTGAGTCCACGCAACTGCAGCTTCAAGGTGGCTGATGCAGGTAGAACATGACCAGCAAGTGCCAGCTGTGTGTGGGTTGATGGGCCCTAACCGATCACTCCTCACTGCAGCCCCACGAAGGAAGAGATGCAGTCACACTCACAGACAGGGCAGCTGAGGCCTGGAGAGGAGAGGAACTGACTGAAGTCACGCCAACAGTCGGCGGCAGTGCCAGTCCATCTAACACAGGGCACCTGCTCTCATCCGTGACCTCGACCTCCTTCACTATGAAGAAGAGTCACTGACCTTTCCCTCACGTTTACTATTTCAGCCATCATGTGAAACACTTTAGATTTGTTTTTTGGGTTTTTGTTGTTGTTGTTTCTTTTTTTGAGACAGGATCTTGCTCTGTTTCCCAGGCTGGAGTCTGGTGGCACAATCATAGCTCACTGCAACCTCGACCTCCTAAACTCAAGTGATCCTCCCACCTCAGCCTCTTGAGCAGCTGGGACTACAGGCATGCCCTACAACACCCAGCTAATTTTGTTTATTTTTTGTAGAGATGGGGTCTCACTGTGTTGCCCAGGCTGATTTCAAACTCCTGGCCTCAAGCAATCCTCCTGTCTTGGC
The DNA here is from genome assembly GCF_000001405.40 of Homo sapiens. NCBI lineage: Eukaryota > Metazoa > Chordata > Mammalia > Primates > Hominidae > Homo > Homo sapiens. The sequence goes on along the minus strand of NC_000002.12, from coordinate 112,024,691 downwards.
CTCCCAAAGTGCTAGGATTACAGGCATGAGCCACTGCACTCAGCCTGAGTTCATTTTACAAAGGAAATGTCTCAGAAATGGAACAGAGGCCTCTTTGGGGGATGCTGTTGTTACCCAGCATCTAGATTCGAGAGGAGATGGAAGGAAGCCTGGCTCACAGGGGCCCCGAGGCCACAGCACAGCCATAGCCCCCTTGGCACACCCAGGGCACAGAGCCCACAGGAGGCGGGGGTGGCAGGTTCGCCCCTCTCTGCCTGACTTCCCCAGCCACACGGCGTGTGCTGACTCTGCTGCTTTGTCCCCTAAAATGTCTCACAGAAAACCGACTCAGCATTCACTTGTTTTGGCTCTAAAAACCACAACGTGACACAGCTTAGACCCTGCTAAGACCCAACATAATCACCGCAAATATCAACTTATTTTGGTGGGCAAGGAAAGCTCAGAAAGAAACTGCAACAAAACTCTTTCCATAGTCAACATTGTTTGACTGAAATGCTTCCTTATTTTCAGAAGCAGGCACTTCATAAACATGGCACTTTTAAAAACTACCATGAAACCCTAGAACTAATTTTATTAGCATTTCAGGATGTTTTAAAGGTTTTACAGTGCTTGTTTCTCTTCTTAATGTTATACATCTACCACCACAATAAAAACCAACCACTACCAACGGGACGAAGCTCTGATTAAAACAGTGTCCTTCTTTTTGGCTTAGAAGGGACCCGGAAAGCCTGTGGGCAAAGGGACCCAGGCTCTCTCTCCCATGTGAGGCAGCAGGGCGTGTGTGTGTGTGTCTGTGTGTGTGTGTGTAGGGAGGGTGCTGTCCACACTCACCTGTCCCAGCCCAGGCATGGCACTCCATGACAGAGCCAGCGCAGGCCCACAGTCCTGAAATGTTCTTGCTAAATATGGTGAGAATGCCCCTCTCCAAGCCCATGGCCCTTATTATACAGGGAGGAGACTCCCCATTAGGAAGGTTCAAATCACCATCACCAAGCTACCAGCAATGCCACAAGAAATTATTTTAATAAGGTCAGCAAAGTGCTTGGGGGAGATTAATTGCCATAGCCACTCACAGGGCCAGTTAGGAAGCAGAGCGTGGCCTATTGACTCCGAGGCCTGGGTCTCTTCCCCATACTGCCTGGCCTTGAAGACGGGGGCCCTGTCAGGATGGGATGTGTGCTGTGTGTGTGTCACAGCTGGTAGTTCTTTCTCCTGTCTAAACACATGATCTCTCAGGGAGCACTTTATTTTATTATTTTATTATTTTTTATTTTTTTTGAGATGGAGTTTTACTCTGCCGCCCAGGCTGGAGTGCAGTGGCACGATCTCAGCTCACCGCAAGCTCCGCCTCCCGGGTTCACGCCATTCTCCTGCCTCAGCCTCCCGAGTAGCTGGGACTACAGGCGCCCGCCACCACACCCGGCTAATTTTTTGTATTTTTAGCGGAGACGGGGTTTCACTGTGTTAGCGAGGATGGTCTCGAACTCCTGACCTCGTGATCCACCCGCGTCGGCCTCCCAAAGTGCTGGGATTACAAGCGTGAGCCACCGCACTCGGCCTTATTTTATTATTTTTTAATAAAGACAGGGTCTCTCTATGTTGCCCAGGCTGGTCTTAAACTCCTGGGCTCAAACGATCTGCCCTCTTTGGCCTCCCAAAGTGTTGGGATAACGTGCATGAGCCACTGCGCCCAGCCCCAGGGAGCATTCTAAAACACACATTTCTGGGCCCACTTTGTACCGAAAGCATCATAATTTCCGGGAACAGGGCCGAGGAATCGTATTGTTACACTATCTCCCAAGCGATTCTGATGAGCAGCCTGACCCCAAAGTCATTGGTTTAGATTTCTGAGTTTCCTGATGAAGGCTACTACTGTGAGTGGAGTGTTTGAAATGCTACATAGAAGGAGAAAGATAACTGGACCAAAAGAGGGTGAGGAATCATTCAAGGACCTCATGCACTACAAGGCGAAGCTATTATCTGTGGATATATTTCCTAGAGGTGTGTAAGGAATTTTAGGACAGGTGCCATTGCCTTGTCTTGACCGTGCCTGTCGTTCGAGACTGAGGCCCTTTGGATGAGTGAGCCTCAGTGGGCTCACTGGAGATACCACACACTATCTCCCACATCAGGAATGGCTCCTGGGCTGGGGTGTCTGTGGGTTCCACCCCTCTGCACATGCCCACCTGGCTAACAGCAGTCCCTTTCCCCTCCCATGGCTGTGTTTCCGAGGTCAGTGCAGAGCCAGGTGGCTGCCCCATGCAGAGTATGGAAGGGAGACAGAGAAGCCCACTCACAGTTCATCCAGGCAGTCTTCGGGCTGCTTCAACCTGTGGCCATGGAGAAGATAGTCATACATCTCATGGTTCTGGACCCCAGGATAGGGAGTCATTCCCCGCGTAGCTATTTCCCACATGGTCACGCCAAATGCCCACTGGGAACAAAGCAACAACAAGTTAGGATGCAAGCCTTTCCACAAAGCCTGAATGGACTTTTTCACTGGGAAAGGTCATTTCCTTAAACACTGATGATCATGCACAAAGCTGGCAATTATGTGTGAGACGCACTGCTCTCCCAACGCGGCAATAACGTGGGGTTGGAGTGTCACAGTTCCCCACTTCTACAAAAGCTGTTCTGGGAAATCTGGCAAAGGCAGAAACAGCCTCGTCACACATCTGCTTAGTGCTCTCCTCCACTGTTGCTGTGAGGTGCTTTTTTTTCCTTATCTCGGGTCAAGGGCGTAATTACACAGCACCTTTCATATAGCATCTAGGTTCCAAGAGCCAGTGGATGAACTCATTCAATTTAATGTGACTATGAAATATCCTAGTTGTGGGCAATGAGTCATCCTTTGACGGCAAGGAAAAATGGGAAGAAATTAAGGGCTTTTGCAAAGCACACATCTTCTGAATGTCAGGACACTTCATCAGAATCTACTGTTCCACTTGAATTAAAGTATCTGATGGTAAGATATAAAAGAGATCTGAGCAAGCTGCCAACCCTCAGTTTATCAAAGAGTAAAATGTCTTGCCATACCAGCTGAGGTCATTTCTTTCAATATGCCCTCCTCTTTGTGCTGTGGGACCCCTGAATCAAAGCTGTGTACATACCACATCACTTTTACTTGTGTAGACTCGGTCTGCAAGACTTTCTATGGCGATCCATTTAACAGGCATCTTAGCAATGCGGCCTTGGCGGTAATAATCGCCACTGTAAATCTTCTTAGAGAGGCCGAAGTCCGCAACACAGACAGTCATGTCATCTCGCAACCTACAGAGAGCAGGTTACGTCTTCAGCAGCGTCAGAGGCAATGCCTTAAATTACTGGTCTGTATCAGACACAGGTGAAAACACTTATGATAATTGACCAAAAGAACACAGAGACACCACCAGCCTGTGAGCATGCTGCATTGGGACCAATGGCAGAGCAAGTGAGGACCAACAGCAGAGCAAGAGCAAGAGCAAGTGATGCAATTTTTTTTTTGAGACTTTTGAGATAGAGTCTCACCCTGTCACCCAGGCTGGTGTGCAGTGGCATGATCTCGGCTCACAGCAAACTCTGCTTCCCGGGTTCAAGCAATTTTCCTGCCTCAGTCTCCCGAGTAGCTGGGATTACAGGTACACACTACCACAGCCGGCTAATTTTTTTTTTTTTTTTTTTAGTAGACATGGAGTGTCACCATGTTGGCCAGGCTGGTCTCGGACTCCTGATCTCAAGTGATCTGCCCGCCTTGGCATTCCAAAGTGCTGGGATTACAGGTATGAGCTACCACGCCTAGCCTCAAGTGATGCAGTCTTGCATCGCTCTGATCTGTGTGGGATGTGGACTAGCAAGGGCACCTGTGCACAGTGGATAGAAACAGCTGGAGAACATGGAGACGCAGCATAGCAGGAGCAGAAAGAGCAGCAGCTCAAAACCAGAGCCCTCTGGTGGACTGATCCAGGACCCCAGCAGCCTTCCTCCCAGAGGTCTGGAAGCAGCACTGGCCCTGAGGACTAAGTAAGCCCCCTGAGAGTTTGGGGAAGATGGGGAATTACCTGCAGTAAGAGCAAGATGCTGGGCTTCTTGCTAAGATGGCCAGGTGGGTGCTTGAGGAATTAAATGAGAAATTAAAGGGCTACAACTGCATTTGTAGCCCAAGCTACTAAAACAGCTCCTACACAAGAAGAAGGAAGAGGAGAAGAAAGAATAAAAGGAAGAGAAGGAGAAGAAATAGATATAAAGTAGTCTGGGGAAGGTGACTAACTTGTCCCTGTTTGCTTGACACTGCCTTTTTACACTCAAAATCCCTTGTCCTGAGAAACCCCTCAGGCCAGGGTAAACTGCAAAGCTGGTCACCCTACCTGCTGGGAAAACATGAAGGAAACAGTAAGGGAAAAAGAGTTTTCATGATTCTCCCTCCATGGTCGAAAAATTATTTAAATAATAACAATAACAAAACCAAAACCCCTTTAGTGTTTTCAAAAATGAGGTGAAAGAGGTAGGAGCCCTAGGGGCAGGGTCGGCTGGGAGGCGGGAGGGGGCAGGCCCCATTGTCACATCTCTGACCAAGAAAAACAAATGACAAAATACATTGAAGGACCACTCCCTCTTCTTGCAATAAAAAACTTAAAATCAAGACATAGTTATTGTTTTTGAAGATTTACAGCAGACAATGGCTCTGCTGAAGCAGGTTGAAGAAATAGGGAGAACCTAAGTCCACATTTCTTGTATAATGAAGCCATTGTCTGCTGTGAAAGGACAGCTTCCATGTATTCAAAGTACAAAACTTCTTCCTAAGGAAGTGTTGTGAAAACTTAGGGAAAAGCCTTTATGATTTTCACTGCTGTCTTTAAGAGGAGCTGACGTACACATAACTCTAGGTCCAAAGCTAGCTGATGGCTGGGGAAGGATCACAAGGGTCACACCTTGCATTCCTACCGAGTGAGAGAGTGAAGGTAAAACTGGAGTCATAAGGGAAAGCTTTGGAAGCCAACCAGACTCTCAGATACAGAGGCAGTGAAAACTCCCAAACACCCAGCCATATTTCCATCTTCGGAGCAAGCCACACCATCCCCCGCTGACTGCAGCTTCCTTGCCTATCTAAACAGGAACAGGTCCTCTCACTAACCCTGCAAAGACCAAACACCATGAGGTCCAAACCCTTCCAGGATAGCCGAGGACTCTTACATGCAGTTTCGAGCAGCTAAATCTCGATGAAGAAAATTCCTGTTGCTCAGATACTCCATTCCCAGGGCAATATCCACCATGAACTTCAATAGTGTCTGCAGAGGAATATGCTAGATGATAGAGGAAACAAGAAGAAAGACTATCTTTTAAAAAGGAAAACTTGCAAGCAGTTTCTGCCGGGGGGGGAAAGGATGCTTTAATTTATTACAGTGTAGTGATGAAATAAGGAAACAAATCTTTTATTTCCATATCACTAATATCACAAATAAGGTTTTTAAAAAGGAATGAGAAAAACCTTAAACTTCTTGGCAAACATCATATTCTCTTTTCCCCATCTTTAAAAGTATTTACAGTGAATGACATTGTTTCTTTTTAGAAGGTATGAGGTCAAACGTGATCCTTCCGTGTATCCTTCAGAGTGGGACAGAGCACACGCATTGCACAGAGGAGGGAAAGGGACAGGTGGTCTGGCTTCAGCAGCGGCGAGGTGTGTGTGTGTGTGTGTGTCAGGGGTCTAATGTTTCGGAGGGGAAAAGTCCACTTAGGATGAGCTGTTTCCAATTAGGCACCCCTATCTGCTACCATTTTACTACGAAATGTTTTGAAAGATACTCGTTTCTTCTAAACAGAAATTAGGAGAGTCTTCACCAATTATCACAGGACCAAAGCACCACAAGTACATATTCAGGAATTTTCATTTTGCTCCCGTAGGCCCTGCCTATAAGTTTCAACAGTCTAGTGTTTTCTCTAGCTTATAAAAATCAAACTAGATTGCTGTGTTAGAAAACCAGCCACTGTTGGAATCAGTTATGAGGATGACTGCTGATAAAACTTCCATGTAGTAATTAAGTGTTTTAGTGCAATCATGGCCCTGCAGAAAAGGATTTGCACAAGTCCCTGGCAGTCATGAATGGGTCCATCCATTATGTACCCTCCCCAAGGCACTGAATTTGCCATGGCTTCCTTTCCAAACATGAGTTTTCCAAAATGGTACTCATTTTGGAAAGACATTGCATTTTCAATGATTTTATACTCCAAGACACATGTCAATTACATACTGTATAAATAAATGAAATGTCTTAATCTTTAAGTATGGAAGTTTTATGCCTCTATTCTGTATTATTTGGGTATTTGGTTTTCTAGATACTGATTTCCAGGAAAGGATTTGGGTCATAAGAAATATTGCATCTTGCTGTCATTCATGAAGATGTAATGAGTATCAGGTACTATTCATTTGTGCTGTTTTTTCCTAGAACACTTCTGTTATTCCTGGAGACTGTGACCAAAAGTCACTTAAAAAATAATTGTATAGCAGAATTAATAAATGAGTTCAGCAAGGTTGTAGGATACAAGATGGACATACAAAAATCAACTGTATTTTTATATACTAGTGATGAATAATCTGAAAATGAAATTAAGAAAATTCTTTCTTCTCCTCCTCCTTCTTCTTGTGTAGGAGCTGTTTTAATAGCTTGGGCTACAAATGCAATTGTAGCCCTTTAATTTCTCAATTAATTCCTCAAGCACCCACCTAGCCAACTCTGGAACTGTGCTACTTCTGGGCTTTATTGCATGAGATCCTGTATCTCCGTTGAAAGTCATTTTGAGTTGGGTTTTGTATTACATGCTGGTGAAGTCATTCTACTTGTTGTAGAACCTAAACATTGACCCCAACTTCTCTTTCCTGTTTTATCACCCCTCCTCCTATCCTTCCATTGCTTTGCTGTTGCCATGTGAGACAATCTGCTTTTCTTAAAACATAGGTATGCTCCCAGATCATTTGGTCTTTGCTCATTCTGATCTTGTGTGCTGCTCTTAATTTTCCACTGTACTCCTCCTACCACTCTTTTGAGGATATCCATGATGGCAGTGTGGAATTTTTTTTTTTTTGAGACGAAGTCGTGCTCTGTCACCCAGACTGGAGTGGTGCAGTGGCGCGATCTGAGCTCACTGCAAACTCTCCCTCCCAGGTTCAAGCGATTCTCCTGCCTCAGCCTCCCAAGTAGCTGGTATTACAGGCATGCACCACCACGCCCGGGTAATTTTTATGTTTTTAGTAGAGATGGGGTTTCTCCATGTTGGCCAGGCCAGTCTCAAACTCCTTGAAAGGTGAAGCCAGCTGGACTTTCTGGGTTGAGTGGGGACTTAGAGAACTTTTCTGTCTAGCTAGAGGATTGTAAATGCACCAATCAGTGCTCCGTGTCTAGCTAAAGGATTGTAAATGCACCATTCAGCACTCTGTAAAAACGCATCAATTGGTGCTCTGTGTCTAGCCAAAGGACTGTAAATGCACCAATCAGCACTCTGTGTCTAGCTAGAGGGTTGTAAATGCACCAATCAGCACTCTGTAAAATGGACCAATCAGCACTCTGTAAAATGGACTAATCAGCAGGATGTGGGTGGGGACAAATAAGGGAATAAAAGCTGGCCACCCCCAGCCAGCAGTGGCAACCCGCTTGAGTCCCCTTCCACACTGTAGAAGCTTTGTTCTTTCACTCTTCACAATAAATCTTGCTGCTGCTCACTCTTTGGGTCCATGCCATCTTTAAGAGCTGTAACACTCACTGCAAAGGTCCGCGGCTTCATTCTTGAAGTCAGCGAGACCAAGAACCCACCAGAAGGAACCAACTCCGGACACATCCTGACCTCAGGTGATCCACCCGCCTTGGCCTCCCAAACTGCTGGGATTACAGGCGTGAGCCACCACACCCAGTCAGCAGTGTAGAATATTTTAAACATTTCTCCAGTCAGAACTCATTTCTTCCCTGAAGCTCTAGCAGGCTGCTCACATCACTGTGTGATGCATATGTTATTACAGCCTATCTCCCTTTGTACTATCGATCTCCATGAGAACTGGGGGTCATGTCTCATCATCTACCTGTCTGCCCTGCACAGCTCCAGAGACAATGTCTGCCCTGGGCAGAGTGGCACTATGGGTCCAGCACCCTAGCCCTCCTGGAGAAGCATGTTTAAATACATTGATATTGGGCCATCGCAGTATCAAATGCACTGATAATAGTCTTGGGCTGCTCTAGCAGGAGCAGGAGCTATTTATTCCAGGCAGCAAAGAAAAGATCTGAATAAAAGCTTGATTTTTCTGTTTGTCTATGCACTTTGTGTCTTCCACCTTATCTGTGGCTACTAAGCAACAAAATAGGAAACTACATTCCTTTTTATCTTTTTAATACTTGAAAGTTATTTTCCATCATTGAAAATACACTTGTATTTTTTTGCAAATGGAAACTATTCATCAGTCAGTAAAATGTTGTGTACTTGTTTCCCTTACTTGTTATTTTGTTCAAAAGGATATAAGATTACAGCAGAACTTTTGCCAGACACAGATAAGCTGATTCTAAAGTTTCAGTGGAAGGGCAATGAAACCAGAATAGTTAAAACAATTCTGAAAAAGTAGAACAAAGTAGGAAGAATCACACTGGGTGATTTTAAGATTTATAACAAGCTTCAGTAATCAAGACAATGTGATAGGGGCAAAGGATGGGCACAGAGTTTAATGAAACAGAACAGAGGACTCAGAAATGTACAACCAACTGCTTTTAGACAAAGGTACAAGAGCAACTCAATGGATTAAGGACAGTCTTTTCATGGATTAAGATAGTCTTTTGCTATTGGTCATCTATACGCAAAAAAAGCAAACCTTAAACTAAATCTCAAACCCTATACAAAAAATAACTCAGAATTGGTCATATACTTAAATGTAAAATGTAAAAGAACATAATCTTTAGAAAAGAAATAGGAGAAAATCTTTTTACTAGGGGTTAGGCAAAGAGTTCTTAGACATGAGAGCAAAAGCATGACTCATTAAAAAAAAACTGATAAATTGGGCTTTATCAAAATTAAAATATTTTTGCCCGTGTTAAGAGAATGCAATGACAAGCTACAAACTTGGAAAACAGTCTCTGGAAACCACATATCCAACAAAAGAACTATATTTAGAACATATAAAGAACTCTCAAAATATGACGAGAAAATCAACAACTCAATTAAAAAATAAACAAAATACTTGAACAACAGACACTCATCAAAGCGGATGTAAGGATGGCAAATAAGCACATGGCAAGATGCTCAACATCATTAGTCATTCGGGAAATGCAAATAAAAACCATGATGAGATATCACTCTACATCAATCAGGACAGCTATAAGGAAAAACCAGAAAAGCCAGCAACAATATTAAGTCCTAATAAGAATGGGGAGCACTGCATTTCTCACACACTGCTGGTGAGAATGTAAAATGGAATGGCCTCTCTGGAAAACAGTTCTTATAAGGTTAAATATGCACTTACCATATGACCCAGCATCCTACTCTTGGGCATTTACTTTAGAAAAATGAAGACTTCATCCACAAATCTGTACATGAATTTTATAGCAGTCTCATTCATGATTGCTAAAACCTAGAAACAACCCATATGTCCCTAAACAGGTGAAAAGATAAACTGTGGTAGAAGCATACAATGGAATACTACACAGCAATAAAGAAGGAATGAACTATTGATATACACAGCTTGGTTGGATCTCAAAGACATAATGCTGAGTGAAGGAAGCCAGTCTCAAAAGGTTATAAAATGGCCGGGTGCAGTGGCTCACACCTGTAATCCCAGCATTTTGGGAGGCCAAAGCGGGTGGATCATTTAAGGTCAGAAGTTTGAGACCAGCCTGACCAACATGGTGAAACCCCGTCTCTAGTACAAATACAAAAAAAATTAGCCAGGCGTGGTGGCAGGCGCCTGTAGTCCCAGCTACTCAGGAGGCTAAGGCAGGAGAATTGCTAGAACCCGGGAGGCATAGGTGGCAGTGAGCCAAGATTGTGCCCCTGCACTCCAGCCTGGGTGACAGAGTGAGACTCTGTCTCAAAAAGAAAAAAAAAAAAGGTTATAAATGTATGACTCCATTTATGTAACATTCTTGAATAGACAAAACTATTTGGGCCACCAAATAGCCCTGTGTATTTTTAATCTTTTTTGCTACAAAATGCACTCTTGTACAATAACATGAAATTTCCACACCCCCAAGAAATTATTAGAAAAATTATACAACGTAACAGCTAGGCACGGTGGCTCACGCCTGTCATCCCAGCACTTCGGGAGGCCGAGGCGGCTGATCACTTGAGGTCGGGAGTTTGAGACCAGCCTGACCAACATGGAGAAACCCTGTCTCTACTAAAAATACAAAATTAGCCAGGCATGGCCGGGCACGGTGGCTCATGCCTGTAATCCCAGCACTTTGGGAGGCCGAAGTGGGCAGATCACAAGGTCAGGAGATCGAGACCATCCTGGCTAAAACAGTGAAACCCCGTCTCTACTAAAAATACAAAAAATTAGCTGGGTGTGGTGGCGGGCACCTTTAATCCCAGGTACTCGGGAGGCTGAGGCAGGAGAATGGCGTGAACCCAGGAGGTGGAGCTTGCAGTGAGCTGAGATCACGCCACTGCACTCCAGCCTGGGCGACAGAGCGAGACTCTGTCTCAAAAAAAAAAAAAAAAAATAAGCCAGGCATGATAGCGCATGCCTGTAATCCCAGCTACTCAGGAAGCTGAGGCAGGAGAATCACTTGAACCCGGGAGGCGGAGGCTGTGGTGAGCCGAGATTGAGCCATGGCACTCCAGCCTGGACAACAAGAGTGAAATTCCATCCCCCCGCCACCACCCCCCTCCCAAATTATACAACGTACCATAAATTAAATGTGAGTAAAATCACCCATCAACATGAAACAAAACCCACTGAAATGATGTGGTGCCGCCACTCACAGGGATCTGTGTGGGGGCTGCCCTGCTGGAGAGGGGTGCACACAGAATGGGGCAGTCAGAAGAGCATTGAAGGCTCACAGTCTGCAGCCTGGGGGCCAATCCTGCTTTCACCATGGCCCCCTGTGCCTCAGTTTCCTCAGCTTAGATTCCACTAGTAACTACTTTTTAGGGCTGTTGTGCCACTGGTGCATTAATACATACAAAATACAGGCTGGCCTATGCTACATGCTTGAGAAAGGTTAGCCACTGTCATCCCAGGGGCAAGTGTGTATGTAGTGACGTGAAGGCCATGAGAAATGTAGGCATTGAGTGAACAATGAGAGATGAATGTCTGAAATCGCCAACAATTGTACTAAGGTGTTGGGAATTGTGGGTAATTTTTTATCCTTTTACAGACTTCCTATAATGCAATCATCTTTCTTTTTGGGGGAAAAAGAGAAGGAAAATACTCAGCCCTGTCTATTATATTTTCTGTGTAGGACTAGGCCCCTCACCTCTTTGGAAGAGTCTCGGTGATTTTATAACAGCTGTGTGATGCAGCTGCAGCCTCCTGTCTCTACGGTTAGTACTCATGTTGGTGAAAGACAAGTGCATTCTCATGGAAGAGAACAGGAGTACATGTGGGCATGGGGCCAGGGGGGAACTGGAAAAAAGAAAGGGGGCCACTCTCCTGTCCTGATCACTTAAGCTGTCCCTAGGAAGAAGAGAAAGAGTAAAAGGGGGAAAAAAAGCAAAGCAAAAGTACCCTCCCCTCCATCACACACAGGCGTAAGATACCAACAACGTCAGCTGGAAGTGGAAAAGGAGGCTCCAGCATGTGCTGACCCTAAATTGGGTCTCACATTTTTGCCTATTTGTTTCAGCTTTCCCAAATTTTAAATAAAGGGCTGTTTCTACAGATGGACCTGTCTCTTGGGATGAGGACTAGTGTTTTTCTAAGCCGACTTCCCCCATGAAGGCCCTCAGTTGTCATTCTTGTCATCATGGTTCACTGTAACTCTATCAGTCACCTGTGACTTGTGGTTATTAAGTTCATAAGTTACCGGAGGTCGGGGCACTTCAGTCTGAGGTTCCGCTTCTCTCTAGTTTCTCCATGCTGGAAGGATTCAGGGCAGGGGTTGCTGCCCCTCTTAGGGGCACTGCTGAGGCAAGCAAGCTGGCCTACCAATTCCCAACACATCTTCTGATCCTGAGGATGGATACGCTCATGACAAAGAGAAGATGAATGGAGGGAGCATGTTCACCCTCAGTGAACAACTAGAAAGCAACTCCATGCAGCCTCCACCGGGGAACTGAAAGGCACCCTGCATCCAGAGATGTTATAATGAACAAGCCAAGAAGAGGGGACTCCAAAAACAAGAAGCTTCTCTGACAGCACATGGGGCCCAAACATCTTTTAGAAGGAATGTGGCTTCCCTGACATGAAGATGCTCAATGACTGGGTGTGGGGGTGGGGGGGAAGTGAATGCACATTTCTGTGTGTGGCTTCCCTGACATGAGGATGCTCAGTGACTGATGTGGGGGGCGGGGGGAAGGGAATGCACATTTCTCTGCACAATCCCTCCTTCTAAACAGCAGACCCCACAGCATATGGGGCTTCATATTCCAATCACCACCTCTGATCTATCTGCCAACATTCTCCAGGTTACTGAAACGAAGAAGTCCTGGCCCTGCCACCATGAGGTTCTGCATCTGTGCGCAGACACCACACCCCCCAGTCTAGTTACCTTGCACACTTCCTGCCCCTATGCCCCCACTGGGCTCTGCCTGGCCCACTGGGCATTTGAGCCCCTGTGCTCCTGGTGCCCATAGCTCCCTCACTGTGAATAACCAATTGTCTGTCTCCTGTTCTCCTCTCACTCACCACCAGCAGCTCAGCTCCATGGGGCAGGAACCACATCTGTCATGTTCCCTCCAGTGTCCCCAGAGCTCAGTGCCCACCTTAGAGTCAGCACTTGTTCACAGAGTGAACTAATGAACTTAATAAACCTTGTTTTTTTTATTTTTTTCAGATGGAGTCTCACTCTGTCGCCCAGGCTGGATTGCAGTGGCGTGATCTTGGCTCACTGCAACCTCAGCCTTCCTAGTTCAAATGATTCTCCTGCTTCAGCCTCCCAAGTAGCTGGGATTACTGGTGCCTGCCACCACACCTGGCTAATTTTTGTATTTTTTCATGAGAGATGGGGTTTCACCATGTTGGTCAGGCTGGTCTCGAACTGACCTCAAGTGATTCCCCCGCCTCAGCCTCCCAATGTGCTGGGATTACAGGCATGAGCCACCGCACCTGGGCAGAACTTAATAAACTTCCTTTGGTTAATAGTTTGTGAGTGAGTCCCATGGCACTGCTTCACTTGGAAAAGCGACCTGGCTGACCCTAGGCCACTGTCACCCCAGGTTTGTAGATACAGGGGAGTGTGCAGAACTCCACCACACTGGTGCTGCATGGGACATTTTCCCCTGTGTTTTGTCTGCAGAGCCAGTGGGAGTGAGTTTTCATGGTCCCTAAGAACTAATTTCCTTGCACTTTCATCCTGTGGACTCATCAGACCATCAAGCAAGAGCAGCAAGAATTCTTTCCTGGAGCCATCGCTGATGCAGTGAAGGAAGCAGTTGTTCCTAATTGCACCACTGCACTCAGCGGTCCTCATACTGATGGCAGCTAAAGGGACAAAGGTGGGGTGTGTCCGAGAATGCCAAGGTGTAGACTGGGTGGTTCGGTTCCTTCCCAGGACCTGTGGTTTCTTACAGCTGTGATTAAGGGCAGTGATGATCTGGAGTGACTTTTGCCTTTTGCCCAGTCAGAGAATGACTGTTGACAGAGGCCAGCCACACCCTGTTCCCACATGTGTCCCAACCAGAACCCCGCAGGATCGCTGCCTTTTGCAACAGAGAAGATGCGTGCAAGGCAGGAAGGGGCGTCCTGCTTAGCTGGGCATGTAGTCAGGACACACACCGCCTGCTCGCAGTCTACCGTTTGTCCACAAAACATAACAGGAGGATACTGTTTTTGTTTCAGATAAGGAGGCCTAGGAAATGAAAGATACAATGTCCCCAGTGGCTATGATTCCTTAACGCTACAGCCCTCAAAGTCAATACTGAAAATTGACCCTGAAGAAAGGCAAGCGTCTCCATGGTCCTAAATTTCCTAGATGATCCGTAACTGCCTCTACAGCTACATCCAACATTCCCAGGGCTTCACAGTGCTCATGGTGGGTAAGTCAACATAGGGAGTAAAATGTTACAAACAGTTTTCAGAATGTCAGTTGTGCAGTCTTCTTGGTCACCAACACTTCTTCAAAGGTTGAAATCCAGAATGAGCTCTGTAAAATTTCTTTTAGGAGAGCCACCTTCAATGGCCTTCCCATAGTCTGCAAGCTCTGGGGAGTATGCGGCCATGAGGGTTGTGAAGTGCAGAACCAGGAGCCTGGGCCACCCAACTCAAGTTGGTAAGGCTTTGTCCATAAGACTGTGCACGCAGCCACTTACCCACCATAAAGCAGGATAATAATACCTGGAGCAGGCCTGCTGTGAGGATAGACCCCACATTTCAACCCTGGACACACAGGGAGCACTGAACAAAAGTCAACGTCCTCTCCTTCCTGGCTTCACTTTCAAGATTAGATGATTTGGTTGTCCTGGCTAAGTCACATAAGCCCTGAGAAGTGTTCAGGGGTAACACAAGGAGATCATTACCTTTGGTCCTGTCTCCAATCGGGAATAAAGTAAGTAAGTATGCAGGTCCCCGTATTTCATGAAGGGTAAAATTACCATGGGCTTTGGGATGCCTTGAGAGCTCATTTCTATACACACACCTGAAATTACAAACACAGCATCAATTACAAAGAGTCCTTGTTACTGTGACCAGAAAAGCCCTCGTGGACCACTGGAAAAACTGAAGCCGTGTGTTACCAAGTTAACAGTTTGAAAAAATCAAGAGCGCCTAACTCACACTCTGTTCTAGAAAATGGAACACACACAGGGTCCACTACTGGTATTTTTCCCCCTTTCAGATTAATGAGGGCATGAGGGCTGTCACAAATTAAACTGTAACAAGTATAGCCATCTAGAAACCTAGGAATTTCTGTTCCACTGAGTCTGAGGGGTAGTGACCCCATAAGATTTTTGTTTCAGATAAGGAGGCCTAGGAAATGAAAGACACAATGTCCCCAGTGGCTATGATTCCTTAACGCTACAACCCTCAAAGTCAATACTGAACTAGTATTGAACTAGGGCGAACTAGTTTCATGTGATAGATATTTAATCACGTGAAGAAGTCCACTGCAAATGCTTAAACTATTACAATAACTTTGAAGGGCTATAGGTAAAATTCACATCCCTAAATTTTAACAGTTTTGCAAAAGAGAAGCTATAATATCATTTATCATGGAATCTGAGAGCCAGAGGCTATCACCTGATCCCATGCTTGCAAAGCTCCTGCACTCTGTGGTGTGATCACAAAGTGCAATTGTTCTCATAGTCGGCTGAAGCCAATAGCAGTGAATGAATAACAGTAGCTTATTTGACATAATACTGTATACAAACATTGATTTTCACATCTCTCTGCAGTGCCAATCATATGAAACTTTGAAAGATCCCAAAAGAACTTAGCATGTATGCAGTCACAGGATGGCAAAGCAAAAACAAAACACCAAGGTCAGCAGAAAATTCAATTATTTCCAGGTTACTCTTCTCTCTTGGGACAGAGCCACTTACACAGCATCCACTCCATACTTAATCTCCTCTTTTGTAATTTTTGGCTAATGGAGCTGCAAAGCCAAATTACGTTAAATCATGTTCTATGGAACTGTTAAATCATATTCCATGAAATCATCAATGTATCATGATCTTAAGAAATCAGTACTTTCAAACAGGTTAATAAATTATTTCTCAAAGATAAACCTACGGAATTTGCCTACTTTTTCACCTTTATCCCACTGCTATCTAACTCATGCATAACCTTAAATTAATAAAAATTATAACACAACCACCTCTGTGTCTTGCCTTTGAGTAACTGAGGACAATTTAATTCACACTCTCCTAGAATTCTGTGGAAAACTCAAATCATTCCTGAGCCTATCAGCGTCCAGAAAATGCAAACTCATTATTACTATTAGCCTCAGAAAACATCATTATGAAGAAAAGTCTGGGTGAAAACCTCAATGTTATAAGTTATGTTGGGGTTATACGAAGTGTAAACTTATCTACACCAGAGATTTTTTCCTTTGGCACAGAGCAGATCAGCAGAGCCCTCTTGGCCACCCACTCCTGCATTTCTCGGAAGTACCTAGAAGTCGAATGACATTTGGGTGGCTGAAGTCTTTCATGCACGCTGCCTCACTGAGAAACTCCTCGATCTCCCGCTGTGAAGAGTTGTCCACTAGAGGAGAAAATAGAAAAGGTTAAGTATGGATAATTTACTCAATTAAGGGGAGTGGGTGGGCAACAGCAGTTCTGTTCTCTAAAACCCAGGTCAGGAAGAGATGAAAGTATAGAGACAGGAAACAGATGAGTGGTTGTCAGGGGCTAGTAGGGCTAGGGGAGATAAGAGAGGGGCAAACAGGCAAAGCACAGGGGACTTTTGGGGCCAAGAAATAATTCTGTATGATACTATAATGATGGATGCATGACACTACACATTTGTCAAAACCCACAGAGCTGTATAACACCAAGAGTGAACCCTAATGTAAAATATGGACTCTGGTTAATAATAATGTATCAGTATGGGTTCATCAATTGCAAAAAATGCAGCTCACTAATAAAAGACATTAATAATAGGAGAAATTATGTGTGTCAGGAGGGGACCTATGGGCATTCTCTGTACTTTCTGCCCAATTTTTCTGCAAACCTGAAACTGCTCTACAAAGTTAAAGTCTAATGGTAAAGAAAAAAAATTCCAAAAAAAAAACCCCAACACCAAAACAAAGAACAATTCTAACTGATCTGTTGCAATTATATTTGCTTTTTTTAAAAAAAGAAAGAACCCCACACCTCTCTGTTTCTATTGTTGTATGTCCTGCAAGTCTGGTTGCTCAACCACGCCTTGTGAGTTGGATGCATTTTCATACCAAATTTTTTGAATTAAACTGGCTTAAGAGAGAGACATTTAAAATTCTGTATTATGCTAAGTGAAACAAGCCTGTCACAAAAGGATGAATACTCTATGATTCCACTTACATGAAGTACCTAGAGAGTCAAAATCAGAGACAGAAAATAGAATAGTGCTTGCCAGGGCTGGGGAGAAAGGGTAGTGGGGAGTCATTGTTCGGTAGGTGTAGAGGTTCAGTTTTGCAAGATGAAAAGTCTTGGGGCTGGGCGCAGTGGCTCACGCCTGTAATCCCAGCACTTTGGGAGGCTGAGGTGGGTGGATCACGAGGTCAGGAGATCGAGACCATCCTGGCTAACAAGGTGAAATCCTGTCTCTACTAAAAATACAAAAAATTAGGCGGGCGTGGTGGCGGGCGCCTGTAGTTCCAGCTACTTGTGAGGCTGAGGCAAGAGAATGGCCTGAATCCGGGAGGCGGAGTTTGCAGTGAGCTGAGATCGTGCTACCGCACTCCAGCCTGGGCAACAGAGCGAGACTCCGTCTCAAAGAAAAAAAGAAAAGAAAAGTTTTGGAGATGGATGGTAGTGATGGTTGTATAACATTATGAATATGGTTCTTAATACCACTGAATTGTACACTTAAAATGGTTAAAATGGTAAATTTTATATTATGTATATGTTGCCACAATTAAAAACAAATAAAAAGTCTGGCTTGCCTTAGGGAATTTGCGTTAACAGGGTAAAACTACTGATTAAAATCATGCATGAGGGCATCTAATGCAGTGTCTATACCATCCTATTGGCTTAATATATATTAATCTTCTTTCTACTGAAGGAAATTTAGAAAAATTTAAAAATTTTTCTAATTAAAAGAAAATCTATACATCTGCAAAAATTTGCCCTCACCTATTCCTTTTGCTGCAAACAACCAGGTGGGGGAATACAGGGGTAGGGCTCTGCCTGCAGACTATTCCCCAGGGGTCCAACCTGCAGGTAAATGTAGCTGAGCCTGGGGATTTTGAAGCTAGAGATTATACTCTCAATCTTTGACAATTAGCAGGGGTGTAATCCCTATGCAATTTACCCTAATGAAATTAAATAACTGCAGAGTCAAGCCAGAGAAAAAGTGGGTTCCAGGCCCAGCTCCTCCCACCAGGCCTCCTAATATACCTGCCTTATATCCCTAATAGGAATTATGGAAGGACTCCCCACAGATGCACTGTGAGGCTCAGATAAAATCATACAAGAGGCAGGAACAGTGCAGAATATGGCTCAGTGCTTGGTTCAGCTCCAGTGAGTATTCTAACTTCAGGGTGTTTTAGTTTCTGGGGGCTAGTTCCTGAACCTCCTTTTTAGTTATGTTCATTTTCTCTTCCTGTTGTCCTGATGAAATACAGGAATAACTGCAATGTCCTTTGGCTAACAGTGAGTATTACATAAATATTAGTCATTATGGTCTACTTAAAAAGTACCGGTTCATGTGACTTGTTGGTTATTGTGGTTCCTTTTTATAGCTGAATTAAGCTTCAGCCTCCAGGCCAGGCGTGGTAGCTCACGGCTGTAATCCCAGCACTTTGGGAGGCCAAGGTGGGCGGATTACTTGAGGCCAAGAGTTCAAGACCAGCCTGGCCAACATGGTGAAACCCCATCTCTAGAAAAAAATACAAAAATTAGCCAGGCATGGTGGTGCATGCCTGTAATCCCAGCTACTCAGGAGGCTGAGGCAGAAGAATTGCTCGAACCCAGAGGCAGAGGTTGCAGTGAGCCGAGTTCATGCCACTGCACTCCAGCCTGGGCGACAGAGCAATACTCTGTCTCAAAAAGAAAAAAATAAATAAACTTCAGCCTTTTCATTTAAGAGTCTCAGTACATGCTTACAATCTAACTTATGCTTTAATGTCCAGTAAATAGTGGATTTAAATTTTAGGAAGAATCCAATTTTACTTTATTCCCTGATCAAAAATAGTATTGAATAGGTACAAGGGGTTAATAAGGAAGCAACATCAAGAATATTGACAAACTGAGCACCAAATAATCTCCATCCATGATTCATGATGAAGACTGGGTGAAATGCCACGTGACCACGACCTATTTTCTAAGTTCCCCAGTGATAGGCCATGCCCAGCCAGACACCTATAGAATCAAACTTATACAGCTGTGTGGCCCCAGCTCCAGAAATGCACTTCCTGGAAGAAGGACATGGAGAGGAAATGCTGCCTTGCTCTGCCAGTGAAATCTGGTCATCTTATGGTAATGAAGAAGCCCAGCACAACCTGCCCCCTTTCTAGCTATTTCAATTAGACAAGTCAGCAAGTCACTATAGTTTCCTTAACTATATAGATTTTAAGCTGGGTGAAGTGGCTCATGCCTGTAATCCCAGAACTTTGGGAGGCCAAGGCAGGTGGATCACTTGAGGTTAGGAGTTCGAAACCAGCCTGGCCAACATGGAGAAACCCCATCTTCTCTACTAAAAATTCAAAAATTTAGCCAGGCGTGTTGGTGGGTGCCTGTAATCCCAGCTACTCAGGAGACTGAGGCGGGAGAATCACCTGAACCCAGGAGGTGCAGGCTGCAGTGAGCCAAGATGGCGCCACTGCACGCCAGCCTGTGTGACACAGTGAGACTCCATCTCAATTAAAAAAAAAAGAAAGTATTTGAGAGGGCCTAGACTGCATAGATTTTACAGTGTCCTAACTGGCATCTACCACTATTTTTGTCAACACTGTAATTTGTTCTCCTCCACACTGACATCAAAGTGAACTTTCTGGAATTTAACCTGCTCTATTCTTCATTTGGCTAAGACTCTTTTTTTTTTTGAGACGGAGTCTCACTCTGTCACCCAGGCTGGAATGCAGTGGTGTGATCTCGGCTCAATGCAACTTCCGCCTCCCGAGTTCAAGTGATTCTCCTGCCTCAGTCACCTGGGATTACAGGTGTGTGTCACCACGCCCGGCTAATTTTTGTATTTTTAGTGGAGACGGGGTTTCACCAAGTTGGTCAGGCTGGTCTCAAACTCCTGACCTTGTGATCTGCCCGCCTCAGCCTCCCAAAGTGCTGGGATTCCAGGCGTGAGCCACCGTGCCCGGCTGGTTAAGCCTCTTAATAGCGCTCTACTCCTTGCAGGATAAAGCAGGTTCTTGGCTGTGACTTACAAGACTCTCCCTGTCTCACTGCTGGCTCTCTTCCCAGCTTGCTTGGAAGTTCTAGCTTATGATAGCAACTCTTCATATGCCTTGACCAAATATTTCTCCTCTTTCTGGGGAACTTACTTGCCAGGCAGCCCGCAGCTTCCTCAGGGCCATGCAATCATCCTCAAATGAGGAAGTGGCCCCACCACACTAGACAGGCCGGCCAGAACAACCCCTGGGGTCAGATGTTGCTATTAGATCACCCCTGCCTCAGCAATTGATGCTCTACTTTGGAGTTGTTAGCTCTACTAGATGAGAGTGAGAGAAAGAGAGACAGTGAGAGAAGGAGAGAGAGCAAGACAGACAGTATGTATGCATAGGCATGCAGGAGTTAGTAAAAATAAAAAATGTTATTGCCTTGAGTATAAAGAATATGTAATGCATGCATGAAGAGCTCATTAAAGTAAGTCCCCCTTGGTGACCAGTGTTCCACATTGCCTTCTGGCCCACTGGGAACTGAGATTGTGACATATGGCCTCATGGAGCACCCAATACTGAAGCAACTGCCCACCCTAGAAGAATGGGATTCATCACTGATAACTCACACTTCATGGTCTTCACTGCCACTTTCAGAGAGGTCCCATCTTCCTGCTTAAGATTTCCTTCCATTACAGACCCAAACTCTCCTGTGAAGTGAAAGAACACCTGTATGGACACTGTGCAAACTCTTCCCTGACCACAGAAATGCTACAGTGCCAGAGCTGCTGGTTTCATGTGGTATGAGAGCAACTCACCCACGGGCAGCCAGGCAGAGCCTGCCCAGGCCACCCACATCGCAAACCAGGGTGATGCGCCACGCTCTAGTCTCCTGCTTGTCACGAGCTTGGGTGGCTTGGGCCTACCTTTGCTCATCACTTTATTAAGCATTATAACCAATCCAAGACACTTAGAAGAGAACATGAAAAATATTATTGAAGTTTTTAAAGCACAAACTTTTAATACCATTATCATTCATCCTAAGAACAACTTAACAAGTTAAATACGTATTTTCATTTTTGTTCCTAATTAGAAAGGTGCCAAGAACAATGAACTTAAGAACTAGAGGAATAAACTTAAAGTACATAGGAAACTACTCAATGAATTACATGCTTTTCAATGAAGAAAGAAAATTAATATTTTTCAAGGACCTGTATGTGCTAGGCATTGAAGAGAATCTTTTCATGTGCCAGATCTGAGTTTCAAAAATCAATAGTCTATCATTTTAAATAATAAAATATAACTATCCATAGTATAACTCAGAGTCCTGAGATGCTATTTTATTTAATAAATATATGTTAAAGAATTATTCTAAACTGCTACCTTCTTATCCCACATTTTAAAAGAATTACTTTAAATTGCTTACCTTCACCCAGAATTTTTCCAAGAATTAGAAGATTCCTGTCAATCACAACATCTTCTAGTTTATTTTGTAGTTCCTCACTGACTCCCAAGCTATGTACTGAAAAAGGAGTAACATAGTATGTACAAAAATTGTCAGCGTGTTTTCTTTCACTTGATAATTAAAATGAAATAAAGTCCTGTATAATAAAACATTCCTTATTTATTTATTTATTTATTGAGCCAGAGTCTAGCTCTGTTGCCCAGGCTGGAGTGCAATGGTGCAACCTTGGCTCACTGCAACCTCTGCCTCCTGGGTTCAAGCGATTCTTGTGCCTCAGCCTCCCAAGTAGCTGGGACTGCAGGCATGCACCACCACACCCAGCTAATTTATGTATTTTCAGTAGAGACGGGTTTTATCATCTGGGCCAGGCTGGTCTCGAACTCCTGACCTCAAGTGATCTACCCACCTCGGCCTCCCAAAGTGCTGGGATTACAGGTGTGAACCACCATAGCCGGCCCCTTTTTTCATTTTGTATCTATTATTTCTCTCCCAAAAATGCCAGTAATAAAATTTCATACTTTAGAATGATTAAACTAAGTATAATGAATCCTTCAGGGCAAGGTTAATTCTGAAGAATTACAAAAATCAGAACCACATTTCTCATTCTGTTGTGTGGTAGCAGCAGCCGGTAATCAGATTCATGTAGGGGTGGTTTGCCTTTGACTTAAAGGGGTAAGGAAGATAAGTCAATAGGTAATTTCTGGTGAATTCTTTACTATTAATATTATACCCTTGACTACAGTATACAAAAGAACCACACGTCCCCTACCCTCCCATGCCATGGACGGAGTCTCACAAACCACAGGAAACATCTAGAGAATAAGCTCTTATTTTACATACTGTATATGAAACCTATTATAACAGCATAGCAAGGGCTAAATTGAGCACTTTGAGGAATTGGAGAAAAAGATTTTTCTATAATAAAATATATAATATAGTAAGGTATATAATAGATGAGTCATGTTGGCAACAAGAGAAATTAACCAGAAGGGGACCAGTTCAACAACTCTTGGCAAATGATTCAGTCTGGACCACAGTTAAGGCATGAACAAGCTCTTGAAAGATCAAAAAAATGTGGATAATTAGGACACATTAGTTCTCAGAGAAAAAGCTTTATCCAGTGGTTCTCCAATAAAGGAAAGAAAGTGGTCTAAATGACAAATTTTAAAATTTTAAATTAAAAAAAAAATTGAGGATATCTAAAAGTCAAAACTTACAGACTAGAAAGGTAAAGAAATTAATAATATTCTACACCAAGCAAGTTTCTATTTCATAGCAACCTGTATTCTGTCATTCTTATCTATTTTCTTTATTGGGGGCAAACATCCAGAAGCATGAATTTGTTAATATTTGCATGTCCTTTCTATACTTTTTCTGAAATTATTCAGGAACACTAGTGTCTGTTTATTTCCGCTGTTTAAACCAGAAGCCCCCACTCTCTGATTCAGCAAAGCTCAAACCATAATTACTATAAAGCATGTTGGCAAATCATCCTCGGAGTTGGTTGCCAGGAAAACAGGAAATGAGGCTTGAGATTATGTTCACTAGTTAGAAGTTTTCTTTAAATCCCTGGCCTCTACCCATCTTCTGTCACCCTAGAAGGTTCCTCTTTTCTGCCACATTTCATGACATTGTGAGTCCTTTTAACCCCAGGTCAAGCTCCTGATTGCAGTAAATTAGCCCACAGAGCTGTGCATGGCAATGTCTGGCTATCTACTTGCTGCTTTTAAAGACATTTTGTACATTAAAAATATCCATTCTTCTTCGACATCTTTGGCTTTTGTTAGAAATCTGTCTATTGATCCTTCTTTGTTCTCAACTATTTTAACTTTTGCCAAAAAGGGAAATGAAAGTCAACTTACAGGTAAGTTCAATGGCTCGCCGACAGAAGGATTTCTTTGCTATATAATTCACCACTAATTCAGAATCCTCCTCTGTGAATGCATTCCTGGGTGAATGAAAACAAAGATACTTCACTATAAAAACAGGGCTACTGGGGCAGGCACTGATTCCACAAGGATGCTACAGAGCTTCCGCTTTTCAATGGGCTCTTCTACAACAAAAGCTTTCCCCCTAGAAGAAACGTGTTTCTTTCCTTTGATTTATTTTAGACTTACTTGGCAATATTGAAACTACTCTAGCCAGGTACCGCCAAGAACAGAGAATAACAGATAAGCTCCCAGTGGCCAAAGCTGTAACAGTCTGAGCAAGAAACTAAAGTAATACTAGACTATGAGTATAAAATGAATATCCATAAGTCTATACTTATGAAAATATGATTGAATGAATGAATGGAAGAAAAGACACCAATCTCCTGTGGTGAAGAATTCCAAATATTTTATGTAGCTAGTAAGGGGTGGAGGGAGTTAAACCCTCATGCTGTCAATATGGGCTATGCATAGTGACTTGCTTCCAAAGAACAGTAGGGAAAGGGAGAAAAAATAACTTCATGGTAGAGAAACCCAGCAAATACTACTTCAGCCAGGTGATCAATGTCAACATCAACAGTGATACATCATGTTAATATGCACCCTTGATAAGAAGTGATGACAATGGCATTTTAATTCTGTGCTCCTCCTCTCAATCACCCATAACCCCTGCTCATTATCAGCAAAACATCGAACACATTGCAATAGAGGGGCATCCTACAAAACACCCGACTAACACTTCTGAAAACTGGCAAGATCATCAAAGACAAGGAAGGTCTAAGAAATGGCCACAGCCAAGAGGAGCCTAAGGAGATGTGATGACTGACTGTAAAATGTGGCATCCTGGAAGGGATCCCAGAACACTAAAGGGACATTAGGTGAAAATTAAGGAAATCTCAAGAAAGTAGAGATGTTAGTTAATGACAATGGATCAATATTGGCTCATTAACTGTAACAAATGTATTGTACTAATTGTCAGGACCCTGAGCCCAAGCTAAGCCATCATATCCCCTGTGACCTGCACGTATACACCCAGATGGCCTGAAGCAACCGAAGATCCACAAAAGAAGTGAAAATAGCCAGTTCCTGCCTTACCTGATGACATTCCACCATTGTGATTTGTTCCTGCCCCACCCTAACTGATCAATTGACTTTGTGACAATACACCCTCCCTGCCCTTGGGATAATGTACTTTGTGGTATTCCCCCACCCTTGCGAATGTACTTTGTATGATACACCCTCCCTACCCTTGAGAAGGTACTTTGTAATATTCTCCCGGGCCCTTGAGAATGTACTTTGCAAGATCCACCCCCTGCTTACAAAAAATTGGTCCTCCAGTGGATATTGGATATTGGATAACTCCACTGCCTATACCAAACCTGTAAGAACTAATGATAATTCCACCATCCTTTGCTGACTCCTTTTTCGGACTCAGCCCACCTGCACCCGGGTGATTAAAAAGCTTTACTGCTCACACAAAACCTGTTGGTGGTCTCTTCACATGGACACGTGTGACACTAATAATGTAAGCTGTTAATAATAGGGGAAACTAGGTATGGAGCATATGAGAAATCTCTGTACTATCTTCTCAATGTTTCTGTAAAATTAAAACTGTTCTAAAAAATAAGGCTGGGATTCATGCCTGTAATCCCAGCACTTTGGGAAGCTGAGGCAGGAGGATCACTTGAGCCCAGGAGTTCAAGACCAGCGAGGGAAACAAAGTGAGATGCCTCATCTCTATAAAAAGTAAGAAAATTAGCCAGACATGGTGGTATGTGACTGTGGTCCCAGCTAATCGGGAGGCTGAGATGGGAGGATCACTTGGGTTCTGGAGGACAAGGCTGCAGTGAGCCATGAATGCACCACTGCACTCCAGCCTGGACGACAGAGCAAGATCCTGTCTCAAAAAAATAAATTAATTTTAAAAATAAAAAATGAAGTCTATTTTAATAATCCATTTAGTCACTGTTTTAGACTAATTGGTGGGAAAGTATTATGAATTTGAAAGTCTAGATTACAGATTTAATCTCAAGTTACCTTAGGTACATAGATTATTTTAAAGAGATAACACAATTTTGAAAAAAATACTGATGTACACAAAGCAAAGCACTTGGAAAGACGTATGCCAAAATAGCAACCAACACCATCTATGGGCCTGAAATGGGCCTCACTTTCTCCTTTTGACTATTCGATATAATCTGATTTTTAAAAAAATATAATGTTACTTTTATAAGTAAAAATAAAAGTATTTTCATTTAAAAATGAGCTGGAAAGTGGTTTTACAAAAGGAACAAATGAATAGATCTTGTAGTAAGGATCCATGGGAACTGACTTCGACATAGATAACAATAACCTGTTACAAGTCTTTCATTTGTTTTAAGCTTCTGCTGAGTTTAATGGTTCCTGGAAATAGTTTTATTTCTAAATATTTGAAATAGTATTGTAATCTTGTTAATATATTTGCTGTACTCAGCAGCCCCACTTTTTGGTAATGTGGCATGTGCTGCTCCTTCTGGCTGTAATGCTCTTCTTCTCTCTCATCTAATGAATACCTGCTCTTTCTTCAGATCTTAGCTCTGGTGTCAGCCACTTCTGCACAAAGGCCTTCCCTGACTTTCTTAATGCAGCCAAATTTTTCTGACACATTCTTACCCCTTTATATAGAATGTATTACAGTTGCCATTTTTAATCTATTTTGTGACTGCTTGACTACTGCCTGACTCCCCATGAACTGTGAACCCCATGAGGGCAGGATTTTGTTCACCACTGTATTCCAGGCTACCGCAGTGCCCAGTGCCTAGCAGGCCTTTAATACATATTAATGAGCTACTCTTGCAGCTTCTGCAGAGGTTCTCTGTACTTGTTTTATGATGAACCCACATGTCACACCAAGATCCTGGGATGTATTTTAGTCAATTATATGTTCAAGATTTAGATCAGATTTTGTCCACTTCTTTAAAATAGTCATTCTTAGAATTCACATACTAAGGTATAACAATTGTAAGAATAGGCTTATAAAGACTAAAGTAACTGACCCCTAAGACTGGGATGAACACAAATAAAGCGTAGCCTGGCTGCCAATCTTAAGCCCTTCCCACGCCTATGGCAAGTCTTGGAGCGAGTGGGATGTTCTAGTAGCATTCTGAAGGTGGAGCAATGAAAGAGGGAGGCTCAGCCCCCTCCAAAGTATAGCCATACACCCCTCACTCATTCTGTCCCACTCCAACCTGCCAACAACCCTCCTGGGTTCAAGCAATTCCTGTGCCTCAGCCTCTAAAGTAGCTGGGATTACAGGCGTGTGCCATCATGCCCAGCTAATTTTTGTATTTTCTGTAGAGATGACATTTTGCCATGGTGGCCAGGCTGGTCTCAAACTCCTGACCTCAAGTGATCCGCCTGCCTTGGCCTCCCAAAGTGCTGGGATTACAGGTGTGAGCCACCGCACTCGGCCTATTTTTAAGGCTTCTAATAAAAGTCCTCACTTAACAGCAATCCAGTTTGAGTAGCAAAGGCCTACTGATACTCTTCTCTGTAAAGGAACCCTTTTCAGGCCTGGCTTTTGCTGGCAGCTGCTTCTGTAGACCATGGCGTAAGTCAGGAAGCTGCCTGAGCCCAGGGTATGCATAAGGCAGGGCAGCCATCTGGGAGCAATGTAAGCAGCTGGCCCAACAGGAAAGGCATAATCACTTGGTATAACAACCTTGTCAATACCAGTGGGCAAACATTTTTAGCTGGGAGACTTACCCAAACTTTGTCTCCTGGACTCTTTTTCTGATGGCCAAGGAGATGTATAAAATCAACCCAATCAAAATAAATCCACAAAAGCAGCCAAAGATGATGAGCACAGGATCTGCGTTGCCAGGCGCCGGAGTTGAAGAGGGGGCATAATCTACCCAACCTGGTGAGATACCAATAGACCAGTCATGGGTTTGAAATATATGAGAAACACTGGCTTGTAACAGGGAAGAACAAATAGTCAAAGCTTTCAGAACTCAGTTAAATCTTTTATAATCTACAAATATAGGCAGGTCTCACTTTGTGTAAGCTGAGACCATGCGAAGAGATCTTAATAACTGATGGGAAACTAGCTTGATTTACTCATTCCATAACATATACATAGATCAAAATGTCACACTGTACTCCACAGGTATATACAATTTTTCAATTATTAATTAAAAATAGTAATTTTAAAATCAATGAGAAAACTCATGTCATTATACACGTACAAGAAAATAACAAAATTACAACTAATATTTACTTCTACTGTAGTTTAAAATGTTAGAAACATGAAAAATTAAAGTGTCATTTCTTTGTAAAAAAACGATCGAGAGTAGGTTAAATAGTTTGCCTTCTAGTCATGTAACTTATGATACAGAGAAAATATAGTTTCTCTGTTTTGAAGAATTGTCACATTCCTTTCTAAGTTTGGATCGACTGCTAATGTTTTAGCTTTTGTTCTTTCAATGTTGTAAAATATCTCCCAGTATTCCTTCAATGCTGTTTTTTGACAGTGTCGCTTTCTCTGGGACATTTTCAACCTTTTTGTCACAACCTCTTGATGTATGTGCATAAGTTCACCTTCACTAAGGACCGCTGGTTCACATCAGCAGGGGCAGTTATCAACTTCCCACAGTCTTGCATTCAATTCAAATTTTACGTTGAACACTATCACTTTGCATTTCTTTACTGCACTTTTACCTTTGTTCACCAACTCCCTCTTTCAATTACCCATTTTTGTAAAATGTCATGTGGGTTTGTCCCTGGGAGACAAGGAGGCAACACAGCCACATGTCTCCGCAAGGTGGGCACAAAAAGAATGACAAGGGCGCAGTGACCGATCACAACAGCCTTTGAAAGAAATGATGCCGTTGGTCATGATAGGATGTGCATCTGTTATTTCTACGATGGTTGGTGGCCTGAAGAGCCAGCAGCCCGAGTTTATGCTTTATGCCATTATGGTTAATATAGAATGGTAACTAAAATTGGAACTATATTTTTGGGGAATGGGTGTTATTTAACTGTGGTAATTGAAATTTGTGCATACTGGAGCCCTGCAAGGTAAGGACTGCCTGCATAGCAAACATGGCTTCCCCACGTTGGCCAGGTTGGTCTGGGACTCCTGACCTCAAGTGATCCAACTGCCTCGGCCTCCGAAAGTGCCGGGATTATAGGCATGAGCCACTGCGCCCAGCCTAAACTCCAATTTTTTTAAGCTGTCCCTTTAGAATCAGAATCTCATTGTCTTTGTTCTTGTTTTGTTTTGTTTTGTTTTGGAGATGGGGGTCTCACTCTGTCACCCAGCCAGGAGTACAATGGTGTGATCTTGGCTCACTGCAACCTCCACCTCCTGGGCTCAAGCTATCCTCCCAAGTAGCTGGGACCACAGGCGCATGCCACCACACCCTGCTAATTTTTGTTGTTGTCGTTATTTTAGATAGAGATGGGGTTTCACCATGTTGGCTAGGCTGGTCTTGAACTCCTGAGTTCAAGTGATCTGCCTGCCTTGGCCTCCCAAAGTGTTGGAATTACAGGCGTGAGTCACTGCGTCCAGCCAGAATCTCAGGGTCATTGAATTTCTACCAGGTAGACACATCTTGCCTCCCCATCACCAGTTACTAATGTTTCCCAGAAACTGTGCCTATGTGCTGCAAGAACGTAATATGGTTCCATTTCAGCACCAAAAGGGAGAGCAAGTTTCAGTGTCACTGGGAACAGACAGGTGGGAACTCAATCATTTGCTCACAAGTTCTGTCTGCTATTGGGTACAAAGGTCATGTTTGGCAAAAACTTAATGTATAAGCACACTGATCTAGATGCCTATGCATGGACTTTATGACAGCCGTTTAACATTAAACAACCTAGGGCAGGTGAGAGTCAAACAAAGGTGGCTCCATTGGGTTATGGAGTGAGCACAGCACTTGGTTCACTTGGGGTACCACAGTGGCACCGTGCCAAAGGACATTCCAGCAACATGCAAAAGCCAACACGCATGGCTGGGCATTTAGCTCCGTGGGCCCAGGGCAGTCTGAGGATGGCTTCCATAGGAAATATTTCATGTTCCGTGCAGACCAAAGCACAAAGCATGTTACCCAAGGCTTGAATGGGTAAAAACATGGCAAAGCAGTACTATTTCAAACACAGCAAAACAAGCAACAGCAAATAAACTGTCCCAATTGTAGACAGCTAAGGGTTAGCTATATTGCCTGTCTAAAATTCAGTCATGTACAGTATACATCATTGCAACTAAGTTCAATAAGTAAAGCCAAAGTTGGCATCTGAAAAGACTAATCTTCCAAGTAAGTTATTACCATTAATAGTAACTATAGGAGGGACCTATGGGTATCAGCAGTTCTGTAAAGCATGTTATCATATCATATCTTTATCATTGGAAAAATTATTTTTGATTCTTATTTTTCCCTTCTTTTTTTTTTTTTTCTTTTTTTGAGACAGGGTCTCACTCTGTTACCTAGCTAGAGTACAGTGGTGTGATCATAACTCACTGCAATCTCTGCCTCCTGGGTTCAAGCACTTCTCCCACCTCAGCCTCCCAAGTAGCTGGGACAACAGGCATGATCCACCATGCCCAGCAAATTTTAAAAATACATATATTTTTTGTAGAGACAGGGTCTCACTATGTTGCCCATTGCCCAGGTTGTTCTCAAACTCCTCCTGCTTTTGCCTCCTGAAGTGTTGAGATAAGCCCAGCCTTATTTTTCATTCTTTAATCAGCCATCCATCCCCCAGGTTACTTTCTGGCAATCTGTGCACTGCCTGGACCATCACATCCTATCAGCCCTTACTGGGTATAGCTCTCACCGTGTGCAGGGATAAATATTTTCACTGGATCACTGAAGGGCCCAACTCCCCCTCTGGTGACGGCTGCAATCCTCACTGTGCACGTAGCATTGTGGACTTGAACAGAGATCCGAGCTCGGCTGCCATTCTGGCCAACTTCCTCCAAGAGCTCTTTCTGGAGACAGAGAGGAAGAGAGGAAATGAAAACACTGAGGTCTGGGCAAACTGCAGGTGCATCTACAGTTCCTTCTGAGGGAAGCCATCCCGCCCACGTCCGAGGCCAGAAGCCACACTTCCACAGCATTCCTTTGTCACTCAGGCCATGGCCAATGGAACCAAAAGTCAGGTAGGGACAGGATGTAACATCAAGTTTTGGGGGGCATTGGCAAGCTAGGGCCATGAGGGCATGGCACTTAGAGTGGTCCTAAAGAAGCTTCTGGAAGAGAGGGAGCACGTAGCAGATGCACCCGGACGGCAGAGCAAGCCTGACTCCTCAAGCCCTCGATCCTCAGAACCACCCACAGCACAATACGCCAGTCACACTATCCCTTGACATTGTCCACCTGCCACCTGCCCTTGAACCAGCACGAGTGGGCTCCTGTTCCTTGAAATTATTAGAATTTTGACTAAAATCTACCTGGAAGAGGGCACTGACACTTTTTTTTTTCTTTCAGTGTGACAAATGTACAACTTGCTCAATTTTCAAAACTCTGGTTTTACTTTTATTTGTATGTTATTTTAAAGTCACTGTCATTCAAATAAAGGGGAAAAAATAACCAGAACTAAGGGTTTATACAACACCTTCCTCCCCTTTTCCAAACCTCTGTAATCATAATGTTCTCTGGCGTAGGAAACTAATTTTGTGTTTGGGCTGGCTTTTCAAATGGAAATTATAGGGGTTGTGAAAGCTGAAATGAAGTTCTAGGAACATGTCTTTATCTCTGAATTTTGGAAATTTGATTGCAGAGACAGAAAGAGATCTCAGGTCATGCAGGTCACAGATGTCACAGGTCACAGATGTCACAGGTCATCAATGAACAGCAAAGGCAGTGCTATTGGTAACTTTATTTCCTGGTCACTCACTCTCAAGCCAGTCACTTTCCTAGCAATGGTGAAGGATAGAACCATCTCAACCCTTAAGGAGAGAGCAGTCCATCATTCATGACCAAGGGGGCACCTGGGTTGGCCATCCAGAGACTGTTTCTAAATTTAAACAGGCAGTGGACATCATGGCCCAGAAATGCCCCCTGCAGAAAAAAACAAGCAGTTTTCTCTGCTCCCACACCACAATAGTCAACACAGAAGGCTTCTGTGACCTCTGGTCACCAAGAAGTGTATGAGAATTTTTCCCTACCAAAAACCAATCAGTCAATTCCACAGCAGACACCAGCTGGGCATTCTCCAACCCAGTTCAATTCCAACACTATCATCTGGAGATAGTGTCAGATCCCACAGGGTGTGGGCTCAGCCCCCAAGAGTCCCCCAAGTTTCAGGCACAAATCACAAGCCCCAGGTTGTTTGACCTGTACTTCTGACTGGCTGGCTATATAAATCAGGGACCCCATGACCCCCTCCTTGAGTTTGTTTAATTTGCTAGAGTGGCTCACAGAACTTAGGAAAAGACATTCACTGGTTTATTATTTTTTTCTTTTTTCTTTCTTTTTTTTTTTTTTTTGAGACGGAGTCTTGCTCTGTCACCCAGGCTGGAGTGCAGTAGCGCTATCTCAGCTCACTGCAACCTCCACCTCCCAGGTTCAAGCAATTCTCCTTCCTCAGCCTCCTGAGTAGCTGGGACTACAGGTGCACACCACCACACCAAGCTAATTTTTGTATTTTCAGTAGAGACGGGGTTTCACCATGTTGGCCATGATGGTCTCGATCTCTTGACCTGGCGATCCACCTGCCTCAGCCTCCCAAAGTGCTGGGATTACAGGCGTGACCCACCATGCCTGGTCACTGGTTTATTATTAAGGATATTGCAGAAGATACAGATGAAGAGCTATACAGGGCAAGGCACATGGGAAGGGGTGCAGAGCTTTCATGCCCGCCCTGGGTGCACCACCCTCTGGAAACCTCCACGTATTCCACTACCTGGAAGCTCTCTGAACCCCATCCTCATGGGCCTTTCATGGAGGCTCCATTGGATAGGCGTGATTGACAACCATGTAGAACTGTGATTGGACAAAAAAGGCATGATCTAGTACTATTAGACTGAGCGAGGAAACCCAACAAGACCTATCTGTTCAGATTCTTCTTGGCCTCTCTGTGCGTGGCTCCTTCCTCCAGGGAATGGAAACAGGACTCCTTCCGAAATGTGAGTCTTATGACTTCTAATCAGATCAGGTAGGTCAAAGAATTTCTTTATGGATGAGGGCAGGGGAAAATTAGAGCCCTGCCTTGGGGAGACAGAGGAGTACATGAAAGGAGGGCAGGAGAAGATCAGCAAGAGAGATTCTGTTTTCTGAGGCCTAAAGTGCCCAAACATTATAGCGAAAGACCGTCTTTCACCGTTAAAGCTCTGAAGCTACTTCAGAAACCAAGGACAAAAGGCCAATACTTCAACAAAAGATATGCTTGTTGTTTTAGTCCCTTAGGAAACAACAAGGGCTATGGGAGTAATAAGCCAGGACCCCGGGATGGAAAGCTCCCCTCCACACACATTATATATATATTGTGTGTGTACACACACAACCAGACACACAGTATATCGTAATATCACACCCCCAGACAAGGGATGAAAGGGAAAATATGACCGTTAAGAATGTTGGTTTTTCTACCCCACTGGACTCCGAGTCTATGAGATTTGCCATAGACTTTTTTTTGTTAATTAAGTGAACAAATTAATAATTAACCTTTTTTTTTAATATTCTGGTGATACCTTTTTCAGAAATACAGCATTGGGCTGGGCGAGGTGGCTCACACCTGTAATCCCAGCACTTTGGGAGGCTGAGGTGGGCAGATAACCTGAGGTCAGGAGTTCGAGGCCAGCCAGGCCAACATGGCAAAACTCCATCTCTACTAAAAGTACAAAAATTAGCAGGGTGTAGTGGCATGCACCTGTAATCCCAGCTACTCGGGTGGCTGAGACAGGAGAAAAGCGTTAACCCAGGACACGGAGGATGCAGTGAGCCAAGATCACGCCACCACACTCCAGCCTGAGACTCCGTTTCAAAACAAGCAACAAAAAAACATAAATAGAGCATTGTATTTACTGCAAACTAGTTTTGATTATGAGTTAGTTGGTCATTCTGTGTTTAATTTGGGAGCGAGGCAGAAAATCATCAGGTAGAGTAACTCCATGGACCAAACCCCCACGGTCATGGAGCCGTTTGGTGACTCAGGCCATTGCTGAGACATAACTAACACATCTGCTTCACGGTAGACAGCTCCTCCAAAGGACAAGCCTCACGGCCTGATGCGGAACACTGGCCTGCTTCTGGCTGCAGGCTCAAATATGATACCTCACTTATGAGAGAATCATCTCAAAATAAGAGGAATTACACGATTGGGAAAGAATTAAATGAATAGAAGAATAGAAACCCTAACAAAAACAAATTATTCTTTTGGAAATAAACATTCAAGTAGGCTATAATACAGTTTGAGCATCCCATATCCCAAAATCTGAAATCTGAAATGTTCCAAAATCCAAAACTTTTTGAGCACTGACATGACACAAAGGAAATGCTAAGTAAATAAGTTGAGATTTAGGATGCCCAACTGGTAAATATAATGCAAATATTCCAAAATCAGAAAGAATCCACAATCTGAAACACTTCTGGTCCCCAGACACTTTGGATAAGGGATACTTAACCTGTGTCTACTCACTTAGGGCCTATGACTCAGTAGGAAACCCCAGAAAGGTTACTTTTTGAATTTCCACTTCTTATTCTCCTAAGTGAGTTAACAAATGTGTAACAGTGCCTGGCCCAGAGCAAATGCACCCACCGTTCGATGATGGCCAGCATCATAGCCGTTGCCATCATTCTGAATATCAAAATATGACAAAGATGCTGGCCAGTGTTTATCAGTCACACATTTTGGAGATGGTCAAGGGTTATCACATTTTAGGGGTGGAATTATAATAAATGTTGCCATAGTGATTAGAAAGATATATGACATATATTTTAAAAGAGGTTTAACAATTTTCTCTAAGGATATCCTTAAATGGTAAACTTAAATATAGTTTTAAAATGATTCATGTTTTTTTAAAATGGATGTAATTTATCCATACTGTTTTGGTGCCAAGTATGTAAAGAACGGTGTGCCCCAATTCATATCCCCAAGTATTTAAGTCTGATTTTTCAAGTTGTCAGAGAAATCCACTAAAATCAGATGCACACAGGCGCTACCCCATGTGTATTATCTCTGGTGCTGTCAGGGTACAGATCACATAAGTTGGGGACATTTCTCTGACATGAGGTGGTCTGGTCATGGGGTGTATGCCACGGGCCAACTGCATATTTTTCATTGAGTGAGTTTTCATTTTTCACCAACACCAGGTTCATAGCCTCAAGGACTTAAACATCTGAAAGCATTTCCTGGTAATAAAATCAGATTTATAATATGGCACTTGATTGCAACTTTACTTACATGTAAGATAAGACACAGTGTATCTTGACAGTCAGAAAAGTAATAACACATCTTTGGAAAGTCAATTTGTTTTTTATCCTATGTGTGGCATTAGAGTTAGGCAGGGCAACTGCGGTGGTACTTGTTTTCAATGATCAAAGGACTTAAATATCCCCAACTACTTTATAAGAATTCACAACCCGTCCAGGAGTGGTGGCTTACGCCTGTAATCCCAGCACTTTGGGAGGCCGAGGCGGGTGGATCACGAGGTCAGGAGATCAAGACCATCCTGGCTAACACGGTGAAACCCTGTCTCTACTAAAAATACAGAAAATTAGCCGGGCGTGGTGGCGGGCGCCTGTAGTCCCAGTACTCGGGAGGCTGAGGCAGGAGAATGGCGTGAACCTGGAAGGCGGAACTTGCAGTGAGTGGAGACCGCACCACTGCACTCCAGCCTGGGTGACAGAGCGAGACTCTGTCTGAAAAAAAAAAAAAAGAATTCACAACCCTATAACTCGTAACTGTATTTAAGACTCTGGCCTGTTCTATAACCTCAATGAGATAAAAGTTTCTGTCTCATGACAACAACAAAGGTGACTCGTTCAAAGGGGTTTCAAATTCACAGGCATCAACACAAAACTCTCACATCTAACTCTGCAAAACACGTCCTGTTCTTCCTTCTTTCTACGGAGAGGCCACACTGTGGAATTTGAATGAGACTGTATTATGAAGAAAGCCAGGGGCGCCTGGGAACGAGTAGGGGGGTTCTGAAAAGCCCTGGTTTTGGAGTCAGTCGGAGTGAGGTTTTTAGCCCAACCTTTATGACTCTGCGGCAGTTACCCAGCATCTCTGAGCTTTAGTTTCCTCAACTGAAAATTGAGCATATTATCTTTCTCACAGTGGTTTTTGAAATGGAGTCTCGCTCTGTCCCCTAGGCTGGAGTGCAGTGGCGCCATCTTGGCTTACTGCAACCTCCGCCTCCTAGATTCAAGCGATTCTCCTGCCTCAGCTGCCCAAGTAGCTGGGACTACAGGTGCCCGCCACCAGGCTGGGCTAATTTTTGTATTTTTAGTAAAGACAGGGTTTCACCATGTTGGCTAGGCTGGTCTCGTCGAACTCCTAACCTCAGGTGATCCACCTGCCTTGGCCTCCCAAAGTGCTGAGATTATAGGCGTGAGCCACCACGCCTGGCCTCACAGTTAAGGGTTAAATGAGTTCCTTTATGTAAAACACATAGTACACGATCTGGCATGCTGCAAGTAATCAGTGGTGGCTATGATTATTCTTATATCATGTTCAAGGTGGTGCTACAGTTGGGTCTTCTTTCCCTGTAAATAAATACAAAACCTTCTTACAGAATTGAGCTTGTGGTATCTTTCAAGTCTTAGTGCATTAGAGAAAATCATCAAGGCTGTCTAGTTCCCCAAACCAAGAAGCTTATTTGACCTACTCATGGAGTTTACCTCCATGTTAAGTTTCTCCTCCAGGCAAAATGTACCCTATTTGATCAATCCCTGGGTTTCAGAAGAGGTTCAGATCCCTGGCTGGCCATGAGAACCTTGCCTATTCCTCATACTTTAAGACAACACCAGTTCAAATGCTCTGCTCTCCTTTGACAGTGAGAAAGAGGGAGAAAAGGAGACAGGAAGAGGCGGTGGGCACATGCCAACATCCAGGCACATAGCTCTGCTCATTAGGGGAGCTTGTTAGGAGGCCGAGGTCTTGGGCCAAGTACACTGCAGCTTCCCTGAGTCTCCAAAGAACTTGGTTCTCTGGGAGGCAGATGTTGCAGTGAGCCGAGATCGTGCCACTGCATTCCAGCCTGAATGACAGAGTGAGACTCTGTCTCAAAAAAAAAAAAAAAAAAGTTAGTTCTATATATCATGCTGTCTCAAGGCTATAATAATCTCTGCTATGAGACTTCCAAGATCTATACCTTTGAAAACGAAGAGTAAACTAGCATTAGAGCAATAAACCCAAAGCAACGAACTCCATAAAAACCGCACGTATAAAAATGTGTCTCTGCCTAACATTTAGACGATTCTGGGTCAAAGTTAAACAGAGTTATTTTCTGTTGAACTTCAAAGAGGCTTGAACTTGCCAGTATACATGGTGGGCCTTCAAGGTGGTATAATATGCAATATTTTGTAATTCTATTTGCTCACTGAACTCTTTTTTCACAGAAGATCCACTGACACTTTACGGGAATGAGGGTGGGTTGGGAAATACTAGTCCACACTTAATAAAAGACTGTCCCATTCATGGAGAGAAATTCTCCAGCTGGTTTAGATGGTGTAGCTGGGCCCACACATCAAATCCATAGTGCCACAAATGCCTACAAAGCAAGGTCAAGGCCCTGTGTTCAGACAGTACAAAGACGAGCAAGACCTGCCTCCAACTTCAAAGAGAACACATTGTATTTGTTCCTTATCTTTGGATTTTAAACTCTGATTTGGAAGGCAAGGAATCGCAAGAAAAATAGAACAAAAAAGGTAGGTATCATCGTTTGAGATATAATAAATATCCATTCAGTAAAGATCAAAGGATTCTTAGTCTGAAAGTGACATGACTGTTGCGGGAATGCAAAGCTACAAACCTGTCTTCTGTGTAGCTGCGATAAGCCAAGGAAAAACGACTGCCAAGAAAGTTCTGAAACTGCATGCACATGAAAAACCCCACCCTTAATTACAGTTATAATGAGAAATATCTTTCAAAAATATCCAACTGCTCTGTCCTGCATAAGGAAGTAGCTTTAGTATCAGTTATCTAAAAATGAAAATGAACGGATAATTTTGAGACAAGGTTTTGTCTAAGCTTTGCCCTTCTGAGATGAAGGAAATTGAAGGAAATCAAAGTGACAGATGCCAAGATCATCTTAAACTTCCTTTTGGGTGTGGGTTTCAGGGGACTCCCAGGGTCCACCTTTCTTCCATGTTCTTATTTGTCCCTAGTTTTGGATCATAAGCTTGAAACTTAGCTGCATCAGAGAATGTTTTCCAAAGTAAAGTGAGCCACTGTGTCTTTGTGGTCACAAGACTGTCATGATGCATAAAATATAGTGTAAAGCATAATAAATGATCTCACTGGGATGATCTGGCATCCCTAAGGAGGTAAGTGACTGGAAAGGTCACAGCCTTAACTGTGGCAGTTCTGTTCTCCCTGCAGAGGGGACCGTTCTGAACAAAGGGCAATGAGAATGCACAGCCTAGCTGAGTGCTAATGGCATTTAGTGCACAAGGCTCTCCAGCCACAGTCATTCATAAGGTTTTCATCATTGCTGCCCTTCAGAACGCCTCGGCTCAAGAGGCCCCCTTCAGAAAAGCAGCTTTCACCCAAGCCAGAAGTAGAAGGAGAAAGGATGACCTGCAGCTCTTTAAACAAACTGGCTTGTTTTTAGACAGCCTAAGTGTCTGCTGGTAATCACTATTTTCTGCCAAATAGAGAAAGATAAAATTCCTACTGAACCTTTATGCTTAGT
This sequence comes from Homo sapiens, assembly GCF_000001405.40. Lineage (NCBI taxonomy): Eukaryota > Metazoa > Chordata > Mammalia > Primates > Hominidae > Homo > Homo sapiens. The sequence goes on along the minus strand of NC_000002.12, from coordinate 111,986,378 downwards.
ATAGCTATACCAAGCATTCAGCATTGTGAACAAAAGCCCTTCTCTCAAAGAGGCATTTGATTCCTGCAACTCAGCCAATGGAGAAATGCAGTTAATCCAGAGGCACCTCGCACAAATGCCTTGGGGCAAAAGACAAAAGGAAAGGCTGCTTCTCTCGCAGCTGTGACTTTTAAGCAGGATTGCTACTTAAAATGAATTAATACCATGATCATTTACTATGAGGCAGAACAACACGGACTTCTAAGCCTTCTTTTTCTCTACTTCCATCACCTACTGCTTCCAACAGTCTGCTTCCTGATAGGTAAACTGAGGCAGGGAAATTAAAATAAATTTTAAGTGTCCTTTCAGAAAATGGCAGTTTTGATAAATGCTGGATGATATGTGGCTAAAAATGATTACAACAAAGCTTGAGCATCATCAGTGGATGCATCTGCTCACCCATTCACCCTGTTCATCTCTATATGCAGCATCTATATCTGATGCTCCATATAGATACCATGAAGAAGCTAAAATTTGGATCTATTATATGGTTTGGCTGTGTCCCCACCCAAACCTCATTTTGACTTGTAGTGCCATGGGAGGGTCCTGGTGGGAGGTAATTGAGTCATGGGGGCGGGGTTTTCCCGTGCTGTTCTCTTGACAGTGAGTCTCGTGAGATCCTATGGTTTTATAAAGGGGAGTTCCCCTGCACACTCTCTTGCCTGTCACCATGTAAGACGTGCCTTTGCTCCTTCTCTGCCTCCTGCCATGATTGTGAGGGCTCCCCAGCCATGTGGAACTGTGAGTCCATTAAACCTATTTTTCTTTATAATTACCTAGTCTCAGGTATGTCTTTATTAGCAGTGTGAAAACAGACTAATACAATCTGTCACTAGGGTTAGATTGATCAGGAATATGGCAACACAGAAGAAGCATGCTTTCCATGATCACAGTAAAGAAGAGACAGACTTGATAATGAAACCAGTGCATCTGCCCTTCCACGGATGTTCTGTGTCACAAAAGGAGGCAGCAATACCCCACTCTCTTCCTTTCCCAGGTGGGAAGGGAACCTGTCTAGAAGCTGCCCACCTAATCACACCCAGGCATCATCACCCAGCTGCCTTTCCTGCTGCTGTATTGGGTCCAGGGTTCACATCATAGCAGTGGTCTTTAGACTTCATAGAAATCAAAATCAAATGTCCCTCTGGGTTTGACTGGAGTCATGCCTAGCAAAGTCATTGGAAGGGCACTGGCTGGTACTTGGGGAGGAAGCCACTATTTCACACATAGATTCCCTTTGCCTTTTGTTTGCCACTGTGAAATGAAACCAGTACTTACACTAGAGAGTCTTCACTGAACTTGCCAGCTTTAGCAAAAATCTAAAGGATCTTGCCAGCTTTAGATTGATTATAAGGCAGGAATTACCTGACATATTGATGCTCCCCTACGATACCCCTACCCAGTTCCAAGCACACAGTGGTATTCCAAATAAACATTGTGGATGATTCTGATATACATTTTCAGGAAGCAAGAAAACCTCTGTAGCTGGCAGGAGCCTGCTGCTGAGTTGCCTGCTCAGTCTTGGAAGACCAGAGTGGAATGTGCTCAGCAAATATGCTCTGGTGGAAAGAAGGCAGGTTAGAAGGTTACTTATATCAGCAAACTCAATGTAATTATTCATGAAAGAAGAATCATCTAGGTCATCATCATGATCTGTAAGTCTCAAGTTGTGCTCCTGAGCTCATGCTTATCATTGGCTCCCCTGCTATCAACAAATTTCTACCTGCCTTGGCTTCACTTTCAGGGCCCTGCATTTTAGGGTCAGAACTCCTCAATCCAGCTTCATCTCACACCTCGCTCTCACAAAAGCGTTATGTTCCAGACCTTCAAGTGAGTCAGAATTTAAAGCTGCCACGTTGTGCCTTCTCTCATGTTATCTTTTCCCATCTGAGACTCCTCAAATTTCATCTGTCAAAATTACTCTAAGCTGCGATGGTTAATATTATGTGTCAACTTGACTGGGTGACAGAGGTGCCCAGCTATGTGGCTCAACATGATTTCTGGGTGTGTCTGTGAAGGTGTTTCCAGTGAGATTATTATTTGAAACAGGGGACTCATAATGCAGACTGCCCTCTTCAGTGTGGCTGGGCCTCATTCAATCCATGGAGGGCCTGACAAGAACAAAAGGTAAAGAAAGGAGGAATTCTCCCCTTTTCTTCTGCCTGAATGCTTGAGCTGAGACATCAGTACTCTCCTATCCTTGGACTGAGATCTACACCACTGCCCCTGTTTCTCAGGCCTTCAGACTCTGACTAAATTACACCACTGGCTCCTGGGTCTCCAGCTTCCAGATGGCAGATCGTGAGACTTCTCAGCCTCTGTAATTGCATGAGTCAATTTCTTATCATAAATCTCCTTCTATACATACATGTTCAATTAGCTGTTTCTCTAAAGAATCTTGACTAACACACAAGCCCAATTCAAGTACCACCTTTTCTGGGAGAGGCAGTCTGCCACAGGCTCCAAGCATCTTTGTTCATCCTTGCTGAGTGTGACAAACTGCAAGGCCTAACCATCCCCAACCCCGAGCCATGCTGGGGCTAGTCACGTGGGCAGTGAAGTAGGTCAAGGTGGCCACAGCATGACGACCGTGCAACTGCACAGAGGATCAGCTTGTTTGCTGTTCACTACACAGGGTGCTGAGCCCTTGACCCTAGTACCCTCAGGTGCACAATCCACCAAGTGGGTACATCACATTGCCCAATGGGACTTGGTGGAGCAGGGAACCTGTGCCACCTGGCTGATGCACCTGGTTGTGTTATGTAGTGTCAGACTGCATGTCCTGATCCAGTAATTCTGATGTCTAATTTCGGCTTGCCCGCAGCTGTGCCAGGCTGGCCAGAGAGCTTGCTCGGTCTCCTCCTTTGGTGTCTGCTTACTTCTTGCCATTCTCTATGAGGATGAGGTTATTCCCTTATCTTCTTCTTTTGCAAAGTCCCATGAAATTTCCAAAAGGCCATGAATTGCTGGACTGCTAAGCCCTGTAGCTCCCTGACCTAATGCTACAACTTGGGTATTCCACACTGTCATCCTATAAGAGCCTAAATTCCATGAGGGCAAAAGTCAGGTGATAACAGAGGATGAATTCTATGTCTATCTCATGAATAAGTAAAAGAATGAATGAATGAATGAGTAAGTGAGGAAAGTCCCAAAAGATACCTTAGAATTTTGTAACTGTTCAGTCACCTCTAATATTTACTATATTCTTTATGTTCCCCTGAAAGGTGCCTTGCCTAACTCAATCACACCAGGTCTTTTCAAAACCAAATGAAAGCTTCTAAAACTGAAGTAAACCAGCAAGTTGAAAGGAGATGACTAATCGTGCTCTTCTAGGGTTTAGACTTACGGAAATCCCTGCACTCTGCCACACGTGGGATATCCGGTAGCCCACCAGTTCTCCATCCTGCTGCTTAGTCGGAGGCTTCATCCATCTGATGTCCACATTATCACTAGATTCATTCAGAAACACAGTGACATTTAAAGGTGCTACTGATGGGGCTACAAAAGAAAAAAGGAGAGAAGAATGAAGAACCACAAAGCACACACAGATGTATTCTCATCTGGGTTTTCAAGTGTTTGGTTTTCAAATGCTCTATGAAAAGCACTCAAATGAGACCAAGACTTATAGCACATTTTCACCTTTTCAACTAAGATTTTCACTGAGATATCAGTGAGTTTTAAATAAGTGAGCCCTTTTAGGTTACTGAAGCCTAGAAATTCATTTCTTAAGTTGAAAATATCAGCCAGAACATAGTGAGACCCTTTCTACAAAACAAAACAAAAAACTAAAAAATTAGCTGACTACTTGGTGCACATCTGTAGTTCCAGTCCCTCAGGAGACAGGCAGGAGGATTCCTTGAGCCCAGGAGATTGAGGCTACAGTGAGACATGATCATACCACTGCACTTCAGCCTGGGCAGAAAAAGCAAGCAAGGAAGAAAAGAAGGAAAGAAAGAGAAAGAGAAAGAAAAGAAGAAAATGTTGGCCAGGTATGGTGGCTCATGCCTATAATCCCAGCACTTTGGGAGGCCAGAGGGAGAGGATTGCTTGAGGTCAGGAGTTTGAGACCAGCCTGGACAACATAGTGAGACTCCAATCACCACTAAAAATAAAAAATTAGCTGGGTGTGATGGCACAGGTGTGTAGTCCCAGCTACTTGAGTGGCTGAGGAAAGATCACTTGACCCTGGAAAGTCAAGGCCACAGTGAGCCGTAATTGCACCACTGCACTCTAGCCTGGGTGACAGGGCAAGACCCTATCTCAAAAGAAAAAAAAAAAAAGGAAATTTCATGAGCACCTAAAGTAAAATAGCAAAGAAGAAGAAGGCAGGGAAGGTAGGGTGGGTGGTGCTCTGGACTCCTGGGGAAGTGAAGCAGACACAACTTGAACAATGTTCTCCAGCATAAACCTGTGGGGCAGAAAGTTAACATGGCCAGCTAGAGATCAGCTTGGTGGCATTTGAGATGCACAAGGTAGGAAACACTGCTGAGCTCAGAATGCAGCCACCATTTTAAAGTCCAGAGGCAAGTTACTGACAGTCTGAACAGAGCTAATCTGTCAACACATTTAAAAAGTGTGTGTGTGTGTGTGTGTGTGTGTGTACACGAGTGTACGTGTATAAAATAATTTGGGAAACAAGTCAAGATCATTACTACAGTCTTTTTTGGGAGAGAATAACTTAACTATATCTATTAAAATTGAAAATAATATGCTCTCTGACCAAATATTTTATTTCCAGGAATTTAATCTGTAGGTGATGTTATATTCATTGCAGCATAATAGTGACAAATAGAAATAAATGCAATGCTTGGTCAATAATTATGATATAATCTGGGAGATGGAGGTTGCAGTGAGTCAAGATCATGCCACTGCACTTCAGCCTGGGCAACAGAGTGAGACTCTGTCTCAAATAATAATAATAATACAAATTTTGATACATTTTCCAATGGAATACTTACTACCTCGTCACTGGAAAGAATTAGGTCATGTGTATTGATATAAAAAAATCCAATGGGGGAAAAATCAGATTGTAAAAAGTATATAGATCCATTTTAGAAATTAAAACAATAAACCTTCTATATCTAGAAAGAATAATAACAATTAGAATAATATACACCAAACTGTTGCCTGTAGTTGAATGAGGGGAGGTTAAATTCTATATTTCAGATATGTGTGAAAGGATACTATAACCCTCTTTTTCTCTGCTGATTCCAGAAACAGTAATCATGAAGTTAAAATGAATTTCAGCTTAGAAAACATCACACAACTAAAGCTGCCTATGAAATCAGTCGCACACTTTCAAACCTGTTGTAGAATTTGTGGATAAATATGGCCAACACAACATGTCTGTATGTCTGCCTCCTCCCAAAACCCCTCTATGATGGCAATAAAGAATTTAAAAAGATATAAACTCACAAGGCAAAGAGGAGTCAACAGTAGAAGAGAGATTTCAACACATATTTGAAAGCTGAAAAAGAGATGAAGAAGGTATAATTAACTCAGCAAGCCAATATTCTCCCAAAGAATCACAGAGCAGCTCAGAAGCTGTGGGCCCAGGTAGTAAAATGGGGACTAAAACTGGAAAGAATGATTGGAAGTCTGATTAACAAATAGTTGTGTCTCTGCCGGGCGCAGTGGGTCACGCCTGTAATCCCAGCATTTTGGGAGGCCGAGGCGGGTGGGTCACGAGGTCAGGAGATCGAGACCATCCTGGCCAACACGGTGAAACCCCGTCTCTACTAAAAATACAAAAAATTAGCCGGGCGTGGTGGCGGGCGCCTGTAGTCCCAGCTACTCAGGAGGCTGAGGCAGGAGAATGGCATGAACCCGGGAGGCAGAGCTTGCAGTGAGCCGAGATTGTGCCACTGCAGTCCGGCCTGGGCGAAAGAGCGAGACTCCGTCTCAAAAAAAAAAAAAAAAAAAAAAAAGAAATAGTTGCGTCTCAAAGTCTGTCTTCTCCATGCCTACACACCTGGCAAGTATGCCCTCAAATATCCATAGGACACAGGGTGATTTATTCTCTGAAGCAGAAAGCCACTAAACTTAGGGCACCTGTAGAATGGAGGCATGATAAGGAGCCAGGCTGAAAACTGGGAAAATAAGTGAAAGTTTATATACTAAATAACAAGGACTCTACCTTCCCCTCCTCCCCCACTTGGCTACTAGAATATCAGCAGCCACGTTTAATTCCTGGAGCAGGACACTTCTTTTCTAGAGGAAGTGAGCGGCTACAGAGGAAAGAAACCAATTTTGACAGTTGGGGGGTATCGTATCTAGATCAAAACACTTAGGTCACTGTCCAATCACCTATAGTGAAGCCTACAAGCTCTGCCCATACCCACAGAGTTCCAATCAAATCAATGATTCTTCACTCTTCCATAGGAGCAGACAGCAGAAATTAGCAGAGGTCTGGCGAAGCCTCCCCACTGAATATCAGGGACCAAAAAAAACCACACAGAACAGAGGGCTTAGAGGAGACAAAGCTAGTGTAGGGAACTAGGGAGACTAAAGACAAACAAACAAAAAATAATTGAGATATCCAGAAAAGACTCTTATGATTGAGAACCAGAAAAAAATTTTCAATGAAAAAAACTTGAAATTAGCAACATGATAAGTAAAATAAAACATTTAATAGAAGAATTGGAAGATAAATCAAGTAAATCTCCAAGAAGGTAGAATAAAAAGGCAAAGAAAATAGGCCAATTTGAAAAAAGAAAATTGAGGAAGCAATCGAAGAGGTCTAATTAACAATCGTCTAACACAATTCCTGGAAAAAACAGAGAGTGGAACATTTCCAAAGGAAAAAAAAAAGTTTAAGGACCAAAAGACTTGCATTTCCAGATCAAAGGGGCCACTGAATGCCCTTGATGACCAAAACAAATTGCACATCACAGCTTATCACAGAACCAGGATTAAAGAGAAAAGATATTTTAAAAACTAAAACTGAAAAACAGTTCACATAGAAAACTTAAGTATCAGAATTTTCCACAGCAACCCATGAAGCTAAAAAATGATACAAAAACGCCTTTAAACTTCTGAGGGAAAATAATTTCAACCTAAATTTCTATATTTGGAAAAATTACTAAGCCAGTATTACATAAGGATATGCAAGTTCCCACAATCTTTACTTTTTATGTATACATTTTGTGGAAGCTAATTGAGAATGGGCTCCATAAAAACGAGGGCATAAACTAAGAAAGGCAAATACCCAGGAGAAGGCACCAGAATCCTTAGGATGCCTCTAAAGGAAAATAGAAAAAGAACCACACGAAACAGTTAAAGGTAATGGTATCCAGGCTTCACACGGGGGAAGAATAGTGCCTGTTCCCATCAATCAGACTGGAAAATCTAATGATTCAAGAAGCACTGAGTAGGGCACACAGAATGGTCTTGTGTCAGCAGTGGGTAATAACCGACCTGAGACTGAGCCCTTATCAGGTTCTGCCTAATAAATCTTAAAAGCAAGACCCTACAGGATTAAACGGTTTCCCACTAGCTTAACTGTGTCTCAAAACAAAGCTCACTATTTACAGAAATAGAAGAATATCTAGCATCCAACACTGTAAAATTCTCAATGTCTGTAATCCAATCAAACATTATCAGGCGTGCAAAGAACCTGAAAAATACTACCTAGAGTGGAAACATAAATGAATCAGTTGAAACCACCCACAGATAACATAGATGTTAGGATAGCAAACAAAGACATTGAAACAGTTATGAAAAGGCTGGGCACGGTGGCTCATGCCTATAATCCCCTATTATAGGCTCATGCCTATAAACATTTTGGGAGGCTGAGGTGGGAAGATCATTTGAGGTCAGGAGTTTGAGAGCAGCCTGGGCAAAATAGTGAGACCCTGTTTCTATAAACAAACAAACAAACAAACAAACAAAAAACATGCTGGGTGTGGTGGCTCATGCCTGTTATCCCAGCACTTTGGGAGGCCAAGGCAGGCAGATCACCTTAAGTCAGGAGTTCAAGACCAGCCTAACATGGAGAAACCCCATCTCTACTAAAAATACAAAATTAGCTGGGCGTGATGGTGCATGCCTGTAATCCCAGCTACTCAGGAGGCTGAGGCAGGAGAATTGCTTGAACTCAGGAGGCAGATGTTGCGGTGAGCTGAGATTACACCATTGCACTCCAGCCTGGGCAACGAGAGTGAAACTCCATCTCAAAAAAAAAAACAAAAAACAACCAAAAAACAAAACATAAAAAAAAAAACCAAAAATTAGCTGGGTGTGGTGGCATGCACCTGTAGTACCAGCTACACAGAAGGCGAAGGTGAAGGTGGGAGAATTGCTTAAGCCAGGAGTTCAAGACTGCAGTGAGCTATGATTGGCGCTGCACTCCAGCCTGTGTGACAGAAAAAGGAAAATAAGAAAGAAAGAAAAAAGGAAAGTAATTATAACTGCATTCTGGATGGTCCAAAACTTAGAGACATAAAAATGCAAAAAAGAGATAAAAATTACGGTGTATGAGATGAAATATAAACTGGATAGGACTAATGTCAGATGAGATACTACACCAAAAAAGATGAGTGAAATTGAAGACATAGCAACAGAAACTATCCAAAATAAAATGTAGAGATAAAAGAAGGGGAAAATAATAACAGATCATCAGTGAGTTATGGGACAACTTCAAATGGTCTAATATATATGTAACTGGAGTCCTTAAAAAAGAGGATAGGTGGAAACAGAAAAAAAATGTGAAGAAATAATGGCCAAACTTTTTCCAAATTTGATGTAAACAACAAATACAGAGACCCCAGAAGTTCAATAAACTCCAAACACAAGGCATATAAATAAAATTACACCAAAGCCTGTCACAATTCAATTGCTCAAAATCAGTGATAAGGGTAAAAATAGGAACAAAAGACACATTACATACAGAGGAACAAAGTTAGGATGATCACAGATTTCATGTGGGAAACAATGCAAGCGAGAAGATAGGGGAGCAACTTCTTTTAATGTACTGAAAGTAAAAACAAACAAACAAAAGCTAAAATTGTGAACCTACAGTTCTATACCTCATAAAAATACCTTTCAAAAATGAAGGCTAAAAATAAAAATAAGAACACTTCAAAAGTAAAATAAATATTTTTCCCCAGACTACAGGAGCTGAATACCATACCAGCAGATCCACACTAGAAGAAATGATTTTTAAAAAAGTTCTTCAGGAAGAAGGAGAATGATGTCAGATAAAATATAAAGACCAAAAAATGAAGACCACTAGAAATGGTAACTATAATGCATAAACATGTGTTTTTCCTGGTTATATAAATCTCTTTGTAAAAGATTACTGACTGAACAAAAATAACAACAGTGTAGCAATGGTATTTTAAGATACATTAAAGTAAAATATTTGACAACAGTAGCCAAAAATATCTGAAGGAGAAAATGGAATATATGTGAAATGGTATAAATCACTTGAAGGTACACTGTGATAAGTTAAATATGTACACTGTGAATCCTAAAGCAACCACTAAAAGAACAGAAAAAGAGCTATGGCTAATAAGCCAAACAAAGAATAAAAAATAAGAATCATAAAAATATTAAACATAGAATCATAAAAATATTAATATTAAAAATATAAAAATAATATTTTTAAATGAAGAAAAAGAAGAAAAGGAGAACAAATTACAGATAGAACAAATAGAAAATACGATGCAATTAAACCTATCCATTTGAATGATTCGATTACATTTTAATGGACTTGTGGGTTATTTTATGTGTATATATGTGTGTATATGTACATATATATAATAACCTACACACACACACACACACACACACACACACACACACACACACACACACAGGTTTTTGTCATGATTTCTGGCTTACAACTCCCATAGCCCTGGTTACAATCTTTTGCTATGATGTTGGGTGCTTTACGCCTCAGGGGCAGGCCTCAGAAAACAATCTCTCTGACCTCTTCCCGCCCTCCTTTCACCTGCCTCAATGCAGGACTCTAATCTTCCCCATCTTTCTGACTGTGGGTCATAAGACCCTTATTACAAAGGGGGTCCTGACCCATAACCTGGAGGAAGGAATGCTGACATCATGAAGCTTCCACAAAAAAACAAGAGAACAGGGTTCAGAGAGCTTCCAGATAGCTGAACATGTGCAGGTTCCTGGAGGGTGGTGCGCCCAGGGAGGGCATGGAAGCTCCACACCCTTTCCTTCTATATCTCATCCTCCGCATCTCTTCATTTGTATCCTTTGTAATATCCTTTATGATAAACTGGTAAATATAAGTATTTCCCTGAGGTCTGTGAACCGTTCTAGCAAATTAATTGGACACAAAGCTGAGGTCATGGGAAACACTTAGTCAGAAGTTCCAGAGGCCCAGACTTGTGATTGGCATCTAAAGGCTGGGGACGGGGTTGGGAGGGAGGGGAGGCCTGGGGATTGAGTCCTCAACCTATGGGATCTGAAGCTATCTCCATGTAGTGTCAGACTTGAATGGAGGACACTCAGCTGGTCTCCGCTGCAGAGCCGACTGCTTGCTGGTGGAGAGAAATCCCCACATATATTGGAGTGGCCGAAGGCTTCTGTATTGACCACTGTGTTGGTAACATGTATTGATTGTTGTGTTGTGAGAGAGCATGTTTTAAAGTGTGCTGCTATTATCTCCTATGTAAAAGAAAAGATTACCTATACATAACACGGCTAAGTTTTGTCACTGAATGCTTTTACAGTATGGAGGAAATATCTTTCCCATTTTCATCAGTCGCCTCAATAATTTTCTCCTCCAGAGACAAAGTCCAAACAAAGCAAAGTTTCAACTCTCAGTCAGGCCACTGGGAAGGGTTTGTTGAATCACATGTCATTGGGGGCAATATACATTCTGAACCCCAGGAATTACCTCCTTCAGTCGTGCTGGCTAGAATCCAAGGGCTCACTGCAGACCAGCCTATTTCATTCATGCAGGAAACACCAATGCTGTAATTAGCCAGGGCTTGCAGCTGCTTGATTTGGTACAGATGTGGTAAGGCAGAGGTGTTAAAAATCATGACTGAGCCATTACTCAGCGGATCAGCTTCCTTGACCTAAACGAAGAGTAAACATGAGGACCGGGCATTAGTAAGGTGGTGGGAATGTCAGGCACGGGGCCTGTGTGCATTCGGTGCACGTGGCCCTTCCTCTACGCTAAGGGGAAGGACCTGCTTCCTTTCTGGGCACACACACATTTTACCGCTAGCATCACTGTGTGTTACTCATGCCCTCGGACAATAACTGAACACCTGAGGAAAACGCCTAAAATAACAATTAACAATTCTCACTGTGGCAGGTAACGGAGCAAATAATTATGATGATTAGAATTCATATTATACTATAAAATAAAGCCTCTCCTCTCTTAGAACCTCTTCGATTCTTGACCTCTTTCAGCTGCTTCATGGAGTATGCAACAGAGGAAACAGATATAATATGTGCTGGCAAACCCTGAAATATTTACTATTTTGCCTTTTAAAGGAAATATTTCCCAAATTCTGCTTTTAGAGGATGGGTTTCTTGCTTTCTTTTTCTTTTCTTTTCTTTTCTTTCTTTTTTTTTTTTTTTTTTTTTTTGAGATGGACCTTCGCTCTCTTTGCCCAGGCTGGAGTGCAGTGGTGTTATCTCAACTCACTGCAACCTCCGCCTCCCGGATTCAAGCAATTCTCCTGCCTCAGTCTCCTGAGTAGCTGGGATTACAGGCATGTGCCACCACGCACAGCTAATTTTGTATTTTTAGTAGAGATGGGGTTTCACTATGTCGGCCATGCTGGCCTCGAACTCCTGACCTCAGGTGATCCACCTGCCTTGGACTTCCAAAGCGCTGGGATTACAGGCGTGAGCCACCACACCCAGCGTTTCTTAATCTTTCTTTTTATTATGTAACCTAAGGAACACTGCTCTTGCCTTGAGGCTAACTTTATTTTATTTTATTGTTATTATTATTACTACTTTTTTTGAGATGGAGTCTGACTCTGTTGCCCAGGCTGGAGTGCAATGGTTTGACCTCCGTCTCCCAGGTTCAAGTGATTCTCCCACCTCAGCCTTCAGAGTAGCTGGGATCACAGGTGCCTGCCACCACGCCTGGCTAACTTTTTTTTTTTTTTTTTTTTTTTTTTAGTAGAGGTGGGGTTTCACCATGTTGGCCAGGCTGGTCTTGAACTCCTGATCTTAAGGGTTCTGCCTGCCTTGGCCTCCCAAAGTGCTAGGATTACAGGCGTGAGCCAATGCACTCATCCTGAGGCTAATTTTAGTGTGTCCTTTATTCTTAACCCCTTCGACCCCAACAGAAATTGAATTCCAGAGGCACACACAGGAAATGTAGATTCTTGGCTTTTTTTTTTTTTTTTTTTTGATGAGGAGATATAGCAAAGGGTCATTTGCCCCTCCTTCAGAAAACTTTTCTCCAAATCTCCTTTAAACATACTGCCTTATCTTTCCCTCCATAACTCCACCAGTCTCTCCACATCCCCCTCCAAATCTCTGTATACATAGGCAAGAGAGGGCGATTCCCAGCACAAGTCTAGTCCTGGGCGAAACTTCCATCTCTTTCCTCGCATACCTCCTGTCTGGGTATGGGGATAAGGGAGAGTATGGGATTTTGTTCTCCATTACATGCTTTTTCAAAATTTCTGTAATATGTGGCACTTATAAAATCAGAACAGACAAAATGATATCGGGTAAAACATGCAACTGAGAGCAATTTGGGAAAAATCCTCAGGCCACAAAATGTATTACTGTTAATAATGGGCTTGCAGTTCTGGGCTCTGGATATACAGTACTGTAATTTCAGGCTATGTGTGCTTGAATCTTAGGTCAATGAACCAGAAATAAACATTCTGGAATTCCAAATCCCCTGGCAGATACCAGGAGTACGGTGTGGGGGTTGAGTTTCACCTCTGACTCAGACCCCGTGGGTGACAAGAAGGTATCATTTGGCCTGAGGAGCCACCAGAGGAGAAACGAGAACCCAGACGCTTGTCTTGGTGGTGGCTGTTGGCAGACATCACTTTTTGTTTGTTTCACTTTAGAGTGTGCACCTACTTCCTGGTGACCAACCACCAAAGCGAAGGTGGAGGAAACCTTTGGCTCTCCTCCCCGCCCCACTTCCAGAGACATGTGGGGAGCACTTCCAGGCTCAGGGACACTGTCTGAGAGCACGTTCCTAGAGGAAAACAGAGTTTCTATAACAGTCCTTCTCAGTCAGTGGGTCCTCAGGGAAAACAGGCATGAAGTGGCAAGAAGTACATGGGAGAGCTAAAATTAGAAATGGAGTGTGTGGCCCAAAAATGGGTGAAGAAAAGAGCTAAGATCAGGACCAAAGGAAGTGAGAGGGTGTGTCCTGCTAGTGCATGGATCTGAATCTCATCCAAAACATTCATTTGGTCCCGAGTCAGAGTTTAAAATTATAATTTTACAAAGCCATACTTGGTCCCTTCAAAAACTGGGAATACACTGTTAATGACAGAATAGAAAAGATAACTTTTAGAGCTTGTGCTGATTAACCCCAGTGGGACTGCAAGAGAATATAAAGGACACCTAGTTAAACTTGAATTTCAAAGAAACAACAAGTAACTTTTCAGTATAGGTATGTCACGACATTATTCATGCAGTTTAACTGGGTGTCCTGTATTCTTATTTGCCAAATCTGGAAAGCCTACCAGAGATGGAAAGGAGAAAGGATGAATGGAGGCTGAGCTAGCCAAGGGGGACAAGAACAGAATCATCATATCCAGCACCACAGAATCCAAGGTGGGCAAGAAAACACTGGACTTTGGCTGTCTCAGGATGCTTCTTCATGTGTACCATGAACACCCAAAACCATGGCAGAAAGAGAGCAGGTAAATCTTGTGTGTGATCATCTTCCATCATCAGGGGTGACCTGGTGTTTTCAGACTTTTCAACCATCCTACCCACCTCACGTCACTGAGACCTGCCGTCTCAAGGTGGGGTGGTACTCTTCCTGAGAGTCTCCCTGAAGCTCACCATCCTCATGTTTCATGTCCTCTCAGGCTCTTCAAACAACTCAGCACTTTGGTAACAGTTTTAAAAAGGGCTGGCCCATGCTTCAGTTATGTCCATGTATATAAATGTCTACCTCAGCCTGGGTGACATGGTGAAACTACATCTCTACTAAAAACACAAAAATGAGCCAGGCGCAGTGGCAGGTGCCTGTAGTCCCAGCTACTCAGGAGGCTGAGGCAGGAGAATTGCCTGAACCCGGGAGGCAGAGGTGGCAGTGAGTTGAGACTGTGCCATTGCATTCCAGCCTGGGCAATAAGCGCGAAACTCTGTCTCAAACAAACAAACAAACAAATAAATAAATGTCTACCTCTAGGGAAAGAGGCCCTGGATATTTCTAACAACAGAGCCCCAAAAGAACATGAAGCAAAAACTGATAGAACGGAAGGGAGAAACAGACAATTCAAAAATAAGAGCTGAGATCTCAATTCCCCATTTTCAATAACAGATGGAACCATGAGACAGAGTATCAGCAAGGCAACAGAAGACTGAAGACTCTAAACCAACAAGACCTAAACCACATGCACAAAACACTTCATCCAACAACAGCTGAATGTACATTCTTCTCAGGTGCACACAAAACTTTCTCCAGGATAGGACTTAGGTCATAAAACAAGCCTTAATAAATTTAAAAGGATCACAGTCATGTGAAGTATATTCTCCAAACACAGTAAAATAACATTAGAAATCAGTAAAGGAAGAAAATTTGGGAAATTCATAATTATGTGACAATTTAAATACACACTTCTAAATAATCAAGAGGACAAAAAAAATTCACAAGGAAAATGACAGAAAACTTGAGATGAACAACAACAACAACAACGAAAACCTTATGGGATGCAGCTAAAGCAGTGCTTACAGGGAAATGTAGAGTGTAAATGCCTATTTTTTTTTATATATAAAAGAACACAATCAATAACCTAACCTCTACCTTACAAAACTAGAAAAAGAGCAAACTAAACCAAAGCAAACAGAAAAAAAAGAAACAAAAATTAAGGCAGAAATAAAGAAAATATAGAATACAAAAACAATAGAAAAAAATTCACAAAATCAAAGGTTGGTTATTCAAAAAGATAAATAAGATTGACAGATTTTTAGCTGGACTGACTAAGAAAAATAAGAGAGAAGACAAATTACTAAAACCTGGAATGAAACAGGGGATCTTATTACTAACCTCAAAGAATAAAAAAGGTTATAATGGAATACTATGTACTATGTTGTATACCAATAAATTAGATAACTGAGACGAAATGTTCAAGTTCCTATAACATAGAAACTACCAAAGCTGACTCAAGAAGTAATAGAAAATCTGAATAGACTCATACCAAGTAAAAAGATTGAGCTAATATTGAAAAAACTTTCCACAAAGAGAACAAATTTTATTAAATATTTAAAGAAGATTTAACATCAATCTTTCACAAATTCTTCCAAGAAAAGAACAAGAAGAAGGAGAAGAAGGAGGAGAAGGAGGAGGAGAAGGAGGAGAAGGAGGAGGGAGGAGGAGGGAGGAGGAGGAGGAGGGGGGAGGAGGAGGAGGGAGGAGGAGGAGGAGGGAGGAGGAGGAGGAGAAGGGAGGAGGGAGGAGTAGGGGGAGGAAGGACAAGGGAGGAGGAGGGAGGTGGAAGGAGGAGGAGGGAGGAGGAGGAGAAGGAGGAGGAGGACTTTCATACTTATTCTAGAAGGTCAATATTACACTGATGCCAAAACCAGAAAAAGCTACCACAAGAAAACTACAGACAAATATCTCTTATGAATATAGACACAATTAGATAGTGGTAATGGCTGCACAATTCTTGAATATACTAAACACCGTTGAACTGTACATTTTAAATAATGGGTGAATATAATGGTATATAAAATATATCTCAGCTGGGCGTGGTGGCTCACACCAGTAATCCCAGCACTTTGGGAGGCTGAGGCTGGTGGATCACTTGAGGTCAGGAGTTTGAGAACAGCCTGGTCAACATGGTGAAACCCCATGTCTAGTAAATATACAAAAATTAGGTGGGCGTGGTGGCACCCGCCTGTAGTCCCAGCTACTCGGGTGGGTGAGGCAGGAGAATTGCTTGCACCCAGGAGGCAGAGGTTGCAGTGAGCCGAGATCACACCACTGCACTCCAGCCTAGGTAACAGAGCGAGACTACGTCTCAAATTAAAAAAAAAAAAAGTAAACTATATCTCAAAAAAAGGTGTTAAAAAAAATCAATCACAAAAAAGACCATTCCTGGTGAGGAATTGTAGATGCAGTAAGAATTCCTAACACTTACCAGTGCTTGGGAGGCTTACAGGAAAAAAAACAAAAAACAAAACTGAGCAAGAATTAAGAAAGGCTGGGCAGGGCGCGGTGGCTCACGCCTGTAATCCCAGCACTTTGGGAGGCCGGGACAGGCGGATCATGAGGTCAGGAGATGGAGACCATCCTGGCTAACACGGTGAAACCCCGTCTCTACTAAAAATACAAAAAATTAGCTGGGCGCGGTGGCGGGGGCCTGTAGTCCCAGCTACTCAGGAGGCTGAGGCAGGAGAATGGCGTGAACCCGGGAGGTGGAGCTTGCAGTGAGCTGAGATCGCGCCACTGCACTCCAGCCTGGGCAACAGAGCGAGACTCTGTCTCAAAAAAAAAAAAAAAAAAAAGAAAGGCTGGAGGTGGTGGGTGAGGGCGGAGGCTATTTTACGGATAATACAGGCTTTTACTCTTCAGGGAAGGAACACCTGTTAGATAAAAGTGGGAGGCGTTAAGAACAGAGAAATTAATTTGACTAGCGAGTAAAAACATCTAGTTGTCAACACAAAATTCTTTGAGCTGTGTTGGCATGACTGGCCTGTGTCAGGTTAACATATTTTTAACTAATGAGACCAGATATTTAGTAAACTAATTCCTGACCCTACTGTATGATTAAGTACCAGGCAGGATGCATTAATACTTTTAGTGGATAATTCCTGCATGTTCGGTAACCTGCTCCCAGATGCGATGTCCCTCCTGAGACGGAAGAGCTGATGGTTCTGACCGCTGCTTTAGGCACTGGAGCTTCCTGGACTTGAGTTCTGGTTCTACCACTCACAGGCTGTGTGAGTACTCTGAGCCTGCAGTGCAGCGTGTGTTAAGTAAGATAATGTTTGCAAAGCCCCTGTGGTCCCTTAGTAAACAGTTGTTACTGCCACCATTTTCATTTTTATGAAGTGAAAACTCAAGAGCACAGCTTACATCATGGGCAAGTTATCATTTTAGGATGGCTAATAGCACCGTTTCATACCCATTCAAGGCAGCAGTGAAAAATGGCTGAAGATTCCACAAGGCCTGCAATGACCAGGATCCCCCGGTGACACTGGGTAAGGTGCTACGCTCAGTAGCACAGACGACCTATCTTGTCCTGGCCCTTCTGTCCTTCATGGCCACCAGCCCAGAAGGAGCCACACTGGGGAGTGCCTGGGTTCCTCAACTCTTGGTCACAAGCATGTGTTTCGGGACCTTAAAAATGAACTCTCCCTGGTCTTGGCTGGGCGTGGTGGCTCACGCCTGTAATCCCAGTACTTTGGGAGGCCGAGGCGGGCGGATCACTTGAGGTTGGGAGTTTGAGACCAGCCTGACCAACATGGAGAAACCCCATCTCTACTAAAAATGCAAACTTAGCCGGGCATGGTGATGCACGCCTGTAATCTCAGCTACTCAGGGGGCTGAGGCAGGAGAATTGCTTGAACCAGGTGGAGTTTGCGGTGAGCCGGGATCACACCATTGTACTCCAGCCTGGGCATCCAGCCTGGGCAACAAGAGTAAAACTTTGTCTCAAAAAAAAAAAGAAGAAGAACTCTCCCTGGTCTCATGATGTTCTCCCTTGGAAACACGTTTTGCTTCTGACTGAGCCCTGAATCCTGCACAGGAAGGACACAGTATCATGGGCAGAGCATGGACATGGAATAGTGCATGCATGCTGGACACTGAAGCAGGGAGGTCAGGGGACTCTGTACAGAGATGGAGAAATGCCCTCCATGCCCATCCTTGGAAGGAAGAAAAATCCTTAAACCCACAGAGAGCACCAAACAGCTACTTCCCTCTTCACCCTGGAACTTTACCTGAATGCTGCAATTCCTGAACGGGGAGTATCCATCAAAACCAGGAACCCAGGAGATCAGAATGCTGTGTGCAGTGCTGTTACGGATGCTGACTTCAGTTGGTGGGGAGGGAATTGCTGCATAAAACAAAACACACACACACACATACACACACAAACACAATTATAGATGACAGGCTACAGCTACCAAACAAATGCATTAATACCTGTTTTCGTTCCTTGAGATTAGTAAAGGGAAACATGTTTTCAAGAGGAGCCTCCCTATGCCTGAGGGTAATTGTGTTAGCCTATGGATGGGCCAAAGAAGTCTTCCAGTGAAGGGCCAAAGAAGTGAACGCAGACCCACTTTCCTATTCACTAATGAAATGAGGAGACCTTTGAACTGGAAAAGATGTGGAAATACTCATGTCCTTTACTGAGTACATGTTCATGGACCCTACTGTGTGCACCTGGCTGGGCACTAGCTTACTAAACAGAGACAGAGTCATAGCCCTGCCCTCGTGGAGCACATGGCCTGGTATAGGAGACCCACGTTAACCAAGAATAAGAGCGCCCTGTCACCAGAAGAGAGGGGTGCCACAGGAGAGTGTGTGCACGCATGAGTGTGCATGTGTATGTGTGCATGTGTAGGGGGAGCTTTCCAGGCCGAGGAAACACTAAGAGTCAGTTCAAGCAAAAGAGCCAGCTGCATCTGCTGGGGGAGGGGAAGGGGTGTGTGTCCTCGAATGGGTGGGCTATGACCTTGGAAACAGATGGGTGAAGGGTAGCTATTTCAATTAGAATCCAAGAAGGATCTTAAATTTGGGGAATCTTATTTCTTTGTGCTGAATTTAATTCATAATAATAATTACACTCATAATTAAAAATGAAGGCTAACACTTCCTGTGCTTGCTATGTGCCAGACACTTTGAGGGCTTTCTTTAATCATTCCTAGAATCCAATTAGAGAAGTAGTCTTACAATCCACATTCATAGATAAGGAAACAGGATCAGAGAAGTTAAAAGCTTGGCAAAAGTCACAGAGAGGTTGTAAGCAGTACAACAGGGACTTGAACTCTGGTCTGCCTGACCCTGGAGCTTGTGTCCCTCAACAGGACACTGGAGGCCTATTGCCAAGGGCAGCAAGCAGACAGTGGGAACACCAGCAGGGACTGTGAGTCTGGTTTACCACCTGACCTGCTGTATGGCCCCAGGCACAGCTACACACGCCCTATCTACAACTACACACAGTTGTCTCCTCTATAAATGGGGATAGTACCAGCACTGCTCCATGGAGCTGTGGTGAGGAATAAATGTGGGGAACTGTGGATGAGGCCCAGGGAGGGTGTGGTGAGGATGAAGGTGATGATGGAATGAGCAGGAGAGAAGGAGGAAGGTGTGTCAAGACCATATCAAGCGTGCCCTGGGGGCCACATTTAGGAGTTTGGGTTTGATTAGTACACACAAAGCCTTGGGAATGGGGAAGAATAAGGTTTGACTCACTTTCCTCCACAGATTATTTGTGGAACTGCCCTAAAGCATCTGCCTTTCCAGACCAAAATTTGACCACATATACCATAGTAATTACACATTAGAAGAAGGGAGGCTTGGTAGCTTTGACATAAATTTTATAATAAATGAAAGCCAAAAACAGAAGTTTGGGGAATGATCTAATAGAATAAAACCTTAGCTGAGATTCTGAAGCATAAAATTGGAGAAGTGCTTTTCATTTTATACATTTTTAAATTTTAAGAGGTTTATACTTCATGAAAATGTCTTTACAAACTCACACACACTCATGAATTTTTGACATTCCCAACATGTCTTTTGGAAATTGTAATAATGGGAATTGTGATGAAGGAAGGAAGTTATACACTTCCTCCAGTAATAACTTTTAGTTTGGTTATTTTTTTATCCCAGTGAACTTTTAGAATATTCCCTTTCATAGCGTTTGTCCAGTTGATTTGCTGAAACTAAAATTAGCATCTTTTTTGAGTATAACTTCTTTTGTAATTTTGAGTCTCCTTCTGTATGTACCCAACCTTTAATTCATTATTAAACAAGTTCTCCTTTTTCCTTGCACTGTTTCCCTAAGGACAAGAGGAAAAGAACATGAGCCAAATAATTACTTCTCAATATTTAAACTATGATTAAATAGTAAAACATAAAATTTGCTTGAATTTCTATGACACACTAAGGAGGATGATTTAAAATGAAATAAAAAGATACTACCTAATTGTAGGTTTTTCTTTTCTTTCAAATTTCAAGTTTAACACCTTTGATCACACAGAAGGAGAATAAGGTAGATTGGATTGAAATGTCTCCACTAGCTTGGAGGCCTTCAAATGTGTGCCTTTAATTCTATTATCATAACTCACGGCCAAGCAAGCTCAGCCTAGTGAAATCCTAGCTCAGAGGAAACAAGAGGAAGAGGGAGTTTAGGAGGAAGAGGGATAGGAGCATTGGGCTCCAAAGAGTGATCTGCTTCTTGCTTTTCCTCTGTCTCCCTGAGTCAGTAGGTGGCAGGGAGTCAGTCAGCAGGCCCCGCTGACCTGGGAAGGACAGGGTCCATTTCCTAGATCATGCCCCAAGAAAGCCCCATCCCCAGGGCTCTTCAAGGGTTAATGAGTAGTTCACGGTGGAAGAGGGAAAAGTGAAAATAGGAACTAAGAAAGAGAAAACATTTTAGCTTGTTTTCTTCTTGGAGTAAGCAGAGCTAAACGAGTGAATGTTTATCAAAGACCTATATGCCAGGCACTTCTGAGTAATTTACTTGTATTAAATCAATAAGCCTCAACAATAGGTAGGTTCTGTAATTATCTCCACTTTTCAGAGGGGAACCCTGACACCAAAGAGGAGAAGTGAGTTGTCCAAGGTCACAAAGAACCTTGAGACAGTGAGAAAGCCAGGATCCACACCCAGGCAGCCAGCTGCAAGCTCATGCTGTACCCTCACCAGCTCCCAGAACATGCATGGGGAGCCTAGCCTTGCTGCTTACCTTTGATGTTGATCTGCACTCCCTTGGACACGGTCAGCCCTTTGTCATTGTGGGCCTCACAACTGAAGACCGCCATCTCCGTCAGGCCTGGAATGGAAGGAGACTCATGAGACCAGCAGCAGAGAAACAGGCTGCTGTTCACTACAATTCTATGGTTGTCTTTGTATTATTTTATTTCTTGGTTCATGGCTTTTG
Source organism: Homo sapiens (assembly GCF_000001405.40). Taxonomy (NCBI): domain Eukaryota; kingdom Metazoa; phylum Chordata; class Mammalia; order Primates; family Hominidae; genus Homo; species Homo sapiens. The sequence goes on along the minus strand of NC_000002.12, from coordinate 111,965,082 downwards.
GGCATTAGTGCAAAGTTAATTTAAAAGGTGTGCTAGCTATGGAGAAACAAACCTGGGATTAAACCCAAGGCACCAAGAGCAAGGTAGCCATGGGCCCAAAAGGCAGCTGCTTTCATTTATTCAGATCCTGAATGGTGAGACATTAGGTAATAAAGCAGGATCATTTAGATTTTTACTGCAAATCGCTAGCCCCAATATCAAGGAAAGTGGGTTCTGAGGCTCACCTGATCCTGCTGCCTAACCCCCCAGTACATACAGGGCCACTATGCTATGCATATTTCAGAATACCAGAAATAGCAAAATAAAAGCCACAGTTTAAAAATCTCAGATGATGTGTTGTAATGAATCCTTTTTTAATAGTAAAAACTGGTCAATTCACAAGGATGCATCATATAAATGCAAGGCGTTATAACTAATCGAAGAGAAGACACTAGTGCTAAATGAAAAATTCTATCATTTCAGAGGTTTGAAGACATCTTTAAAAAATTGATTTATTAATTTTAAATAGGAAGACAAGTTAGCCAGATCTTGTTTTCTAATGCCATTCTCCAATAAATGGAACCAGGGCTCCTTGGAGAAATGGCTGATTCTCAGATTGGAGCAGGAAATATATAAGTCTGGAGTAAAATATAAAACAAACACAACACACAACGTACACACACACACATGCGCGTGCGCGCGCGCACACACACACACACACACACACACACACACGAGACAATGATGGGGCATGTCAAAGAGACACAGCAGCTAACTCAAAGAGTTCCCAATGGCCAAAGCTGGAACAATTTGAGCAGGAAAATAAAGTAGCTTTGGATTATAACCCAAAGAAGAAAAAAATATCCAGGAGTCTCTACTGATATCAACAAATAATTAGATAAATTGGAGAGAATAGACAAACCTTCTTGCAGAATAATTCCAAATAGTTTATTGGATATTCTGCCCTCAAAGAGGTGGAGCATAACTCCCCACTCCTTAATGGGCTGCATACAGTGACTCCTTCCAACAAGTACATTATGGAAAGAGCAAAAAAAAAAAAGAAAGAAAATTTTTGAGTGGAGAAACTGACAAACTACCTGAGCCAGATGATCAAGTGCTATATCATGTTGACAGAATGTACCCTTGGAAACAGGTGATGAAAATGTCACTTCACCTCTATGGCCTTCCTCCCGAGAACAAAAAAACCCCAGGCTAATGATGAAAAAAATACCAGTCAGTTCTAAATTGTGGGACATTCTACAAAACACCTGACCAGTGATACCTAAAACCTGTCTGTGGGGAAAAGAAAGAGAGATCAGATTGTTACTGTGTCTGTGTAGAAAGAAGTAGACATAGGAGACTCCATTTTGTTCTGTACTAAGAGAAATTCTTCGGCCTTGAGATGCTGTTAATCTGTAACCTTACCCCCAACCCCGTGCTCCCTGAAACATGTGCTGTGTCAACTCAGGGTTAAATGGATTAAGGGCTGTGCAAGATGTGCTTTGTTACACAGATGCTTGAAGGCAGCATGCTCGTTAAGAGTCATCACCACTCCCTAATCTCAAGTACCCAGGGACACAAACACTGCGGAAGGCCGCAGGGACCTCTGCCTAGGAAAGCCAGGTATTGTCCAAGGTTTCTCCCCATGTGATAGTCTGAAATATGGCCTCGTGGGAAGGGAAAGACCTGACCGTCCCCCAGCCCGACACCCGTAAAGGATCTGTGCTGAGGAGGATTAGTATAAGAGGAAGGAACGCCTCTTGGCAGTTGAGACAAGAGGAAGGCATTGCTCTCCTGCCCATCCCTGGGCAATGGAATGTCTCCGTATAAAACCCCATTGTATGTTCCATCTACTGAGATAGGGGAAAACCGCCTTAGGGCTGGAGGTAGGACATGCGGCAGCAATACTGCTCTTTAAGACATTGAGATGTTTATGTGTATGCATATCTAAAGCACAGCACTTAATTCTTTACCTTGTCTATGTTGCAGAGACCTTTGTTCACGTGTTTATCTGCTGACCTTCTCTCCACTATTATCCTATGACCCTGCCACATCCCCCTCTCCGAGAAACACCCAAGAATGATCAATAAATACTAAGGGAACTCAGAGGCCGGCAGGATCCTCCATATGCTGAACACTGGTCCCCTGGGCCACCTTATTTCTTTCTCTATACTTTATCTCTGTGTCTTTTTCTTTTCCAAGTCTCTCGTTCCACCTAAAAAGAAACACCCACAGGTGTGGAGGAGCAACCCACCCCTTCACTGTCAAGGTCATTCAAAACAAGGAAAGTTTGAGAAATTGTCACAGCCAAGAGGAGCCTAATAAGACATAGATGACTAAATGCAATGTGGTGTCCTGGATGAGATCCTGGGACAGAAAAAGGACAGGAGGTAAAAAGCTAAGGAAATATCACTAAAGTATGGACCTTAGTTAATGATGATGTATCCGTATTGGTTCATCAATTGTAGCAAATGCACCACACCAATGTAAAATGCTAACGATAGGGGAAAGTGGGGGTGGGGTTTATGGGAAATCACTGTATTATCCCCAGTGTTTTTCTATAAGTCTAAAACAATCCTAAAATTTGAAATTTTTTTTTCTTGAGGTCGAGACTCACTCTGTCATCACCCAGGCAATGGTGCAATCCCGGCTCACTACAACCTCCACCTCCCAGGTTCAAGTGATTCTCCTGCCTCGGCCTTCCAAGTAGTTGGGATTACAGGCACCTGCCACCATGCCCGGCTAATTCTGTATTTTTAGTAGAGACGGGGTATCACCATGTTGTCCAGGCTGGTCCTGAACTCCCGACCTCAGGTGATCCACCTGCCTTGGCCTCCTAAAACGCTAGGATTACAGGTGTGAGCCACCACACCCGACCTGAATGGTTATTTTTTAGAATTACAACTATACAAGTATTTACTATGTAGTTGAATCTGGAAACTTCTATATCTGTGGCACACAGAAACATCATCTGACATACAGTAGTATCTTCATAAAATTGTTGAAAATATGCCACCATTTGCTTCTTGGCAGAAAAGCTTATTTTGTGTCTTCTGTCTACATGTGTAGGAAATTTTCCATCAGATATTTTTAAACTCAAAGCTTATCACTAATAACAGTAATAAAATATTTGAAGAATGAAAGGGAAAAAAACTTGCTGAGGGAAGCACAGCAGGCATCAGCCTAGAAAAGCTGTTCCTGGTCGGATGTCTGCATGGCCACGACTGCGCCCCGGCTGCAGCCAAGTGGTCACTACATGGCAGAGAGCTGTGACTGAGAGACGCTGTAGAAAAAATGCATGTCTGATCCTTTTTATATTAGTGCTTCTCCTGAGGGGTTAAATGTGCATAAAAAAGAAAATCAGTGCTGGTGGGTTTTTGTTATTTTCCATCTAGATGGAAGGTTGTCACCAGTGTCTGCGTTTCCCTGACTACACACGGGTCCCTCAGGGAAAAGCAAACCCATACATCTCTGTCCTATGATTCGGTGGTAACCTTTCATTTCTTCAAAAATAACATGGTATTATGGAGAGGATTTGACTGCTACTTCACAGTATCTTAATTTTCAAAGACGAGGAATACTTCCCTCAGATGGGAGGAAACCCTAAGCTGGATTGCTTAATTAAATTCTCTTGAAAATTTAAAACGCCGGCCGGGTGCGGTGGCTCATGCCTGTAATCCCAGCACTTTGGGAGGCTGAGGCGGGCGGAGGTCAGGAGATTGAGGCCATCCTGGATAACACTGTGAAACGCTGTCTCTACTAAAAATACAAAAAAATTAGCCGGGCGTTGTGGCGGGCGCCTGTAGTCCCAGCTACTCGGGAAGCTGAGGCAGGAGAATGGCTGAACCTGGGAGGCGGAGCTTGCAGTGAGCCGAGATCACACCACTGCACTCCAGCCTGGGCGACAGAGCAAGACTCCATCTCAAAAAAAAAAAAAAAAAAAAAAAGAAAGAAAATTTAAAGTGCTAAGAAACAAAAACTCCTGGTAGAAGCCATCTACTTTCATATTTTGGTCACTTCTTCTCAAGTGAGGCATGAAACTGCTACTAGTTTGTGTAGTGAATTAGAAAATATTTATTGCACTGAGGAGGAATATTTCTCTCACACCCATTACACACACATCTATAAAAGGATCCCTGTGATACTCTGCCTCGGGGTCTTTATATCTTCTGCTTGTATTACTCCTAGAGAATTTTGAAAAATATACGTGGACTCTGACACATTTTGAAGTTTGCATCCTTAAATTTTTCGTAATTTAAACATCTTCAAAAAATGTAATTTGAGGTACCTTGAATATCTTGACACCAACACCCACTGTAACGACTCTTCCCCAGCAGCAAGTTTTCCACCATGACTCTTCTACCAGCCCCAAGAATTTCATCTTAATGGTACACATTTGAAAGTTTTTGCTTAAACCATGGGAACTTATTGGCAACAAAAACATATATATACCTTGAAATTGCAAAAATATTTTCTTCTGAATTGATTATACTCATTATTAGGATGCAATTAATCAAAACAATGTAAGTGATTCTTAAACATAAGTACAACTTTATTGGAAGAGCAATTTCTTTGCTGGACAAAATTTGGAATTTTCTTTTCTTTTTTTTTTTTTTTTTTTTTGAGACTGAGACTCGCTCTGTCACTCAGGCTGGAGGGCAATGGCATGATCTTGGCTCACTGCAACCTCCGCCTCCCAGGTTCAAGCGATTCTCCTGCCTCAGTCTCCCAAGTAGCTGGGATTACAGGCATGCACCACCACGCCCGGTTAATTTTTGTATTTTTAATGGAGACAGGGTTTTACCATGTTGGCCAGGCTGGTCTTGAACTCCTGACCTCAGGTGATCCACCTGCCTCAGCCTCCCAAAGTGCTGGGATTACAGGCGTGAGCCACCACGTCCAGCCAAAATTTGGAATTTTCTGTCTCTGGAAATTTCTTAACCCCAAGACAATGCACCACAGCAACCATTCTCAAAATATGGTCAAGAGACTTCTGGGGATTCCAGAGACCCCTTCTGTAGTCCTCAGAGTCAAAACTATTTTCATAATAATAATATATTGTTTGCTCTTTTAATTCTCATTATCTCAGGAATATATGATGGAATTTTCCAAAAGAATTTCCCAGAGGCTATATGATATATGATGATGCCATAGCATAGATGTATTAGCCAATGAAGTGTATGCTTGTGTATTTTTGTGTTTTAAAAGTTTTCAGTTTTAATTTCTAATTCAGTAAATATAGATAGATATGACCCACATAAACAAGAACTCTGGTTCTTGATAACTTATGACTGTAAAAGGATCTTGAGGCCAAGCACAGTGGGCTCACTCCTGTAATCCCAGCACTACAGGAGGCTGAGGCAGGAGGATTGCTTGAGTCCAGAAGTTCGAGAGTTCAAGTCCAGAAGTTGCCCCACCCTGGGGCAACATGGTGAAACCCCATCTCTACAAAAAACACAAAAATTAGCTGAGCATGGTGACATGCACCTGTATTCCCAGCTACTTGGCAGGTTGAGATGGCTGAATCACCTGAGCCTAGGAGGTTGAGGCTACAGTGAGCACTCCAGGCTGGGCGACAGAGTCAGGCTCTGTCACACACACACAAAAACAAACAAACAAAAAACCAAAAAGAAACAAACAAACAAACAAACGAAGGATCTTGAGACCAAAGCATTGAGAACTGATGCTTCATAGTGGTGATTCCAGACAAGCAAGAGAGGTCTTTTTTCTTTTGTAATGCAAGGAAGAGATGAAAGGAAAATAGGGAGGTGGAAAGGGAGAACTGGCGAAGTAACTGGACTTTGGGCACGTTGTCAAGCATTGATTTTAAGAAAGAAGATACATATAGGATGAGGATGGAGACACTGATCCCACTAAGGGGTCCATGCTCTGCTGATCACTGTTTCACAGTGAGGCCTTTAACACTTTGATTTTCATGCCTTGGCATCACTTTTAACCTTCCAGATCCTAAGCTCCCAAGTGATATGCCCATTTCAACCACCAGGCTGCATGAACTTGCAAAACCTGGCTTATATTTAGAAAAATTGGCCTTGGCTCAATCAGAAGATACAGGGAGTTACTAACTTACCTTTTTTATATATTGGAGGAGACATTGGCAGTTTAAAATTAGTCATTTGACTTCAATTATTATCAAAACTCTTAGGAAACCCTTGAATACAAACTACAAAATTACATTCCAAACTTGTCATAAGGGGAAGAGCCAGCCCTGTGGTAAAACCGGAGGTTTATTTCACTGAGATCCATTATCCAGTTATAGAACCTATAGTAGGATCCTATAGTAGCAGATTTCAGGCCCAGTGATCTTTAGTCCTAACAGGTTTATTAATGCTGAAAGGGAAACATTATCACAGAACATGACTTCAGGTCAAATGGACAGTCATTTCTCCTGTGTGTTTCTTTTCATAGTGCACCCAAGGTCAAAAAAACAATCTATAGCAAATGTCCTAGCACAAGACACCTACACCAAGTCTGAATTGCCTGGCAGTAACCACACAATGTATTAAAACAGTGTACAAGGTCAGGTGGTTGGTGCCCATAGGCCAAAGAGATACCAGTAGAGAGAAGAGGAAACTAGTTCAAACCAAAGGTAAATTTCTCCAAAACCAGACAGCACTTAGGGCCAAATATAGTCTTCTTTGCTTAATTTTTCAGCTAAACTTTAATGGCTTAATGGCACTGGCTTCCCAACTAGACACTCGTTTATAAGCCTGGATTGACCATAGCAATGAGTGTACACTAGGAGAAGACAGCTCCCTCTCACTCGCCAGTTCTCTCTGTGTGGATGAACAGTAACTACCAGACTGGAATAGACCTTGACATTTACAGCCCCAAACCCTTGTGACTTTCCAGGGAGAAAAAGCATCCAACTCCCTAAGTCTCCACCCTCCCACCCACTCTATCCTGAATGGCCCCGGGCACTGGAACCCCCACAATCTCCTGAGCCAACTCCTCTTCTAGTGGGTAGGTCGTCCCTCTTAGAGCAATTTCTCCTTTTCACCCAACTCCATTATGATGGTTCACGCCCCTCTTGCTTGGTCCTCTGCTGGTTTGAGAAAAGATATTTATGACACAGCTCTGACAGATATTTTTAAGGAACATTCAGTAACAGGATGTTCCCTTGAGAGAAGGACAATCCGAATTGCTGAGGGAGCAACTCCTAAGAGCACAGTTGAGCCAGTTCTTTGAGTTCTGGATTAAGCAATCCCGCAAATTAACTAGATAAACAATTCTGTCCCTTCTTTTTCTTTTTTCCCTAGTGTCCATCTTTCTACCAAAGGAAGCAACAAATGGAAGATCATGCTGCATAAGTGAGGTAGCTTCTTAACTTGGACCTCTCTATCTGCTCTGCTTTCATCGACTTGACAAATATTTACTGAGTATGTACTACAAGCCAGACATTTTTTCCAGAAACTTGGGATATATCCATGAATAAAACCAAGATCCCCACCCTTATAGAGCTCACATTTTCAGGGGGAGAAATGGGCAATAAATAATAACCTTGATAAGTAAGATGTATGATATATTAGAAGGTGATAAGTACTATGGAAAAACAGAAGACGATCAGAGGGTCAGGATGGGTGGGGAAGCAAGCTGTAATTTTAAATGATGGGCGGGGGGGTATCAGAGGTGGTTCCTTGAGAAATGGCCTCTGAGGAAAGAGTAGGAGTGAGGAAATGGGCCAAGTTGATACTCGGGGGCCTGGGGAGGTTCTAGGCAGAGGCAACATGTGGGAGAGGCCTTTTGCCTTTTTCTCTGAGTTGGGTAGAAAACCCAGAGCTCTGAGCAGAGGGCTGATATGATCTGACTTGTATCAGGATTGCTCCAGCGGCCACATGGAGAATAGACCTTAAGAAGGCAGGTCTCGCCGGGCGCAGTGGCTCACACCTGTAATCCCAGCACTGGCCAAGGCGGGCGGATCACGAGGTCAGGAGATCGAGACCATCCTGGCTAACACGGTGAAACCCCACCTCTATTAAAAATACAAAAAATTAGCCGGGCTAGGTGGCTGGCCCCTGTAGTCCCAGCTATTTGGGAGGCTGAGGCAGGACAATGGCGTGAACCCGGGAGGTGGAGCTTGCAGTGAGCTGAGATCACGCCACTGCACTCCAGCCTGGGTGACATAAAAAAAAAAAAAAGAAAAAAGAAAAAAAGAAGGCAGGTCTCTTAATAGCTCCAAATGTTTTTCTAATATGTAAAATGGGTATTAAAAATGCCTAACTAGCCTGGACAACATAGTGAGATCCCGTCCTACAAAAAATTTGAAAAAAGCTTCTTATCCCTGTAGTCCTAGCTACTTGGGGCGCTGAGGTAGGGGGATTTGCTTGAGTGCAGGAGTTTTGAGGTTACATTGAGTAGAGATCACGCCACTGCACATCAGCCTGGGTGACAGAGAAGACCTTGTCTCTAAACACAACAACAACAAAACTGCCTAATTATCACAGCTTGCTATGTGATTCAAAGTAATTCTTTACAGAAAGTACTGTGGGCATTATGAACTAATTTGTATAAATTCTAGTTATTACTGTTGTTTCTGTTATTACAAGGATATTAATAATTATATCCAGCTAACTAAAACAAAAGCTAGCTTAGCTGTTTCCTAGATGTGGATTTAAATATAAAATGTGTATTTTTTAAAAAAGAAAAGCCTGAAAGATCAACGCAAGCCCACCACTGTTAACAGAAAGGCAGGTCAAAATTGACAATGAGTTAGTAACTATTGCATATAAAAATAACAACACAAAAAATATAATAGGTAGCATTTCAATCATTCCTATAGGCAATCCTGGTACCAAGGGCTTTACATTCATTATTTCACTGAAACCTCATAAATGTTTTATGTAGTAGACACTGCTATTATCCCTATTTTATATACAGAAGTTGAGTAACTTGCCCAGGGATACATGACAGCAAAGTGGCATCAGTCTACATGCCAAAGCTAGAGCTCTTACCCACTAACTTTTTTTTTTTAATACTTTAAGTTCTAGGGTACATGTGCACAATGTGCAGGTTTGTTACATATGTATACATGTGCCATGTTGGTTTGCTGCATCCATCAACTCGTCATTTACATTAGGTATATCTCCTAATGCTATCCCTCCCCCCTCCCCTCACCCTATGACAGGCCCCGGTGTGTGATGTTCCCCTTTCTGTGTCCAAGTGTTCTCATTGTTCAATTCCCACCTATGAGTGAGAACATGCTTACCCACTAACTTATAAAGCACTCCACCATTGAACACCATGAAGCTAAAGCTCTTTGCAGTTCTGCTCTTTATTTTGGGATTTGGTTTTGCCCATGATAAAATTCTTTAAAAAAGAAACTTTTTATTTTGAAATAACTTTAGACTTACAAGAAGTTGCAAAAATAGCAGAGTTACTGTACATCCTTCACCCAGCTTTACCCAATGATAAGATCTTACATAACCATGGTATAATGATCAAAACCAGGAAAGTGACTTTGGTACAATATTATTAACTAAAACACAGGCCTTATTAAGATTTTACCAGTTTCTGCTTTGTTTTATTTTGGGGGGAAGAATGAGTGTATAGGTTTATGCAATTTTATGACAGGTACAGATTTGTGGCTACAGAACTGTTCCATTGCCAAAAAGAAGCTCCCTCTTCTACCCCCTTATAGAACATCCTACCCCCAAACCTAACCCCTGAAATTGTTCTGATATGTTCTCCATTAGCAAAATTTTGTCCTTTTGAGAATGTTATCTAAATGGAATTGTACAGCACGTAACCTTTGAGATTGGCTTTGTTCACTCAGAATAATGTCCTTTAGACAAAGTACTTCTTTTCATGTCCCTTAAAGAAAGCTCATACAACACAGAGGAAAAATAAAAACTTGTATCAAGAGGGAAAAGGCATATGACCTTCCTGTTCCATAAACAATGCTTGCTCAAAGCAGTCCAAACAATCGGCTATTTAAACCACTTAGCATTCCCTCAGTAGAAGGGGTCGGCAAAGTTTACTTAGGGGTCAATTTCAGATAGAATGGCGTCCCCTGGGAACACTCACTGCTTTATTTACATCAGCATGTCAGGGGCAGCTACTCTGCACAAGGCCCCCCAAAGCTGACCTCAGCACCTAGTTCCTCATACATGAATTACTGGAAGGGACTCAGGTATCAAACTAAAGCTTCCTCAAAATTAAAAAAAAATTAATTAAAAATAAGTTTTTACGTAGTTCTTTTATAATGTTACAAAACGCAGACACAAGGGAACAGTCAGCAACTAGCTGACTTTTGAGAGTAACCCCTGTGAGCCCAGCACAATCCCCACAGTCAGCAGCCTGGGCCCCACGCCCTTCCTCCCTGGACTTGTTTTAGCCCTTTGGGTCTACAGAATGGACATTAAAGATCCTGTTCTATTAATTTTACAGGACCAGCTGGAGATATAAATGAGAAAAGAGATAAGAGTTTAAATGTAAAAATAATTTTATAAATACAAGTTACTTCATTATCATGATGTCCCTTTGTCCCAGTGAAAGGACCTAAAACTCGGGGACTATTTGTAATTCATTTGTTTGCTCATTAGTTCATTCATTCATTCACATAGTTCTTATGTGCCAGGCACTGTGCTGGGTGATGGGGCTAACCTAACTAATAAATCATACATAATAATCACTTGATTAGTAAGTCTTCTTGGAGGCCTGACAAATAGATAGAGGGTTTGTTCTTCAATGCAATGGGGAAGAGGCCTTGTGAATATACAGACAAGGGGGTGACCAGGAAGGTTTTCAGAGGAGAGCCGTGATCTGTGTGTCAAGTGAACAGGGGTTTGCCAGACAATGAGAAGGCAGCTTGGCAAGAAGGCACAGTCGCTCATGGGCCTGCGAAAAGTTCATCAGGTCTCACAAGCAGGTGCCTTTGCAGGTGAGGCAGGCGGAGACCGTGGGAAAGTTAGGCTGAAGCCCCAATGGGTCTCAGACTTCAGGGTAAAATGGTAGATTTTAACCTGCATGTAGTGGGGAGTCATGCCAGGAATGAGAAGCTCTGTATTTTAGGAGAACCTCTTTAATCACAAGGTGGAGCATCACTCACTATGGTGGTGGGGTAGGGGGATGAGAACGAGAAAGATTGGACCACAGGTAAGAGGTGACAGCAACAGTCCTGGCGATGAACCAGGAAAGCCTGAATTAAGGCCATGGTGGTGGAAGGGCAGAGGAAGAAATGAGCACAATTGACATTTGAGAACAATGTACAGGGCCTGGGCACAGTGGCTCACGCCTGTAGTCCCAGCACTTTGGGAGGCCAAGGTGGGTGGATCACCTGAGATCAGGAGTTCAAGACTAGCCTGGCCAACATGGTGAAACCCCATCTCTACAAAAATACAAAAATGAGCCGGGCATGATAGTGGGTGCCTGTAATCCCAGCTGCTTGGGAGGCTGAGGCGGGAGAATCACTTGAACCCTGGAGGCAGAGGTTGCGATAAGCAGAGATCACGCCATTGCACTCCAGCCTGGGCGACAGAGCAAAACTGCATCTCAAAACAAAAAAAAAAGAGAGAACAATGTACAGATCTTGGTGATGACTGTTGGATGGGCGAGAGAGAAGAATCTGGGTAAGTTTCAGGTTTCTGGCTTGAATATATGATTACTCCTCCAGGCCTTCACTTCACTGTATAGCATGAGCTAGACCATCTTCACTATGAAACAGGCATTTAATAAATACTGTCACTAAGAAAAATAAAGTCAGCAGCCCCACTTTCCAAACCCTTCACAAATAGGAAAACTGCCTGAGCAGTGCGGTATACTGCGTATTGATTTAGAAACTAGAATTTCGACTCAGCAGTTTAAGTAAGAGTTCTTCATTTACAGACACATTTGTCACTACTCTAAAAACTCTAGAACAGCTGGTGAAATGTTAGTGAGGATTTCCATCATCATGGTTCAGTTTTTGGTTTTTGGTACCCGATGGCCCCTGATGGAGAGTGAATTCATCATGCACACCCACATTCAGAAGCACCTTCTGGTGAATGCTGCCGCAAGTGCTCTCCTACTGGTCATTTCTACAACTACCATGTTCCAGGCACTGAACCAGACCCCTGAATATGTGGCCAAAAAATCCTTCAGTTCCTGCCTTCAAGAGCCCCCCTGGTCTCATGGAAACAGGCAGAGGCGTAAATCAGATATTCTGACAGATGAGAGTATTTGCCATCAGACTGGCAAAAAGTCAAGACTGAATACTGTGTGTATGTGATATAGGGCACATATTACCATATTCCACTAAAAAGATTGCCAACTTGCAAGGCCTTTTTGGAGGGAGATTAGAATGTATTAAAATTTAAAATATGTTCACTTTTCCCTTCAACTCCCATTTAGATATCCCTCCTAAAGAAATACTGGTGGTGCTCGCTTTGGTAGCACATACACTAAAACTGGAACAATAACAGGGAAGATTAGTGTGGAGCCATTGCCCTGACAGCATGTGGTACTGTGGATTCCATGAGTGTGTACAGTGGGAAAGCAACAACACTCGGTTCCACCACCCCGTGCACTGGTCAGCTGGACAAACTCAGACAGGTATCTACCCTGGATAGACTTTACAGAGTTTTAGAAGACGAAAATGAACATTTTTGGAGCCTAAGTTTTGGCTCATTTGTTGGATCAGTGCATGTAAGAATTTGGTGAGATGCAAATGAACAAATAGTTCTTGTTCCTGTGACCAACAGGCTGTATGCTACAGTTCTATTCTGACTGTTCAGATTTTTAAGGATGATTGGATTAGGCTGCCCTGCTGTCTGGGTCTGTCTCCTAAACTTTTCAGATCATCATGTAATTCCAATGACTCTTTTAAAGGGTACTGATGATATGAACACTGTCAGATTGATTCCAGCTAAACCTAGTAGTCCACCTTGAGAATTTTCACGTAACACCCTGGAAAAAAACGTGAGCCCAAGTCTTCTCTACCAAAGAAAAAAAAAAGCTTCAAATTTTAAAAAGTAAAATTAAATTGTAAAGAACTTGAAATGCAAAATAGGTGGTCGTTGTAAGGGTGTAACTGACCTTTTAGAAATAAATCAGATCTCCAAGCTAAGACAAACTACAGCCTTGGGTATTAAAATAGTTTGCACATCTTGTCACAAAAACACACTTCTAATTTTGAGAAAACATACAGAAAAGTTCTAGACAAACAGAGATGGACAGATTTTGTCCCTATTTTTATAAAACATACAAAAATCTATTTTCTATTTACTAATAGTAAATAATTGGGAAATAAAATCAAATATGCTATTTATTAGTACATAAGTACTAAATTAATGCATTCTGATTGGCTGTACACTGTTGATGAAAATGTAAATTGGCATAGCCATTAAGGAAAATAGTTTGGAGGTTCCTCAGAAAATTAAAAATAGAACTACCATATGATTCATCAATTCCCATACTGGGTATATATATCCAAAGGAAATGGTATGAGGATCTCAAAGAGGTATCTGTGGTCCCATATTCATTGCAGCATTATTCATAATAGCTTAGACACGGAAACAATGTAAGTGTCCATAAACAGATAAATGGATTAAAAAATTATGGTATATATATATATATATATATATATATGGGAATATTATTCAGCGTGTACAAAAAAGAAAATCCTGGCATTTATGACAACATGGATGAAACTGGAAGACATTATGCTAAGTGAATAAACCAGACAAAGAAAAGAAAAACTACTGCATGGTCTCACTTACATGTGCAATCTAAAAAAGTTAAACTCACAGAAACAAAGAATAGAACCGTGGTTTAAAAGGGTGGGTGGAGGTGGGTGAGGACTTGGTCAAAAGGTAGAAAGTTTTAGTCCACAGGATGAATAAGTTCTAGAGATCTAATGTACAGCACAGTTAACAAAATTGCACAGTATACTGGAAATTTGCTAAGAGGGTAGATCTTAAGTGTTCTCATCCTCCTACATGCCCTCCCCTGTCGCCTCCCTCCCTCCCCGCCCCCCGAACTCCGCCACAAATGGTAACTATGTGAAAAGATAGCTATATTAATGAGCTTGGCTGGAATAATCAGTTCACTATGTATTTCAAAACATTACATTGTATACCTTAAGTACATACAATTCCAATTTTAAAATAAAAAAAAATTTAACAAATGACTTGTAAGACCTCTACAACAAAAACTACAAAAATTGCTGAGAGAAATTAAAGAAGACCTAAATAAATGAAGAGATATAATGTATTCATTGATTGGAAGGCTCAATATTGTCAAGATGTCTTTTTCTTCTAAACTTATCTATAAAAACAATACGATTGCAGACAAAATCACAGCAGGTATTTTTGTGTAAACATTGTCAAGTGGATTCTAGGATTTTTATAGAATTGGGCAAAAGACCTGAAGTGACGCTTCACCAAAAAAGAGACATGACTGATTAATAAGCACAAGAAGAGACACTAAAATCTTCTCTAAGTCTTGTCTAAAATTAGACATCAGGGAAATGAAATGCAAACTAAAACCACAATAATCTACTAGATTTCAAATCCACTAAATGTCTACACTTAAGAAGACTGACCAAATCAAATGTTGGTAAACATATCGATGAGCAACTGGAACTCTCTCATCCACTGTTGCTGGAATGAAAGATGGCACAATCACTTTGGAAAACCATTTGGTAGTTTCTTTAAAAGTTAAACATATGAAGCAGCAATTCCTCTCCTAGGCATTTATCCAAGACAAAATAAAAACATATGTCCTCCAAAAGACTTGCACTCAAATATTCATAGCTGCTTTATTCATAATAGCCAACTGCCACAAATATCCAAAATGTTTACCAAACAAATGGATAAACCAAATTAACACATTAATACAACAGAGTACTATATCAGCAATAAAAAATGATGTACTGGCCAGGCACGGTGGCTTATGCCTGTAATCCCAGCAATTTAGGAGGTGGAGGCGGTCGGATCATTTAAGGTCAGGAATTCGAGACCAGCCTGACCAACATGCTGAAACCCTGTCTCTACTTAAATACAAAAAGTAGCCAGGCGTAGTGGCAGGTGCCTGTAATTCGGCTACTCAGGAGGCTGAGGCAGGAGAATCGCTTGAACCCAGGAGGTGGAGCTTGCAGTAAGCCAAGATTGAGCCACTGCACTCCAGCCTGGGCAACAGAGCAAGACTCCTTCTGAAAATAAAAATAAAAATAAAGATGATGTACTAGTGATAAAACATCATGGATGAATCTCAAAGATATCATGTTGAGTGGAAGAAGCCACGGAAAGTATGTATGACACAAAAAAGTACATACTTTATATTCCATTTTTTGAAGTTCAAGAACAGGCAAAATTATTCTATGATGACAGATATAAGAACAGAATTGCCTATGGGAGATGGTGACCCACTGGAAGGGATCATGAAGGACTTTCTGAAGTGATGGCAATATTCTATATCTTGACCGAGGTGGTAGCTACATGGGTGTCTACACTTAGGAAAACTCACTGAGTTGTACAACTGAATTCTATGCACTTAATTGTATGTCAATTTTACCTCAATGAAAATAAGTCTTTATGGGATTTCAGAGTGATCATCCTATAAAGGGTAGAGTCTATTTTTTAAAATTGATTTTGAATAAAAAGTTACTTAATTCCCTAAAAAAACTCAAAGAAAACTCAGATGAAGGAGAGAAAACCATAACATTCCTCCTGAAGTCACGGGTTAGAAAAGTGATTCAGAGTTAATAGGTAGGGGCTGGCATTCACTTACTGATCCATCCTAGCCATAAATATTTACTGAGTACTACTAGGAGGCAGGTACCTTTTCAGCCACTGGCAGTGCAGAGGTGAATGGGAGAGACAAAGCTCTTGTCCTTACTGAGCATATGTTCTCTAAGAAGCTAGACAAGGAGACCCAATGAATAAACTGGGTAATTATAGACGGTGACAAGTGCAATGGAGGAGTACACAGGAATATGGGATTGAGGGGACCTAAAACAGTTAAGAGTGATCAGGGATGGCCTCTCTGAAGAAGTGATGAGTTGGGTCATGGGACAAAGGGCCGATGGAAGAACACTGCAAGCAGATAGAAGAGACAGTGCAAAGGTCCTGAGGCAGGAAGGAACAGGATGTGCCTAGAGAAGTGAAAGACAATCAATGTGACTCGTGCCTAACAAGCAGGATGGAGAGCATGGGATGGGGCTGGGTTGGATAGATAGGAAGGAGCTAGGACACGCAGCCCCTAGGGAAAGGGCAGGAAGGACTGGGTGACAGTCTAAGACAGAAGGGAGATACTGCAGGGTTTTCAGCAGGCAGGTGATGTCATCTGCCACCCAGGAGGGTAGTTGGGAGTGGGGACAAGGCTGGGAGCAAAAAGGCCCAGTTAGGAAGCTACTGCAGAGGCGACAGCAAGAGCTGGCAGTGACACGGACCAGGGTGCTGGCAGCAGGGTGGAGAAAAGACAGATTTCAGATGTATTGTAGGAGCAGAACTGACAGAACTGCTGATGCCAACATGAAAAATGAGAAAAAGGAAGGATGGGAAAATGGTGATATCATTCACTAAGATGGAGAATTCTGGAGTGGAACAAGTCTGGGGTTAAGAGTTTCATTCTGAGATGCCTATGTACCCAGCAAGTGGCAATGCCAAGGAGGCGGTTGGATACA
Organism: Homo sapiens; assembly: GCF_000001405.40. Lineage (NCBI taxonomy): Eukaryota > Metazoa > Chordata > Mammalia > Primates > Hominidae > Homo > Homo sapiens. Next base: position 111,948,485 of record NC_000002.12, on the reverse strand, counting down.
TGAGCCTGCAACTCAGGAGAGGGGTCTGGGCTGGAGTTCAAGGTCATTTCTTATAGATGGTGTTAAACCATGGGCCCAAAGAAACTCTCCCAAGGGGAAGCATCTCAGAGTAAAAGAAGGGGACCCAGGATTGAGCCCTGCCATTCAAAACTCCAGTCAATGACAAAGGAGGAGCAATGAATTGGTGTCACTCAATGAAATGGAAGCCAGGACAGTGTTTCCAAAAGTCCACGCTGTGTCCTGAAGGCCTAGAACAGCCTCAGGCATACAGCAGTCCCTGGAGAAAGGAAGGAGGGAGGGAGTGTGGTAACCTTGCCTGATGTTGCTGAAAGATGCAATGAGAGGAGCCACAGAAGAGCCCACTGACTTCAGTGCATGGGAAACGTCAGTGGTATTGACAAGAGCATCATCAGTGATGTGCGGGACTAAAACTGGGCCACTTTCATTTGGATGGAAATCAAGACGACCATGGAATGTCCATTCAGCCACAATCCCCCAAGGGCTCACACTTCCTGCAATAGCTCCCCATGATGAATCCACTCTCTCGGTGTCAAATCCACTGAGGTCTTCACGTCAGTGGTTCCATAAACGCAAGACCTGACAGACCAGCAAGGCCACAGCTACAATGGGAGATGCGAGCAGGGCTCCTGCTGCCTGGGCTCAGGGATTCTGGCCACTTCAACAACTTAACCCTATGTACCCCCAGAGGCCCTCACCTGTTTCCCCACCTTGGCCTGTGAATTCTCACACCTGTGATTCCCACCTGCCTTCCCGTCTACCTGGTCCCATAACTTTGCTGCCACACCTGTATTTTCATCTGTCTCCACTGCCTGCTAGTGGTGCACAGCAAGGGTCGCCAAACTTTTGATCCTGTCCGCTATTAGAGAATAAATCAATAAGCCCACAGCTCGGACTTACCTGGAACAGTTAGCACGGAGGGGGATTTTTCAGGCTGTTCGTTAACACGGCTACTGTTTTGAACCCAGAAAATGTTGACGGGCTCAGGCGGGCCCACAGCCTGACAGGTGAGGTTGAAGGCTGTGTTTCTGGTGACATTCATGCTCTCAGGCTGCTTAGTAAAGTGAGGAAGTCCTGCGGAGAAAACGTTACACAAAAGAATGTTTCAGATCTGAAAACAGAGACAGAGCCCAAAGGGGAATGGAAACTGGACTAGAACTTGGCAATAGATTTCTTTTTTTGTGGGGGGCGGGTGGGGATGGAGTCTTGCTCTGTCACCCAGGCTGGAGTGCAGTGGCCTGATGTCGGCTCACTGCAATCTCTACCTCCTGGGTTCAAGTGATTCTCCTGCCTCAGCCTCCTAAGTAGCTGGGATTACAGGCGCACACCACCAGGTCTGGCTAATTTTTGTATTTTTAGTAGAAATGGGGTTTCACCATGTTGGCCAGGCTGGCCTCGAACTCCTGACCTCAAGTGATCCTTGCCCCTTGGCCTCCCAAAGTGCTGGGATTACAGGCGTGCCACCGCGCCCAGCCTTGGCAAACAAGAGTTCTTTATCTACAGCCTCAGGCAGGTCTGTATTAATCAGTTTTCACCTCCTTAAGTTGGATAAGAAGGAGCACAGAGGCTAATTCCTGCCAGTCTACTTTAAGCCAGCTTTCTAGGATGCTTTGCCAAAGGGGCTATAAATAGTGACTCAGAACTGGTTTTACCAGAAGGCAGGCCACAGGCAGTTCTTACATCAGGTGTTGCTCAAACTCCTGGGACTGACTAGTTGGCAGGTTTTCAGTATTTCTTACCAAAATAAACGCAGAGTAAAACAAAGCTATGTAATAGATCTGTCCATGGTACGAAGACATTCTATTATGTGTGTGACTTTCAGATGGGTCATAAGGAATTTTAAAATCCACAGCCTTGTATAAGGCTGAGTGCTTTTCAAAGCAAATTCTCATGAAAACTGTATAAACACAGTTGCAGTTACAATCCTTAAATCTACCGTACTTTCCAAAATCAAGGTCCCAAGGAAGCTCAGAGAAAGCCAGTCAGTACTCATTTGGGGCAGGTGTTCAAAAATATAACGAGTCCAGCTAATTGTGTTCTTTTGGGGATTGGGAACTCACAGATCTGGTTCCAGCAGGAATGACGTGGCAGTTATGTGAAATGGAATTCTTTTATCCTGTTTCAAGGTTTTTTTGAAACTCTGTTTGGACTTAATATGTTCCTGCTCTGGGCATTTTTCTGGGATTCTGACAAATAAAATCTCCTGTAAATATTTTTTTCCCAAATTAGCTGCAAATGTAGGAAACCCCCTCTTTGGCTGATGTTGACGTAACCCTGAGAAAGAGCTGTCCAGCCTGGGATGGGCCTAGAGCAAAGGTCATGAAGAGACTCCTCTGAGGGAGTCTCTTCCCCCTCCCCTCTGTCTTCCCCACTCACTCCTCCTCCTTCCATCTGTGCTCCCTGAGGCTTCCCTCCACATTGGTGGGCATCAATTTCAGGTTCACAAAAGAATGGGTAGCATAGCAGACTTTCAGTGGGAGATGTTTCTGACTGAAAAGCTAATCACCTGCTCTAAAGCCTGTGACAAGGAAGGTCAGGATAAAGTAGAAAAGGGAGGTGACCTAATGGCTCTGCTAAGAGGGGCACCTCAGAGAGGAGGGGCACAAGGCCCCCAGAGGGAAGCCCCCAGGGGTAGTGAGGAGTGACCTCTGAGGGTGATAATAAAGATGCTTCCTCCTTGCAGCACTGCCATTGCAGAACCAGGCATGCAAACCCCCAAATCAGGGCACCAAACCAGGACCTGGGCTCACCTGGCCTGGTTCACCTGTGCATCAGCTCACATTGCCCATTAGAGTTCAAGTTCCCTGAGGGCAGAGATTGCCTTTTCCTAGCCTGATGTCTCACTCTTCATCCCCATGGACCTTCATATGATGTCATGGAATTTCTCTGAACCATGCACCTGACAGATACCAGTGCCCAAAAGAAGTCTCAGGCTGAGCTGTTGAGCCAGTCGAGGAAAACCACTCACCCTCCAGGGTTTCACTGTCTGCATAGGCAAGACAGGAAAAGATGCTGAATAATAAGCCAACAGCCACTTGACCAGGTGAGTGGTATCTGGTACCAGTACTGGAAACTGGATAGTAGAAAGCATTTTGCTTCTTAAAAAGAAGTCTTCAGCTTATTTTTATTGTCAATAATCTGTGGACAAGGAAGTCCAAAATCTCTTTTTATCTCACCTGTAATGCCTATAATAGAGCTCAAACTTCAGGAATTGAATTCATTTCATTATTACTTATAGACTACAAAGTGGAGTACCTTGTAAAATTTCAGTGCTGATAGATTTGCAAGGTTTGCATACAGAGTTATAAATAGGCAGGCAAAACTCTAGAGTATTATACACAAAACATTTAACACAGGCCCTAAAACAAACAGTTCTCTGGCAATGGGACTCTGGTCTGTGGACTTACCTTGTACTTCGATGTAGATGGGATCAGACACGATCTCTTCATTGTTTATTTTCATCTTACAGATATACGACCCATTGTCTGAACGCTGCACACTGGTTATGCTGCAAAGAAAAACACATGAAGATATTTACAGTGACTACCCTTTGAGTTCCTATTATAGGATGGAAACTTCTTCAACTTCTTTGTCATATGCTGTGATAGTTAATTTTATATGTCAGCTTGGCTAGGCCATTGTACGCAGTTGTTTGGTCAAACCCTAGCCTAGATGTTGCTGTGAAGGTACTTTTCACATGTCACTAGCATTTAAAGCAGCAGCCTTTGAGTAAAGCACATTACTCTTCATGATGGGGGCAGGCCCCATCCAAACAGTTGAAGGCCTTATAAGAAAAAGACAGAGGTCCCCAGGGAAAGAGGGGCTTCTGTTTCCAAACTGCCTGAGGACTCAAGACTGCAACATCAAGTCTTTCATGGGTCTCCACCCAACACCCTGTTGATTCCATATTTGTCAGCCCCCACTGTGTGTGAGCTAATTCCTTAAAACAGAGGAATTATTTTAAGGAATTCATAATTTAGGAATTAATAAATAATTTAGGAGTTAATTTAAGGAACTAAGGAAAATTCCTTAAAATAATTCCTCTTTCTCTCTCTTTCTAGATAAAGCTGTAGACACAGATCCTATAGGTTCGGTTTCTTGGAAAAACCCTGACTAATATATGTGCTATCACTTGTCTTGATTTTTTTTTTTTTTTTTTTTTTTGAGACAGATTCTGTCTCACTCTGTAGCCCAGGCTGGAGTACAATGGCATGATCTCAGCTCACTGCAACATCTGCCTCCTGGGTTCAAGTGATTGTCCTGCCTCAGCCTCCTGAGTAGCTGGGATTACAGGCATGCGCCACCATGCCCGATTAATTTTTGCATTTTTTAGTAGAGACAGGGATTTGCCATGTTGGCCAGGCTGGTCTCGAACTTCTGACCTTAGGGGATCCACCCACCTTGGCCTCCCAAAGTGCTAGGATTATGGGCATGAGCCACCATGCCCGGCCACCTGTCTTGATTTCTATGGTAGACTCTGCACCAGTGGTTCTCTGCATTGGGGTACTGCCCCCTCAAGGCATTTTGGAAATTTGTGGAGTTGTTTTTGGTGGTCACAATGACTAGGGGGGCTCCATGGGTTTTTAGGGGCCAAGGGCAACTGTTCCATATCCCAAATGACCTCCTGAGACTAGACCCTAATTCCATTTAACATACTTGTATGGTTTCAATATTCACCTAATTTACCAGGACTGCAATGACTATAAAAATGGAGAGCTGGTAGCCTTTGTCCTGTTTAGAACTTTCTGGGGCCCTAGCCATCATTTTGTAAGGTCTCTCACTGACAGCATGACTGTATTTGCAGCAGTCACAGGTCAAGTGCTTGAAGGTGCACCTAAGGTGCAAGTCCCTGGGTACTTAATGATCTCTCCTGGGGTGGACATGCCCGGTGTTTACATGTTGAAATGCACATTTTATTTTATTTTATTTTAGATGGGGTCTCGCTCTGTCACCCAAGCTGGAGTGCAGTTGCACCATCATGGCTCACTGCAGCCTTGAACTCCTGGGCTCAAGCCATCTTCCCACCTCAGCCTCCCAAAGTGCTAGGATTACAGCCATGAGCCACCGTTCTCAGCCGGGGAACATTTTTAAATACTTTCAGATGCTCTCCAGAGGATTTCTTTATTGGCTCAAAGACACTCCTCTTTAAACACAGCAAAGAAGACCATGACCAGGGGAACGAAGAAAAAGAAGAAAAACATGGAAGTTCCACCTTCCTTCCTAGAAGCTTGCTTCCCTGTATAACCTATTTATTTCTAAACAAAATAAATCTCATCCCTCAACCTGTGAAGGGCTGAGGCTTAAGGCTTAAAAGAAACCAGGAAGCTGTCAAGGGTAGAGGGGGCTCCATCCTGAACCATGGCCTGATAGGCAGGGGTGGCAGCTGCCAGAGGATAGCACAGCCTGGTTAGCATCTGGAGCAGACATGTGGTAGTGAGTGAGGTCCCCAGGTCTGAATGAGACAGAGTTTCCTTAGGTTGAATTCAGTTTTCTGAACACTAAACATTTTAAATTTACTTCTTCCCAACAATACCATTTTGCAGATCCTCATTGGCCTGTGATAAATAGAGCAGCTAAGACACAGCTCAACAATGGCATCAGTCAGAACTCGGGGGGTCAGAGCTACTCAGGTTAACATTACTTCCTTACTGTTCCCAGGATCCAGGAGTTAACAGTCCCCTGTCATTGCATTTCCTGATGTGTAAATCTGAGTGGCTTCCCTTTGACTTGAAATGCTCTGTCTTCCCCTTTCCCCTCGTTCTTTTGTAGGAGCAATATAATTTTGGAATGCACCTGATGAATGAATGGTGGGCATGGGGGAGGTCCCAGGGATCAAGGAAAGGCCAGATCCTTTCATGCTTTGGGGCAGTGGCTGGATGTCACAATGCTTAGAGGTTACCAGGAGAAGATGAAAAGAGAATACACAGGACAAATATCTCCAAATAAGGAGCTGGCTGACCCTCTCCTGGTAGCCCCCTGGATATCATGGTGACAGGAAGGGCTGAAGAAAGATGGGAGAATTCTGTGCCTAGAATGATGTCCTGCCCATCGTGGGCAATGACTAGTGGTTGAGCGGTGACCCTGGCTTTCAGCAGTTCCTGAAGATCCTGCACAACAGATGGATCTAATCTTTGGAGTTCAAAGGGAAACCAAGGCTACTGAAGAGGGGGTGCTTCTACATATTTCACAAATCCACTTTAGAAGAGGCATCATTTTCTTGAGGCAAGACCCAGGGGCTCAACAGAGTGAACCATGAGATCGGACAGACTGAGGACACTTGTGCCTTTGAAGACCGGCTCTGCCTCAAGGTCTGGGACCCGGGAGTGGCAGCAGGCTTGCAGCTGGACTCAGGGAGACAGGGACCAGAGAGAAAGTGAAGGCCGGGAGGGAGGTGGGGCACAGCCCCAGGAAGGCAGCCTGAGGGGACTGCACCCAGACCAGAGGTACAAAGCGGAGGTGCAGAGCCCCCAGAAGCCGAGAAACTATGAGGCACAAAGGACCGTCTGGCAGCTCACCCTGGACTGTAGAAATCAGACTGCGTAAGATGCCCAGGAGAACCTTAAGCCAACCAGCAAGGAGGATACACACCAGAAATAGAAAAGGAGCATGCAGAATGCAAAGAGAACTCAATCGGAAGTTTGTCTTTAGTCATTCAAGGCAGGAAGGGCTTAGCAGTTGTCTGGTAAAAATAGGCACCTGCATTAATTAGCAAGGCCTGACCCATGCCACCTATATTACAGCAAAGATTTTCCATAAATCATTATACTTGTCGCTTTCTAGACATCCAAGGGAAAGGCTCCCACTGGGAGGGTGGGGTGTGGGGTGGGGCTGGAGACTGGAGGGGCTGTCCCTGGCTCTCCTCCCTCTGCCCAGAAAAACAGGAGGCTCAGTCTCTGTGGAGGCTCAACCAGAAAGGCTCCGGGCTCAGAACAGCAATCTAGGCATCCCAACCACCATGTAAGAGGAGCTCCAGAGGAAACGCGGAGAGTGGATGCGGAAGGGGGGAAGTTCAAGAAAGTGCCCCAGCACTGAAGATATGGGTGTTTCCTAACCGGGCCCCCGGCTGGGCAGCACAGTAGGAGAAAAAAGACCCACCACATGGGGGCTTCATCAGGGAACGTTACAACTCTAAGATGAGGTGAAGATCCCAAAAGCTTCCAGAGAGAACAGAAGCAGATCACTTATGAATGAATCAGAATTACATCCTGCTTCTCTAGAGCAACCCAGAACTCAAAGGAAATATATCAGTGACTTCAAAGTTAAAACAAAAAATATTTTCCTTTCGAACTCTGTACCCAGCCAAACTACCTCAAGGTGAAGGTAGGAAAAAGAATGGCATTTTCAGGCATGCAAGTCCCAGGAAGTTAGTGACGGATAAGCTCCTTGCCAAAGTAAAAGAGTAAAAGCCAAAGAGAGTGAGAAGCGGGGAGCATGTTCCAATGAAAGCTGACGGCTCTTGACTACCACAACCCCGCCGGTTTCAACTGCAAAGATGAAACAGAATTTAGAAACTTCACTGTTTGGCTTGAAGACCAGAAAATCAGATACTACAAGACTGAAGACAGAGGTAATTTAAGAAACATCCACAGCAGTGACTGGCCCGAGTTCTTTCAAAAGTATCTCAGAGATGTTAACTGTCGTTTAAAGATTCAAGATCGACAAGAAGCTATTGACTGGCTTCTTGGTTTAGCTGTTAGATTTGAATATGGAGATAATGCTGAAAAATACAAGGACTTAGTACCTGATAATGCAAAAACTGCTGACAATGCAACTAAAAATGCAGAACCATTGATAAATTTGGACGTAAATAATCCTGATTTTAAGCCTGGTGTAATGGCTTTGGCTAACCTGCTTCAGGTTCAATGTCATGATGATTGCCTGGTAATGCTTAAGGCAATTCAAATTTTGGTTCAGGAGCACCTGACACAGGATGCAGTTGCTAAAGCAAATCAAACAAAAGAGGGCTTGCCTGTTGCTTTAGACAAACATATTCTTGGTTTTGACACAGGAGATGCAGTTCTTAATGAAGCTACTCAAATTCTGTGACTGCTGTATACAGAAGAGCTCAGACAGCTACAGACAAAAATTAATGAAGCCATAGCAGCTGTTCAGGCAATTATTGCTGATGCAAGGACAGACCACAGGCTGGGAAAAGTTGGAAGATGAACACTTTAGGACTTCAGCTTTTCACCTATTTAGTCTATTTAGTACAATTGGGAACCATGTATACTTCCGGCATGTTTGGAAATCAATATATCACATTCTCGGGGGAGGAATCCCAGAAAATTGAGTAAGTTCTAGAGGTTTACCACCATTACTTTTTTCTTTAATAAAGTTTAGGAAAGTAGAAAAAAAAAAGAGTAGAAGCCAAGAAAGAGGACCTGGGCTCTAGGAAACAGGAGCTGGACCACAGGAGGCATAGAGGATCCTCAGAATAGTAGTAAAGATAGCTGGACCCCAGACCCAGAGGGAACCTGATTAGACAGAGGCAGAAGGGAAGAAGCCAGGACAGGCATCTCCTAAATAAATAAATGAATATCAGTACTGATAATTTTGTTGTGGTGTGAGGAGATGCATACATTCCTTTAGAGAAGAATGAGTGATTGATACTTAGGAAACTATTAAATTCAAGATAATCAAAAAGCTACTCAAGAATCGCTATGGGGCTGGGTGCAGTGGCTCATGCCTGCACTCCCAGTACTTTGGGAGGCTAAGGTGAGAGAGTCATTTGAGGCCAGGAGTTTGAGATCAGCCTGGGCAACATAACGAGAACCCATCTCTTACCAAAAAAAAAAAAAAAAAAAAAAAAAAAATTAAAAATTAGCTGGGCATGGTGGCACATGCCTGTAGCCCCAGCTACTTGGGAGGCTAAGATGGGAGGATTGTTTAAGCCCAAGAATTTGAGGCTGCAGTGGGCTATGATCGCACACTGCACTGCAGCCTGGAAGATAGAGTGAGACCCTGTCTCAAATTAATTAATTAATTAATTAAGTGCTAAGTCCTTAAGTGCTATGGCTTGAATATTCCCTTCAAAACTTGTATTAAAACTTAATCCCCAATGTGGCAGTATGGAGATGTGAGGCCTTTAAGAGGTGATTGGGTCATGAGGACTCTGCCCTCATGAATGGATTAATCCATTCATGGATTAACAATGGGATAAAGAATTAATGGGAGTGGAACTGGCAGCTTTATAAGAAGAGGAAGAGAGACCTAAGCTAGCACATGAGCACGCTCAGCCCCCTCGCCGTGTGATGCCCTGCGTTGCCTTAGGACCCCGCAGAGTCGCATCAGCAAGAAGACCATTATCAGATGGGGGTCCTTGACCTTGAATGTCCCAGCCTCCTTAACTGTGAGAAATAAATTTCCTTTCTTTATAATTTACTCAGTTTCAAGTATTCTTTTATAAGCAACAGAAAACAGACTAAGACAAGAAGTAAAATATAATTATAGCATATTACATGATTCAGCTGAAAACAGAATTTCCATAGCTACAAAAAAATACCCTGGGTATTGATTTAACCACAGCTATGAGTAGCATTCTATTAGATTAACACACCATGCTGGAGACTAGCACACACATACAGACATACATAGGATTACATAGGGATTGAATATCTCTGGAAAGATACCCAAGAGATGGGTAATCTCCATTCCCTACAGGGAGAGGGCTGGGGGCTGGAGTGGAAAAAAGACTTTTTGAATAGTCAGAATGTTCTACCACTGCTTAAAAAAAATGGTATAAAAATCTCATCAGATTTTGGCCAAATACAAACATCTGAATGAGGGAAGACAAAAGAAATGGCACATACTCAGCCATGGTGTCTAGACAGGAACCACCTGGGTACAGCTGCATGGCCAGCAGCTGCAGAAACCCATCACCCCAGGGCAGCACAGGCTGGGTTAGCCCAGGCACATCTTATACACACACAGCATGTCTCTAACCCTCAGTCCTTACCACTACCAGTCTAGCCTGCTCAGAAATGACTTGGAAGTAGCAGTTATGCTCTAGAGTCTTTTTAAAAGAAATACAAAAAAAGGACAAATATTGTATGATGCCACCTATATGAGGTAGTTGTAGTAGTCAAACTCACAGAGAAAGAAAGTAGACTGTGGGAGGCTGAGGCAGAAGGATCACGTGAGCCCAGGAGTTCAAGACCAGCCTGGACAGCATGGCAAAACCCTGTCTCTACAAATACAAAAAAACAAACAACAAACAAACAAAAAACAGCTAGGTACAGTGGCTCATGCCTGTGGTCCCAGCTACTGGGGAGGCTGAGGTGGGAGGATCGCTTGAGCCTGGGAGGTCGAGGCTGCAATAAGCCGTGATCGCACCACTGCGCTCCAGCCTGAGCAACAGAGTGAAACCCTGTCTCAAGAAAAATAAATAAATAAAATAAAATAAAAATAAAAAATAGAGTAGTGGTTACTCTACTGGAGTTCTGGAGATGGATGTGCAACGTGTGCTGATGGTTGCACAAAAACGTGAATGCCACTGAATTGTATACTCAAAATGGGTTGAAATGGGGGACTTTATGTTATATATATGTTTTACCATGTCAAAAAAATTAAAAATGAAAAAAATAATTTTAAGAAATAGGTCCACTGTAAGCGCCCTGTTTTTACCTGCCACCGTTCACATGGTGCCGACAGGGTAAGCCAAGGGCAAGGAAGTTCGAGCTGAAAGGAAGTCTTGTGAACAGGTCGCAAGTCAGAAAGTATCAGGCATCTGTGGTTAATAACAGCTTTTCCAGCAGATAGTTTGGTTAAAGAAATTAGATTTTTATTTTCTAGATTCTGTTCTCATTGCCACCAAGAGCAGCAGAATAAAGAACCGGCAACAGGCATCAGCCCCAGTAAGGCAAGATGGGAGGGAAAAGCCCAGCACAGAGAGCCCATGGGGGCCCCGAAAACACAGCATCCACAGTACCAGGAGCCTGCATGGAGATGCATGGAGATGGGGGCCCCAAAGGAAACAGGATGTCAGGAGACGCAAACTACCCACTTTTGTTTTGTTTTGTTTTGTTTTCGAGGCAGTGTTGTTCCGTTGCCCAGGCTGGAGTGGATCATGGCTCACTGCAGCTTCAAACTCCGAGGCTCAAGCGATCCTCCCACCTCAGCCTCCTGAGTAGCTGGGACCACAAGTGTGCACCACCATGTCTGCCTAATTTTTTTTTTTTTAATTTTTTGTAGCAATGGGGTCCTATTGTGTTGCTCGGGCTGGTCTCGAACTCCCTGGCTCAAGCAATCCTCCCTCTTTGGCCTCCCAAAGTGCGGGGATTACAGGCATAAGCCACCATGCCTGGCCCCAACTTAACATTTTTATAAAGAAAATTTAATGAAACAGTAGAATCATTCCAGCTTTAGCCACTGGGAACTATGCCAGAATTTAAAAAGCAGTGTGAATCCCTAGACTAAACAGAAAACAACAAATACTTTCCCCTCACCACAAGACTCCCACCAGTTTTTGGTTTTGCTTGGGAGCTGGGCTTCCCTGTCGTCTGGTCTGGTGGCTGCTGCCCTTCTGGAGTGTTGCGCCTGACCAGGGCACATTTCCACCCAAGCTAGAGGGCTGTTTACTTGCTATACTAGACATCAGAGCTAATTATAATATATATCCCAAATTACACCCTTCTTTGGAGACTCCAGTGAAAGGTCTTGGCCAAGCAGTGTCCTGGAACCTGGACAAACGGATATGCTAGTTTCGAGCTGATATTGGATACAGGTGAGGCAGGTTAGTGGCTACAGCACCAAGGAGGAGGCCCAGCCCACTGACTCAAGTCTCATAAAGGAGGCCAGGTGAATGCTCTCGAGGGACCTCAACCTGTAGCAGACACTGAATGTTTTCTACACCTATTAATCAAAGATGACTCCTGGCTCCATCAACAATAACAGACATCCAAGTGAAACAGGAAAAAAAGAGGGAGATTATTAGCATAAAACAAGCATAGCTCAAGAGGGCACCTAGGCTAGGAGCAGAACATCAGTTATTTCTTCCCTTGTATATACCCCAAACTCAGCATTTTAAAAAGAATTTTTCATTTACAAAAATTAAAAAATTTTTAATTTTATAATTTCATTTGCATCCTTCTATATTTGCTTTTATTTCACAACAGCAGATTACAGTGGCATATAGCAGCCTTAAAATATTTTGAAGACTTTTAGTAATATACAGAAATGTTCATAATATAAACTGAATGAAACAGAATATGTAATCATCTATGCAATAAAATACCTTAAAATATTTTGAAGACTTGCCGGGCGCAGTGGCTCATGCCTATAATACCAGCACTTTGGGAGGCCGAGGCGGGCAGATCATGAGGTCAGGAGATCAAGACCATCCTGGCTAACACCATGAAACTCTGTCTCTACTAAAAATACAAAAAATTAGCTGGGCATGGTGGCGGGCGCCTGTACTCCCAGCTACTCAGGAGACTAAGTCAGGAGAATTGCTTAAACCCGGGAGGTGGAGGTTCCAATGAGCTGAGATTACGCCACTGCACTCCAGCCTGGGTGACAGAGCAAGACTCTGTCTCAAAAAACAAAAAAATTTTTTTGAAGACTTTTAATAATATACAGAAATATTCATAATATAAACTGAATGAAACAGGATATATAATCATCTATGCAATAAAAGATTAATTTCAAGAACATTTAATTTATTTATATATAATTGGAAAATTTTTCTCAGAGTTGCAATTATAAGCCATTGTTTCTTTCTTTGTATGTTTGGTATTTTCCAAGTTTTTGACAAAATACATACATTACTATTAAAATAATTTAAACACACACACACACACACACACACACACACACACACACACACACACACGAGCCAAGACCAAGTAGTTTAAAAATCTTTCAGGGACACTCTTGTGCATGATGCCAAATCTCCCTTAGTCTTTCCAGAGTACATGGGATTCGTACTTAAATGTCCATGAGCTCCTATTATTTCCATCTTTCTTCCCCAAGTTTCAATTAACTGAGATTTGATTGCAAGATGCGGTTGCTCCTGAGAGGCAGAAGTGTACCTCCCCCAGTCCTGGTGCCAGTTCCTCCTCCTCTAAATTAATACGTCAGGGACAAATCTAAAATCTGAAGGCAACAGTACCTTAGCGCTGCCGCACCTGACGTTTGATTTGGCCCTTCCCCTCCATTCTGTTCACAACCATGAGCAGGAGGACAGGGACCAGGTCTGCCCAACTTGCCTCAATGTTCAGCCATCCCTCAGTTAACTATGCAGCCAACAAATAATGAATTGCCGGAAAACACCTTCATGTGCAAGGATGGCCATTTTGATAACTAGTGTGTACTTGCATATGTGTATTGATTTTTACAATATCTCTATTTCTTGGTGTCTAAAATGACATCACCAGTGAATGTTACAGCTTTCCTTAGAGTAAATGACTTTATCACAGTCCTTTCTTCCTTTGGAAGGGAGAGAGCTATATAACAGCAGGGGCCACTACGGGAAAGAGGGTGTAAGAGCAATGGAAGGTGTGAGGAGTAACCAAAGCTCTGGGCCATTAGATACTCTAAACCACATCTTCAACTAGGACAGGTGCTGTTTTAGGACCAAAGACCAGATGCTTTCCCTTCTCTTCCCCTTAAATGTAAGACCTGAAATCATATAAACTCTAGAAGAAAACCTAGACAGTACCATTCAGGACATAGGCATGGGCAAAGACTTTATGATGAAAACACCAAACGCAATGGCAACAAAAGCCAAAATTGACAAATGGGATCTAATTAAACTAAAGAGTTTCTGCATAGCAAAAGAAACTATCATCAGAGTGAGCAGGCAACCTACAGAATGCGAGAAAATTTCTGCAATCTATCCATCTGACAAAGGGCTAATATCCAGAATCTACAAAGAACTTAAATTTACAAGAAAAAAACAAACGACCCCATCAAAAAGTGGGCAAAGGATATGAACAGACACTTCTCAAAAGAAGACATTTATGCGGCCAACAAACATGAAAAAAAGCTCATCATTATTGGTCATTGGAGAAATGTAAATCAAAACCACAATGAGATACCATCTCACACCAGTTTAAATGGCAATCATTAAAAAGTCAGGAAGCAACAGATGCTGGAGAGGATGTGGAGAAATAGGAACACTTTTACACTGTTGGTGGGAGTGTACATTAGTTTAACCTTTGTGGAAGATAGTGTGGCAATTCCTCAAGGATCTAGAACCAGAAATACCATTTGACCCAGCAATCCCATTACTGGGTATATACCCAAAGGATTAGAAATCATTCTACTATAAAGACATATGCACACGTATGTTTATTACAGCATCATTCTCAATAGCAAAGACTTGGAATCAATCCAAATGTCCATCAATGATGGACTGAATTAAGAAAATGTGACACATATATGCCATGGAATACTATGCAGCCATAAAAAAGGATGAGTTCATGTCCTTTGCAGGGACATGGATGACGCTGGAAACCGTCATTCTCAGCAAACTAACACAGGAACAGAAAACCAAATATTGCATATTCTCTCACTCATCAGTGGGAATTGACCAATGAGAACACGTGGACACAGGGAAGGGAACTTTCACACATCGGGGCCTGTTGGGGTGGGGGGGCTGGGGGAGGGATAGCATTAGGAGAAATACCTAATGTAGATGATGGGTTGATGGGTGTAGCAAAGCACCATGGCACGTGTATACCTATGTAACAAACCTGCACATTCTGCACATGTATCCCAGAACTTAAAGTATAATGAAAAGAAAGATAAAACACAGGGTCAGTCTCTAGTAACTCACGATTGTGCCATATTTAAAGAATGAGTGCAGATACAAAGTATGGGGTCCTCAATCTAGAGACCTCATCATGTTAAAAATTCACATAAATTCTGCCTATTCTTACGGGAATTTCTATGTGTGATCCTAATACCTTTTAGAAAAAAAAGGTCCCATGACCAAACTGAAAATACCAGGTGTTTCTCTCTAGAGTCCTTTTGACCTCTGCCAATATACATCTATGTTCTCTGCCCCTAGTGATTTTAATTGCACATTCTCTTGAATAAACATAGTCCACATAGATGTCGCTAATGGCAACTCCAGCAAAATTGCAGGCTAATGAATTTCTAACAAAATTACTTATATTGAAAGCCTAAAACTATTTTTTAACTCTTCACTGTTCCTGGGAGCCACAGTAGATTTCCTTAGGGCCCAGGAGATGTGAGAAGAGAGGTCACTGCAGGTATGCAAATCAGGCTCCCTGTTTAAGTAAGACTAGCTCACTGCCTAGTGACCCTGCTCATGGGGCTCAGTGTCCTCACCTAAAAAACAATGCACATTTAGCAACTCCAACATCATCCTCTCTTGCCAAGAAATTATATAAATATTTGTCATCTTGATTAAGTAACTATTGACAGAGCAGGAGTATCGCCATCTTGGACAAGCACTGTCATTCTAAAGTTCACCTTGATTAAAAACCGCCTAAATCTAAAGGGCATCAGCCTAATGGCTAAGGTCAGCATGACCATAAAAAACAAATAACATCTCCAACCAAAAACACTCCAAACCCCTCCCTGACCTGAGACATGCCAGCCCTGAGATAACGTCCCCTTCGGCCAGAGAGATGTCAGCCCCAAGATAACCTCCCATCTGACCAGAGACATTCCAACCCTGCTATAAACTTCTCCCCAACATACAAACATTCCAAGCTTGTGATAAGCCCCCTACCCTGAAACTAATATATACTCTTAGTCTATAAAAGATAATGCTCCTCACCAAAATTGGCCAGGAGCCCCTCTCAGGCTTATTTCTCTAAAATAAACCCATCTTTAACTGTTAAGCTGCATTTCATGTTTCTTTCCTCTTTCTTTAACTCTTACAACTATAATTTATTTCACTGAATCACTGTACAACTACTGTGCCCCTGAACATTATCTTAATAAAGTTGAAGAATCATATACAGGCAAATTTGGTATCATCCTGTATGCTACCTAATTCAACTAAATGCTCATCATGGCCAGGCACGGTGGCTCACGCCTATAATCCCAGCACTTTGGGAGGCTGAGGCGGGTGGATCACGAGGTCAGGAGATTGAGACCATCCTGGCTAACACGGTGAAATCCCGTCTCTACTAAAAATACAAAAACTTAGCTGGGCATGGTGGCGGGTGCCTGTAGTCCCAGCTACTCGGGAGGCTGAGGCAGGAGAATGGCATGAACCTGGGAGGCAGAGTTTGCAGTGAGCCGAGGTCGCGCCACTGCACTCCAGCCTGGGCGACAGAGCAAGACTCCGTCTCAAAAAAGAAATGCTCATCATTTGCAAAAATTCTGATCGCTAAATTTGCTTTCAGGCTTAGTTTGGAGGTCAAATAAGATTTTTCTCCTTTAGAATGAGTTTATATATAATAAGCTGAAAACACACAGTAGAATAAATTCTACTCCAAATTTCTAAAGTTCTCAAAATAATACCCAGGTCATCTTCTGTACTCTAAAGAGATGGGTCCAAAACAAGAAACTGACTAATCAAAATTTTAAAACTCTACAATTTAAGTCCTCTGAACAGCTCATGGCATCTGAGAGCAGAAGTAGAGCTGGCAGTCACATGGTCCAAGTCCATCTCTTCCTTTGGAAAATAGACCAGGGAAGATGAGGCAGCTCACCCACAGTCATACACTGGCCAAGTCCAGAGAGACAGCAAGGTAGGGCTATGCTCCCCTCCTAGGTGACACCCAATGAGACCAATGTGCCAGCTTGCTGTTCTTGAAATCTTTAAACTACTCCTCATTCACTTCTTTTTTTTTTTTTTTCTTTTGAGATGGAGTCTCGCTCTGTTGCCAGGCTGGAGTGCAGTGGTGCAATCTTGGCTTACTGCAACCTCCATCTCCCAGGTTCAAGCAATTCTCCTGCCTCAGTCTCCCGAGTATCTGGGACTATAGGCGTGCGCCACCACGCCCAGCTAATTTTCGTATTTTTAGTAGAGATGGGGTTTCACTACGTTGGCCAGGATGGTCTCGATCTCTTGACCTCGTGATCCGCCTGCCTCGGTCATTCACTTATTATTAAATGATAGTTTTACTTATCTCTTCAGAAGCTATGTCTATGTAATTGTAAGACATCTGCTTTTTATAGTTGATGCAGAAAAAATATAGTCAAATCTCCTAAGCAGTCTTAGCCACTGGCTGAGAACGGCTGCCGAGAGACTCAGCCAGAGTAATGTGGAAGTTGCATTTTCTGCCTGGAGGCTAAGGGATTATCCACTAAGCAAGCCTACAACCTGGGGGAAAAAATGTAAAAAAAAGGGCACATCTTGTGGAAGTGTTGGCACACTAACCTGAGTAGTTAGGTCTGTGGTAATTGTGAGGTGGTTTTCTGAAAAGGAAACAAAATGATTCACTAAAAGGCATGACACAGTATGGGATGGTGCCAAGTATCATGTCACAGAAAGTGAAAATGTAACAGATCAAAGAAGGCTCCACTCCAAAGTGGAGAAATTGCAGGAAAAAGGCTCTTGCTTCCACCCTGTGTGGCTCTGACCTCATTTTGTGCTTTTAACAACCACAGGCCAACCCAATTCTAAAACTGTGCACGCAACGAAGTCCTGATGCAAAAAAACAAAAACAGAAAAGCAAAACACCTCCTGGCTAAGAGGAAAGAGTGGAGAATACAAAAGGGGTGGCAAGAAGAGAAGCATCTACCTGCCCGTCTGCAGCATTCTGAGACATGACAGCTGGGTCCCTGGGAAAACAGAGTATTCCAGATATAAGTCCTGGCTTAGCTTATCCCTGTCACACACAACCCTCCACCTCATCTAGCTTGCTCTTAAAAAACAAAGTGGAGTACTGAGATGATGGTCTGAGGCTTAGGGCCTGTCTCATTTCCAGAGACAGACTTTCCATCTCTTCCTGCCCCACGGTGCACGGGGGCTACATCAGCACTGGGAGGCGGTGGGGAGAGGTGGAAGGCAGGGGCGGCAGGGTAACTGAAGGGACGAGAGAGCTGCACTGGCTTTTTTTTGGGGGTTTTTTTTTTTTGAGACAGGGTCTCACTATGTTGCCCAGGCTGGAATGCAGTGGCTAGTCACAGGTGAAATCCCACTACTGAACAGTGCAGGAGTTTTGACCTGCTCCGTTTCTGACCTGGGCCAGTTCACTCCTCCTTAGGCAACCTGGTGGTCCCCTGCTTTTGGTGGTAGTGGGGGGAATCCCCATATTGATGCAGATACCCAATTGGCATAGCACACTATAGCCCAGAACTCTCTAGCTCAAGCAATTGCACTGTTTA
This sequence comes from Homo sapiens, assembly GCF_000001405.40. NCBI lineage: Eukaryota > Metazoa > Chordata > Mammalia > Primates > Hominidae > Homo > Homo sapiens. The sequence continues at coordinate 111,930,215 of NC_000002.12, read as the reverse complement.
AAAAGCCCCACATGGCCAGGGTGATTTTAACGTCTCCTCCTACCCGGTAAGAAACACTGTTCCCACTCACTGGTAGAGCTCTTGGGTCCAGCTGTACTTGATATGATATGTAGGTCAGGTGGGAAGTAGCCTCCCAGGCCCAGCCCCTGAGTATCTGTTAACCAACAGTTCCAACACTGCCAAGCTCAGATTGAACACACACTGTCAGTTATCCTTCAACTCTCTAAAGGGACCAGTGGTTTGCTTAAATAGAAAACAAAAGGCTTTTGCTTTTGAGGCAGCATTAGCATAATGACATTTAAAAAGAAAGGAAGAGGCCTGGCAAGGTGGCTCATGCCTGTAATCCCAGCACTTTGGGAGGCCTAGGTGGCCGGATCACCCAAGGTCAGGAGTTTGAGACCAGCCTGGGCATCATGGTGAAACCTCATCTCTACAAAAAATACAAAAAAAAAAAAAAAAAAATTAGCTGGGTGTGGTGGTGGGCGCCTGTAATCCCAGCTACGCCGGAGGCTGAGGCAGGAGAATCGTTTGAACTCAGGAGGTGGAGGTTGCAATGAGCTGAGATCGTGCCACTGCACTCCAGCCTGGGCTACAGAATGATACTCTGTCTCAATAAGTAAATAAATAAATAAATATTAAAACTAAAAAAATAAAAAAGGAAGAAAGAACACATACCTGAAGGAAGCGATTATTGCTGTAACTTCATCATCTGGATAAAACTGTGTAATTGCATGATGTGCCCCAAGCAATTCCTTCCCATCTTTCCACCAAGAAATTGTGGTGTCCTGGTATATATTAGGTACACTGATTGAGCAATTAAATTTGACACCTTTATGTTCAGAAAGTATTATGTGTCCAACTGTGTGTTTGAAGGCAAGAGGCGGTAGGGGCTTTGATTCGACAGAGGTCACCTGGGGAATGGCTACGTTTCCTGTATGTGGTCTTCCAGGCTGGGTTGGTGAAAACATCAAGGCAGGCTGGTACCCACTGGCGTGAGGAAGGGATAACAGCGGTGTGTGGTCAGTTTGCAGGCTCCCTGGAAAAGGTCCCGGGAATAGCGGGTAAGGCTTGGCTTCTTCCCTTGCCTCAGTGATAGCTGTAAAACAGAACATCCAAATTTTAGCCTTTTAAATAAGAAGAGTTTCCCAAGTAGGTTCCCAACTTCTTAGGCCAAGAAGAGAGAGCACTGGGGTGTCCTCTGTGCCCCAGGAAAAGATAAGCAGAATTCATTAACACACACATCTGGACATATTCTTATTCACCAGTTCATTCGTTTGTAAACTCGCCTCTGGAAGAGTCCTGAAGAAATGTAACCACCCCCACCAAAAATAAAAATTTTCTTATTACTGACTCATTCCAAGTCCTTCATGCCCAACTCAGCAGTATAAGAAGAAGGTGATGACACAGCAGGGCTCAAGGTCACTTTTCTTGGCCAGGCGCGGTGGCTCACACCTGTAATCTTGGCACTTTGGGAGGTCGAGACAGGAGGATCACCTGAGGTCAGGAGTTTGAGACAAGCCTGGCCAACATGGCAAAAACCTGTCTCTACTAAAAATACAAAAATTAGCTGGGCATGGTGGCACATTCCCGTAATCCCAGCTACTCAGGAGGTTGAAGCAGGAGAACAGCTTGAACCTGGGAGGCGGAGGTTACAGTGAGCCAAGGTAGCACCACAGCACTCCAGCCTGGGTGACAGAGAGAGACCCTGTCTCAAAATAAATAACTTTTCTTACTGTCTGCTCTGTCAGAGACTATGCTGCAAATTTGGCTGATAGTCTTTAAAAAGCTGATTGAGGTTCGAAAAAAAAAAACCACCCCAAAAATTAGCCAGATGTGTTGGCATGCATCTGTAGTCCCAGCTATTTGGGGGGCTGAGGAAGGAGGATCGCTTGAGCCCAGGAGATCAAGGCTGTGGTGAGCCAAGATTGTGCCACTGCACTCCAGCCTGGGTGACAGAGTGAGACCCTGTCTCAAAAAAAAAAAAAAAAAAAAAAAAAAAGCTGCTCATGGCCACAAAGAGATGAGTTTACAATTTTTGTGCCTTAACAACAAAAAAAGTGTTCTTAAGTTACCAGCTATAGAATACTGAAGCTTCCAGGAAAATGCTTGCTTGCTGGAATAAACCTGGAAATGTTTTTATTTCATCTGGTCCACAAGTATTTTAGATGGTTTCTGAGCAAGGGAAGGCTCATAATAGCTGTACTTTTAGCTTTCTGAGTGGCATTTTTGGACACAGATTCTACACTGGTTGTTATCTATTCAAATACGTTGGGAGGGAGTGAGTGAGACAGGTGGGTGAGAGAGATATAGGCCTAGCAGTCTACATTATGGGTTGGTGACTGGGGGTACACAGTGGGGGCTCCATCCTTGCTCAAGGGCTGGCCTCCTGCCATGCTCAGGACATCATGCCCTCCTGGGCTCCTGAGTGTGTGTGTGCAGGGAGTAGGGTGTTCTTTGCTCAGAGTTGTGCCCGATTTAGCAAATAACACAGGATGCCCAGTTAAGCTTGAATTTCAGATGAACAACAAATAATTGTTTTTTAAACAAACAGGGCCTTCTTGCTCTGTCACCCAGGCTGGAGAGCAGTGGTACAGTAACTCACTGCAACTTCAATCTCCTAGGCTCAAGCGATCCTCCTACCTCAGCCTCCCGAGTAGGTTGTACTATAGGCTCGTGCTACCATGTCCAGCTAGTTTAAAATTTTTTCTTGTAGGGAGGGAGTCTGGCTATGTATGTGCCCAGGCTGGAATTTTTTAAATTTAAGTATTCAGTTAAGTATTTAATTGGCTAATGGGAGATATAAGTAGGAAATCGTGGGGCAGAAGGGAGGGGATCTGGGAATTTTTCCTCTAGGTTCCTCTCTGCCAAGCCACTCTGGACAGCACATATGCCTCAACTGAAGGGCATACCCCTGTCTGGGAGCCCTTGCCATGCAGCTCCCTCTCCCATTCCAGCAACTGCTCCCTCCCAGGCCCCTTTGATGTTGGGGGCCAACTCTCATGGCTGTTGCCTTTGGGAACTGCCTCCTTAGTGAGTCAGGATCAATGCCAGATAGAAGAGAAGAGATTTTCCTACAAGGATACAGGAAGACTTTTCCTTATCCTGAGGTCTTGGTGAGTGTGGGAGTGTAGGGCCTTCTGTGTGCTTTAGGGGAGGGCTATGTGGGTCAGCTGTGGGCTGGCCTGGAGCCCAGCTGTCCAGACAGATGAATGTGCCATCATGGGAGTGTTCACTTATGCTAGGGAGTGAAGATCAGGATGACAACAGACAGGGACCATTGCCTCTCCAGTCACTCACAGCCCACATGCCAGGCAAACCTTCACAAGGGTGGACCTATGCTCTTGGTAGGAGGAGGGGGCTCCCCTTCCTCTGATGTGTGGATGCTTTCTGCAGCAATGCATGTTCTGGCTGTTTGTCTCATACCTGCAGAGCTCCCTCAAGGGTGCTCTACTTACTCATGTAGGCTTTGTTTTTGTTTGCTTTCTGAGATGGAGTCTCGCTCTGTCACCAGGCTGGAGTGGAGTGCAGTGGCGCAATCTCAGTTCTCTGCAACCTCTGCCTCCCAGGTTCAAGTGATTTTCCTGCCTCAGCCTCCTGAGTAGCTGGGACTACAGGTGCGCGCCACCATGCCCGGCTAATCTGTGTATTTTTAGTAGAGACGGGGTTTCACCATGTTAGCCAGGATGGTCTTCATCTCTTGACCTTGTGATCCACCTGCCTCGGCCTCCCAAAGTGCTGGGATTACAGGCGTGAGCCACCACACTTGGCCCTTTATTCATGTACTTTGAAGCCTTGACAATTCACCTTTGCCACTTGGGTGGGCACACTCATCTGTGGTTCTTCCTATTCACTGAGCTACAGAGGACTCAGGAGTTAGGGGTTTAATCCAAATCACTTTTTTCCCCCATTTAAATATAGGTCCCTTTCTTAGAAGGCAAAAATGGGAAGTGGGAGAAGCAAATTATACCTTCATTGGTTTAATTTATTTAAGAATATTTTAAATTTTTAATTAGGAACTTAACAAATTTGTTGTGAAAAAATTCAAATATTTATTGAAGCATATACAATATAAAATGAAAGTCTGGGGCTGGGCGCAGTGGCTCACGCCTGTAATCCCAGCACTTTGGGAGGCCAAGGCAGGCGGATCACGAGGTCAGGAGATCGAGACCATCCTGGCTAACACGGTGAAACCCCATCTCTACTAAAAATACAAAAAATTAGCCGGGCATGGTGGCAGACACGGGTAGTCCCAGCTACTCAGGAGGCTGAGGCAGGAGAATGGCAGAACCCGGGAGGCGGAGCTTGCAGTGAGCCGAGATCGCGCCACTGTACTCTAGCCTGGGGGACAGAGCGAGACTCTGTCTCAGAAAAAAAAAAAAATTAAAAAAAATAATAATAAAGTCTGTTTTGTAAGCCCAACCCTGCAAGATAATAACCTCTGATTACAATTTGGGGTATAATCTTCAGTTTTCCATGAGCCAAGCTGTTCACCAAACAAAGTGTTAACTTGGTTAGGGGCAAGGCCACCCACTAAAGTGACATCACTGAAGTCCGGGAGCCACGAAACCTACCCTGAAATCACTCAACACTCTAGATGGTTTAAAAGATATCTGGGCCAGGCGCGGTGGCTCACGCCTGTAATCCCAGCACTTTGGGAGGCTGAGGTGGGTGGATCACCTGAGGTCAGGAGTTCGAGACAAGCCTGGCCAACATGGTGAAACCCCGTCTCTACTAAAAATACGAAAATTTAGCCAAGCGTAGTGGTGGGTGCCTGTAATCCCAGCTACTCAGGAGGCTGAGACAGGAGAATCGCTTGAACCCGGGAGGCAGAGGTTGCAGTAAGCCAAGATCTCACCATTGCACTCCAGCCTGGGCAACAAGAGCGAAAATCCATCTCAAAAAAAAAAAAAAAAAAAAAAAAAATATATATATATATATATCTGATCTGTACAATTTGATTTACCAGAAGTTGATAGAATGATTTGATTGCCAACAGATATTTATATAGCACCTCCTGGGTTCAAGATTTGCTACGACAGTCAAATGGGATAAAGAAAGAGACTTATTTCAGGAACAGAGCCACAGTGGGTCCCAGGAGCTAAAGGGGAGATGGACATGGCTAACTGGGGGTGGGGAGGGGAGGCTGCCCATAGCATCAGGGAGGCCTTCTCTGACTAACCTCCTATAGTTAGCACCCCCAGGTTAGGTGCTAGGACCCTTTTGTAATACATCTTACGATTACTCATCCAGTTCTTTCTCCACTGCCGGACTGAAAGCTCCATGATACCTACCACCTACACTACAGCCAGTATGTAGGAGGTGCTCAAAATAGGTTTGTTGAATGAGTGAGTAAAGGATGGATCTGAGGGATGGAGAAGGTGCCTGGGGCTGCCAGGGTCAAAGGTGGTGGGAAACTGAAGAGACAGGAAGTAGCCCAACCAGTTTGGGAACAGCAATTTAGCTGAAGAGTAGAGCTACTCTGCTAGAACAAAAATGGGAGATAAACCAAAATTAAGGTGAATGTGGAGAGCCCTGAATCCCAGTCGAGGCAGGAGAAGTTCCTGGAAGGCTTCTGAGCAAGGGAGAGCAAGGCTCAGAGCTAGGCTTGATGAGGGGGATTCTGGCACCAGCAACTGGCTGAGTAGGAGGAAGAAGAGCAGGAAGTGGGAACCTTCCAGGAAGGCAGTGAAGACCTGACTACAGGGGCAGTCAGTGAAGAGTAGGAAGGATACAGGAGACCAAGAAGAGGGGGCTGACAGCAACAGCATCCTCACTACCACCAGTGTTCCACAAAGGAAAGTCAGTCTGACACCAGATATTGAGGAAAGATGCGATCCTGGCATAAAGGAGAGTTCTCAGGAGTGGACAGCTGGTGGCTCGAGGCTGCTCAGGCTCAGTTTGCTCACAGGGAAAGTGGGGATGGCAACCATGGTGCCTCATAGGGTTGCCAACGGGAATAAAGGAGTTATTACTGTCTGGATCACAGTAAGCACTCAATGTTAGCTATTATTTTAATTATTTTCTCATTTTATTATGAGTTAGTAAAAATCTTCCATGGTCTAACCCTTGAGAACTGTTGGGACTGAGGCTGGACCCCCACGTGGCTGGTGAGATTGGTGAGGCTCGTACTGCACAATTTTAGTGGGGTGGTATTGCCATTCACATCGTTGTTGGCTGTATAAATTGTTCTCTAGAGCTGTGCAATGCATAACCTCACCAGCCCTGTGTGGGGGCACTGGGTGATTATACAAAATGTGAAGAAAAAAAAGCCAAAACAAAAACCATTCCAAGGTTTTGGACCCAAGGGTTTGGGCAATGATGAATTAGAAATTATATTTTAAGTTGCTAAATTTTTCATTGTTTCTATTACTTTGGTTGTATAACGTATCTTTTCCCCCTGTTTTTCCCCCACAGAAGTGGAATACTCTCAAAATTATTTTTGGGTAGTGATTGCAGATGAATTCAGACTGAAAGGCTTACCCACATCAAAGACTTAATGCAAATGTGGTCCTTTCTACACAGCACATGGAAAAGTGGGGTGCCTCTGGTTGTAATTTGGGTGGAATTCACAAGAAATCTCCACCTTATCCCTCCCACCTTCTTCCAGGATTGCTTCCTCATGTGGACTGGATAAACAGCTGGAGTGGAATTTTAACTTCACATAAACGAGTGCTGCTAAGCTGCCTTGGATCACTAGCCTCCCACTCAGGTCCCAGAGTAGCCGCCCAGCTGCTCCAGCAGCTGCATTTACCAACTCCAGGGGCCACTCCATCCAGTCCTGGACTTGTGTGGTGCAGCACCCCTGCACTGTGCCCATGTGTTTCCAATCACCATGCAGCCCTTGACCAGAGCCCTAGCGTCCGCTTCTTAAAGTCAGGGCTTTTGTCTCCATCATCTTTCTTCAGCACCCAGTACAGGACAGGCCCAAGGGACCTGATTAGTGAATGTTTATTCACATACTGCCCATTTTTCTGTGTGAGTTTGCCCTGTTTTTCTGAACATACTTGTCTGTAACTTCCTTGAAGGCTGGAGGTGGCATCATCTGAACCCATCATGATGATTGGCATGGAGTCACATGCAGCAAACATTTACAGAATAAACGGGTGTGACGTGCAGAGGTCCTGAAGGGTGAGCAGGGAAGAGAGGTGGTCCAGGCAAGGACACTGCTGTGGCTGGAGACAGAACTTGGAGAGGCTGTCAGCATGCCTATGACACACAATTACAGTGGCTCAGACATTTAGGGACTTTGTGAATAGTCTCTTAGACTCAAAATTCGTTCATTAGGGCAAGCCAGTAAAGAATGTTATTTTCCATGTGATCAACTAGTGCATCCTACCCTCAAATCCATGAATCCTTGCTGAGCACTTGTCAAATGCAGTGTGCAAAGGCAGAAGGGCTGGTGGGCAGTGCTGCTCAGAGGTTAGCTAGCAGCTTTGCAGTCAGAGGGCTGAGGCCCACCCAGTCCCTCACCACCTCAAGGTATGGCCTCAGGAAAGCTCTATAACTTCTTTGAACTCTTGTGAGGACAAGAGGATCTCAGCAGTAGGAGCTGATAGGCATCGAGTCCACCAGCACACTCCAAAAATATTGGCTGACATGGCTGTTACTGGCTTGCATCTGAACCCTGGCCTGCTGGCCACCTAAAGTAGGAATTTCTAAAGCCAGGTCTGGGCCCTGCGGGGATAAGGGCTGAGTTTAATTAGTGATGTCTGCCTTGGACAATGCATGGGGAAGGGCAATACTAGAGTAATATAATTGCCAGCCATGAGTGAGAGGAAAAAATATACATCGGGCTTGGGATGCGAAGGGCTCTTAGCTCTAAGGCATCTCTCAATCTCTCCAGGGATGGTCTCCACCAGCCTTTCCTAACATGAGCTCCTTTGATTTTCTTGAAGCTTGGTGATCACAGCCCAAGGTGATCACCGAGGTGACTAAAGAAAGCAGCAGCAACTGAAATTGCAGGTCCCATGATAGTGGGTGGGGATGTGGCAGCAAGCAGCCTCCCTGGCCCTGGAGTCCCTCCATGCTGTGGGAAGAGGGTTGAGCAGGGCAGGTGGCAGCCCTGTGGGACTGAGGGTGCTGGCTGGTGAACCCTGTTCAGTTCCACCCCACCCCAGCTACCCCAGGATGCTGTGTGCCATCAGCCTGCTTTATGATCCCAGGCACCTGGGAAGAGAGAGGAATAGCTCCTCTACCAGAGTTACAGTAATGGCAGGAGTGAGTGCCAGCCTGTGGGACCCATTACTCCTGCTCTTTCTATTCCTTCCCCAACAATAAAATGGGCAGAAGCATCAGCTGAGCTCTCTAAAGTTCAGCCTCAAACTCAAGAGGCCCAGGCTAGGCGTGGTGGCTCCCAGCACTTTGGGAGGCCGAAGCGGGAGGATTGCTTGAGCCCAGGAGTTCAAGATCAGCCTGGGCAACAGAGTGAGACAAGTCTCTACCAAAAATAGAAATAAAAGAAAAACGAGGCCCAGAGGAGGCTGCAAAAGAGTGAGGGCTTATCTTTCAGTTCCTAGAGGTTCTTTGCTTCCCAACTCAAGCACACATGAACATATGGCACATAAATGCATGGCCAAGAGGATGCACCTTATTCCAGAGGTATGCTGTTTCCTCACCAGTCTTGCTGTCTGCTGAAGGTATTTGCTATCAAACAGCCCTACAGCCCTTCTGCAGGTGGGTTTGTGATTTAGAGAAAGGCTTTTTTTTTTTTTTTGAGATCGCGTCTTAGTCTGTCACAGCCCAGGCTGGAGTGCAGTGGTGTGATCTCAGCTCACTGCAAACCTCGCCTCCAGGGTTCAAGCAATTCTCCTGCCTCAGCCTCCTGAGTAGCAGGGACTACAGGCAGGTACCACCATGCCCAGCTAATTTTTGTATTTTTAGTAAAGACCGAGTTTCACCATGTTGGTCAGGCTGGTGTCGAACTCCTAACCTCAGGTGATCTGCCCGCCTTCACCTCCCAAAGTTCAGAGAAAGGCTTTTGCATCTGGAATCCTGTAAATGCTGGTATCCCTGTTTCCCTACCCTCTCTAGGAGAAAACGCAGAACCTAGACCAGTGCCCCCACCCCACATTCTGTGTGCACACACCAGGCTGATATTTGAATCATGTCCTGAGCAGCTGCCCTGTCACCCAGGTTAAGGACTCCCACCCCACTCCCTTTACCCCCACAGCTAGCTGAGGCCAAACATAGCACAAAAGGAAATTTTCTACTTAGTACTATTTATGCAATACCCAAAGGATTCCTGATTGATAAAGTGTAGTGGCCAGTCGCAGTGGCTCACGCCTGTAATCCCAGCACTTTGGGAGGCCGAGGCGGGCAGATCACCTGAGGTCAGGAGTTCAAGACCAGCCTGGCCAACATGGCAAAACCCTGTCTCTACTAAAAAATACAAAAAGTAGCCAGGCCTGGTGGCAGGCGCCTGTAATCCCAGCTACTCGGGAGGGTGAGGCAGGGAGAATTGCTTGAACCCGGGAGGCAGAAGTTGCAGTGAGCTGAGATCACGCCACTGCACTCCAGCGTAGGCAACACAGTGAGACTCTGTTTCGGAAAATAAATAAATAAATAAATAAAATAAAGAGTAGCAACACTTCATTAGAAGAAAAACAAACAAACAGAGTAGCAACACTTCATTAGAAGAAAAAGAAAAAAAAAAAACAACCTTCAATCAGAACTCACTTGACCTGATGGATCAGTCCTAAATTGCAAATGGTAATTATTAACTTCACTGGAGTGACCCTTGGGCCACTTGGAGAATGTTAAAGGAGGAAGAGGCGATCACGCCACCCATTTGCCCTAAGTGTAGCAAAGCCCTGCAAGAGAAAGCGGGTGGCTGGCTCTGAGTCAGTGCTGGAGAGAACAGGCCTGGCGCTTGCAGGAAGGAAAGGAAGTAAATGGCTGGGCAGTGTGTGCCCCAAGAGGTCACAGCCCAGCCACAGGAGGAGAAAAGCCCAAGTGCCAGTGAAAGCCCAGAAATGCCTGCACGGTGGAAGGAACGTGAAGTTGCCTGTAAAACACGGTGTTGGCATTGGGTTGCCAGATAAAAAACAGTACAGCCCTTTACACCTGAATTTCAGATAAGCAACCAATATGGGAACACCCCGGATTTACTTAGAGGAACAAATATAACTTAGTATCATTTAGTCAAAACCAGCTGGAGCCACAGCACTAGGGATTTCATTGTTGCCCTTCCCACAGGCTGCTTCTTGGGGCTTAGAGCAGCATGGAGAGTGGGTCTGGAGGGGCAAACAGGGACCTGGCACACCAGGAAAGCTATCCAACCTCTCTGAACCAAGGCTTGCAGCATGAAGGGGCTGAGACATCTGAGCAAAAGCACAAGGGGCTTGCTTATCAGTGGGGTGACCTTCCTACTGCCCCTGGCCCAATACATTCCTTTTGGCTCAAAAAAAAAAAAAAAAAGAAAAGAAAAAGAAAAAACATCAAAAAACAAAATGAGCAGAGGTACCTCTCTGCTTGGCCTTGAACACACATGTTAGCAGGGCAAGCCCCAAGGGCCCCAAAGGGCTTTAGGTACCCTCTCATCATCCCTTTCAGCCTGTCCCCCACTTTTTCACTGGGGCATTTGCCTTTTTCTTGGTGGTGCTTTGCAAAAGAAGCTTCCCAAACAGACTGCAATGTCCATGTCCCTACCATGGGGGGCACCAATGCAACCAGAAAAGAGCCTTCCAGAATCTGACCTCGACTTTTCACTATCTTCTTCCAACTCTCCCACTATGCTGTCAAACCCAGCGGAACATCAGAATCTTCCAGGAAATGTTTTTAAGCTTCTGATGCCCATGTCCCACCCAGGGCTTGAATTTATTGGCTCAGGGTGCAGCTTGGGCACTGGGATTTAAAAAAAAATCTCCTCTTATGATTCTAATGTGCAGCCAGGGTCAGACCCCTACTTTAGGGAATAGATTCAGTGGCACAGATCACTCTAAGGTGGGCCAGGGGGCTGCGGAAGGCCAGGGATGGGGGGCACTGAATGGCCTGGATGGAGCTCGCAAATCCTCATGCAGAGGGCCCAGGTTTGACTGCACGTGCTTTAGGAGATGAGGAGGCTGCAGGAGAGGTGGGGTGAGAACAAGAACCCTAAAGTCAGAGGGACAAGGCATAGCCCCAGCTCAGCCACGTAGAGGCCAGGTGACCTTGTGTAAGTCACCTGTCCATTCAAAACTCACTCTCCTCTTTCTGTAAAATGAGACAGTTTCCCTCCAGCCTTTGGGGCTCTGGGGTTGATTCTCCCCAAGACTCAGCTGTGGCTTTCACAAGACCCAGAAGAGATGCTGAGTCCCCAAGTTTAATTTCTCCATCATGCCACTCCCAAAACATACCCTCCAGCTCACCAGTACCTGAATTCTCTACTTCAGTACCTGTTTTCTCTCCAAGATAAGAGTGGAATATTGCACGTGAAACAATGCACAGTGTCTGGCATCCACAGACATGCAATAAATGGCAGCTATTATTTTCCTAACATGAAACATCTGATCTGTCTTGTTTCAAAGGTGCAACTAGTCATGCCTGGACTATCAATGCCAAACATATGGAACTGATTATGCTGACTCAGACCATTCAACTCTTGCAATGAAATATGAATACTGTATACAATATCATGTTTACTTAACCAAAGGTTTCCCTCTGCTTTCTCCACTGGCAGCATGCCAATTGTCACAGAAAGGCTCTGAGGCAATACTGTCTGGCCAGGGTCTCAAAGGGGCTTTCCCCTCTGGGGGTCTGGGGTTGATACTGCCGGAGGCCCAACTGTGGCTTTCATAAGACCCAGATGAGATGCTCAGTTCATGTTAACTTTTCCATCATGCCACTCCCAAAACATATACTCCAGCCTACCAGTACGTAAATTACTATTACTAAAAAGCCGATCCTTAAGGAAAAAACAATTTTCTTTTAAAATGTGACTATCTCCGGAAGACCAGACCTGTTAGCAAGAAGTTTGTTAAAGTCCTCCCTAAGTAACAGAGAACAAAGAATCCCCTCCAAAAACAGACTAGATGTACTTTTCCCTATTCTTCCCACTAAGTACACCCCAGAACACTAGATATTAAATAAGCATTTTCAAAACTCTGACTTAGAGTAGTCAAAAATCACATAGAACAGAATATAGATAGGATGGTGGTTGCCAGTGGCTAAGGGGAGAGGGAATGGGGAATTAGTGTTTAATGGTTACAGAGTTTCAGTTTTACAGGATGAAAATGAATGGTGGCCACGACTGCACAACATTATGAATATATTTAATTCCACTGAGCTCTACACTTACAAATGGTTAAGATGGTAAATTATATGTTATGTGTCTTTTGGCATTTTTTTTTTTTTTTAAGACAGAGTCTCACTCTGTCACCAGGCTGGAGTGTAGTCGCACGATCTCGACTCACTGCAACCTCCACCTCCCAGGTTTAAGCGATTCTCCTGCCTCAGCCTCCGGAGTAGCTGGGACTACAGGCGCACGCTACCACGCCCAGCTAATTTTTGTATTTTTAGTAGAGACGGGGTTTCACCATGTTGGCCAGGATGGTCTCCATCTCTTGACCTTGTGATCCGCCCACCTCGGCCTCCCAAAGTGCTGGGATTACAGGCGTCGGCCACTGCGCCTGGCCTCGTCTTTTAGCATAATTTTAAAAAACAAGACAAAACTCTGAAAGGTAGAGAGAAGCAGGCAGACTGGCTAGGAACCTCAGGACTCAAGAACAAATCGGTTTCCTTTTGCCCCATATGTCCTAGACTAGGAGCTAAAGACAAGGAAAGGGGCAGCCCAGCCAGACAGAAAACTTTTAGACAATAAACTGCTCTACTCCAGGCAAGCAACCCAAAACACATCACGGCCCCGTCCCCATCCACACCAGCAAAAGTCAAGTGAGAAATCTAGACTTCCACCCTCACCAAGCTATAGAGAAGTACTACAAGTGGCCCTCCAGGGTGGCGTCAGAAAGGGCCTAGAGGAAGTAGAGAACTAAGATGTCTAGCCCCACTGACTGGTGTGAGGACCATGTGGGAGCCAGGCCTTCCATCCCCACCCAGCATTAATGAAGCAATGAAGCATCTCTCCTCCTCCCTACTGGGGCAGTATCTGGGGCCTGCAGAAAGTCAGGGCTTTCACTGCCAACCAGAAAGGAGGCCATCCTTCCCCCTACTCTAGTGTTTGGGGAGGCCAGGTGGGGAAGAATTGGAACAGAAATGAGGCACTTCTACCCCTCTGAGCCAGAGAGGTATCAGTGGAAGCCTGGTGGGGAGCCGGAACTGCCACCTGACCTCTGACCAGCAGTAATGAAGATATCCCCACACTCAGATGTCAATGGAGGCTGAGTGAGGAACCTAGAATTCTACCCCTACCTGGCAGCAACGAGGCAGCATGCCCTCTTCCCCAGCCAGAGCAAGTCAGAGGAAAACAGGTAAAACAGAAGACTAAACTAAGATCCAGGGTCTCAAAATGTCTGTGTGCCAAAAAAATAAATAAATAAATAAAACTGATCTCAAGCAGAATGAAATGCCAACATCAAAATGACAAATCTTCTGAAAAATCTTTTAAAGAAGCAATCATAAAAATATTTAAATGAACAATTATGAACATGCTTGAAACATGAAAAAACAGAAAGCCACAGCAAAGAAATACAAAGTCTCAGTAAAGAAATAGAAGATCTTTTTAAAAATCAAAAGGAAATTTTAGAACTAAAAAAATACAATAACCAAAAATTTAAAAACTCAATGGATAAGTTCAACAGTAAAATGAAAGGGGAACAAAAGAAAGAATCGGTATACTAAAAACAAAACAATAGAATTCAATTTGACCATGAGAAGAGACTGAAAAAAATGAATAGAGTCTCTGGGACTACTATTAAAGATCTAAAATCCGTATCACTGAAGTCCTGAAAGGAGAGGAGAAAGAAAGCAAGGCTAAAAGGGAACTTGAAGGGCCAGGCGCGGTGGCTCTCGCCTGTAATCCCAGCACTTTGGGAAGCCAAGGTGGGCGGAATTGCTTGAACCCGGGAGGCGGAGCTTGCAGTGAGCCAAGATGGTGCCATCAGAGTGCCACTGCACTTCAGCCTGGGTGACAGAATGAGACCCTGTTTCAAAAAAATAAAGAAAAGAAAAAAATATAATCTATATTTATAGAACACTCTTCCCAACAATAGAATACACATTCTTTCGAAGATCAATGATATAAAGCAAACCTCAACAAATTAAAAATAACTGAAATCATATAGTCTATGTTCTCTAATTACAATGGAAATAACCAGATATTAATAACAGAAACACAATAGAAATTCTCAACACTTGCAAACTAAACTTATTTATTTATTTATTTTGGAGATGGAGTTTTTGCTCTTGTTGCCCAGGCTAGAGTGCAATAGTGCAATCTCAGCTTACTACAACCTCTGTCTCCCGGGTTCAAGTGATTCTCCTGCCTCAGCTCCCCAAATAGCTGGGATTACAGGCACGTGCCACCAAGCCTGGCTAATTTTTTGTATTTAGTAGAGATGAGGTTTCACCATGTTGGTCAGACTGGTCTCGAACTCCTGACCTCAGGTGATCCACCCGCTTCAGCCTCCCAAAGTGCTGGGATTACCACGCCCAGCCGCAAACTAAACTTCTAAATAGTCCATGGGTCAAAGAAGTGTCAAGAAAAAAATTTTAAAAAATACGTTGAACTAAATGAAAATAAAAACGCAACATGTCAAAATTTGTGGGATACAGCTAAAGCAGTGCTGGGGAAAATTTATAGTATTAAAATAGAGGAAAAGTCTCAAATCCATCATTTAAGTTTAGAACACAGGGAAAGAGCAAAATAAACCCAAAACAAGCAGAAAGAAGAAAATAATAGATAAAAAAAGAAAATGAAAAAAAAAGCAATACAGAATCAATGAAACAAACAACAAATTCTTTGAAAAGACCAATAAAATTAACAAACCTCTAACAAGACCAACAAAGAAAAAAATGAGAAGACAAATTGTTAATATCAGGAATAAAACAGGGGAAATCACCATAGACTCTGCAGACATCAAAAGGATAAGTGAATAGTACAAATAACCACACATGAATTTGGTAGCATAGAGGAAGTGAATTAAATCTTCAAAAAACATAAACTATCACAATGTACCCCACATGAAATAGATAATTTGAATCAGGCTATAACTATTAAGGAAATTGAATTCATAATTTTTTAAACTACCGAAAAACAAATCTCCAGGCCCAGATGGTTTCATTGGAGAATTATGCCAAATGCTTAAAGAAGAATTAACACCAATTCCACATAATCTCCTTCAGAAATTAGAAGAGAGGGTGGAACTTCCTAATATATTTTATGAAGCTAGTATTGCTCTGATACCAAAACCAGACAAAAATACAGAAAAAACAGATCAACATTCTTCATGAATATAAACACAAAAAAATTATTAACAAAATATCAACAAATAGAACTCACCAATATATAAAAATAATTATATACCACAATCAAGTGGAATTTATGCCATGGATAGAAAGCTAGTTCAGTATTTGAAAATCAGACAATGTCATCCAGCATACTAACAGACTAAAAAAATAAAAATCACATGATCATATTGTTCATTTAACAAAATTCAATATTCGCTCATGGGGGAAAAAAAACCCTCTAAGAAAATTAGGAAGAAGCCAGACATGGTGGCTCATGCCTGTAATCCCAGCACTTTGGGAGGCCAAGGCAGGTAGATCACCTGAAGTCAGGAGTTCAAGACCAGCATGGCCAACATGGTGAAACCCTGTCTCTACTAAAAATACAAAAATTAGGCCGGGCGCAGTGGCTCACACCTGCAGTCCCAGCTACTTGGGAGGCTGAGGCAGGAGAATGGCATGAACCCGGGAGGCAGAGCTTGCAGTGAGCCGTGATTGCACCATTGCACTCCAGCCTGGGCCACAGAGCAAGACTCTGTCTCAAACAAACAAACAAAAATACAAAAATTAGCCGGGCGTGGTGGTGCACACCTGTAGTCCTGGCTACTTGGGGGCTGAGACAGGAGAATCACTTGAACCTGGGAGGCAGAGGTTGCAGTGAGCCAAGATCGTGCCACTGCACTCCAGCCTGGGTGACAGAGGAGACTCCATCTCAAAAAAAAAAAAAAAAAAAAAAGAAAGAAAGAAAGAAAGAAAGAAAAGAGGGGCACATCCTCAACTTAATAAAGATCTGAAAAAAAAAATGGATGGGAACAAGGCAAGGATATCTGCTTTCCCCATTCTTATTCAACACCGTGCTGAAAGTTGTAACCAATGCAATAAAGCAAGTAAAAGAAGTAAAACACATCAGAAAGAAAAGATCAGAAAAGAAGAAAATAAAAGGATTGCTACTTGCAGATATGATTATCTTCATAGAAAATTCCAAGGAAGGCTAGGCACAGTGGCTCATGCCTGTAATCCTAGCACTTTGGCAGGCTGAGGTGGGTGGATCACCTGAAGTCAGGAGTTCAACACCAGCCTGGCCAAAATGGTGAAACCCCACCTCTATCAAAAATACAAAAAAATTAGCCAGGCATGGTGGTGGCATGCGCCTGTAATCCCAGCTACTCCAGAGGCTGAGGCACAAGAATCGCTTGAGCCCTGGAGGCGGAGGTTGCAGTGAGCTGAGATTGCACCACTGTACTCCAACCTGGGTGACAGAGTGAGACTCCATCTCAAAAAAAGAAAAAGAAAAAAAAGAAAATTCCAAGGAATCTATAAAAAAGTCTCCTTGGAACAAATAAGTTATTTTATCAAGGTTGCAAGATACAAATTATTGTATTTCTACATATGAAGCAATAAACACATAGACATTGAAATTAAAAATACAATACCATTTACAATCACTCCAAATGGTGAAATACTTAGGTATAAATCTAACAAAGCACATACAGAACTCTTCTGCTAAAAACAACAAAACACTGATGAAAGAAATACAAGAAGATATAACTAAATGGAGAGATATACTGTGTTCATAAATTGGAAATCTCAACCTAGAAAAAATATCAATTCTCCCCAAATTGATATACAGATTGTAGTATAATTTCAAAGTATATATTTGGCCTTTGTCCTTGATTCCTGGCATAGAGGTCCTTTAAGCAATGTTACAAATCTATGTTCAATATCTTCTACTGGGTAAAAAGCAAAGGACCCAGTACCTGTATCAACCCACACAGAAACTTTTTCACCTTTCGCCAGGCCTTTTACCTAGACAGTCTTCTCTAATCCTGTGAAGGGTGTATCACTGGAATTGTCCCCAGTTCATAGATGAGGATCCTGAGGTTCCCAGATGCTAAACGACTTGCCCAGCTCTCCATGGCTAGGAAGGAATGAAGAGGGCTTCTCACAGCCACCAACTACCCTAACCTTGCAGTCCACATACAAGCCCCAGCTACTGAGCCCTGGGTTGCAGGTGGTTCTGAGGGTTGAACTGAGGGAAGGCTCCAGTGTGTGACAGCCAAGGGTGAGGATGGGGCACTGAATGATAAGCATGAGTGGCGAAAGAGCCAGTTGCATCACTCACTTCACAATCTAGTTGCAACCTGCCCTGAGGAGTATTCTCAGATCTGTTTAGAGTACTCTTGGGAAGAAATATCTTAGTCCAGATCTCCCATGGCAATAACCTGCCTATAAGATGTGCAGGACTGGCAACATATAATGGGGCTGAAATTGCATATAACCTACAACTCAGTGTTTCCACTCCTAGACTCACACATGTCCATAGGGAGACATGTAAGAAGGTTAAGGGCTCTTAACTTGGATAGGGGTTTTGATACCTATATTTATTAAAACTCATCAGACTCCACACTTAAAATCTGCACATTTAATTATGGCAAAGGAAACCTCACAATAGAAAAGAATAATGTTCATGGCAACGTTGTTTGTAATAGAAAAATTCAGGAAAACCTAAATGCCCATTAAGAGGCAACTGGGGCCGGGTGTGGTGGCTCATGCCCGTAATTCCAGCACTTTGGGAGACCGAGGTGGGCAAATCATGAGGTCAGGAATTCAAGACCGGCCTGGCCAGCATGGTGAAACCCCATCTCTACTAAAAATACAAAAAAAAAAATTAGCTGGGCATGGTGGTGGGCACCTGTAATCCTAGCTACTTGGTAGGCTGAGGCAGGAGAATCACTTGAACCTGGAAGGTGGAGGTTGCAGTGAGCCGAGATCGCACCACTGCACTCCAGCCGGGGTGACAGCGTGAGACTCCGTCATAAATAAATAAATAAATAAATAAAGCGATTGGAAGCCAGGCACAGTGGCTCATGTCTGTAATCCCCACACTTTGGCAGGCCGAGGCAGGAGGATCACTTGACCCCAGGAGTTAGAGACCAGCCTCGACAATGTGGCAAAACCTCATCTCTACAAAAAAGTTAAGAAACAGCTGGCTGTGTTGGCATGCACCTGTAGTCCTAGCTACTCAACAGGCTGAGGTGGGAGGATCACTTGAGCCCAGGAGTTTAGGCTCCAGTGAGCTATGATGGCACCACTGCATTTCAGCCTGGGCAACAGCCAACTCAAAAAAAAAAAAAAAAAAAAAAAAAAAGGCTGGGCGCTATGGCTCATGCCTGTAATCCCAGCACTTGGGAGGCTGAGACGGGCAGATCACACTGGAGGTCAGGAGTTCAAGACCAGCCTGGCCAACATGGTGAAACCCCATCTTTACTAAAAATACAAAAATTAGCTGGGCATGGTGGTGTGCACCTGTAATCCCAACTACTCGGGAGACTGAGGCAGGAGAATCACTTGAACCCAGGAGGCGGAGGTTGCAGTGAGCTGAGATAGCGCCATTGCACTCCAGCCTGGGCAACAGAGTGAGACTCTGTCTCAAAAAAAAGAAAGAAAACAAAAAAACAAAAGGAGGAGATTGGATAAATAAAACTATGGTATATTTACATATTTGTCTATGAAGATAAATGAACAAAGGTTACACTTTTCAACTCAGATGAATTTAGCAAACTTCACAAACAGTGAAAAAGCAAGCTGAAGAAGAAAGCATACTATTTATATGAAATTTTATAACATGTATGTGGTAAGCTGCTGCTAGCGTCCTGCTCAGCACCCATTTCCCCTTGTTTCCACAAAGGGGACCCAATCTCATTCAGGGTGGCAACTTGCCCAGCTAGCACACTTGACTTGCCACTCTTCCTGGCAGCTTGGAATAATCAGGGAAAGGTTAGCTGAAGTCCATAGCATAGGGCTTCGTATTGAGTTATCACCTTCTTTTTTAAAAGCTGCTTTAATTAACATAATTGTACATATCTATGGAGCACATTACACATTACTGTTAACTATAGTAATCCTACAGTGCTATGGAACACTAAACTTATCCCTCCTATCTTGCTGTAATTTTGAATTCTTTAACAAATCTCTTCCTATCCTCCCCTTCCTCCTATCCTTTCCAGGCCCTAGTAACCTTTGTCCTACTTTTTACTTCTACAAAATCAACTTTTTTGTTTAGCTTCCACCTATGAGTGAGGACATGTGGTGTTTAACTTTGTTTCTGGCTTGTTTTAATTAACCAAATGTCTTCCAGTTCCATCCATGTTGCTACCAATGACAGGATTTCATTACTTTATGGCTAAATATTTAATAGTATTCCATTTGTATATATATATATATATACACACACACACACACACACTTTTTTTTTAAGTTACAGGGTCAGCCGGGTGAGGTGGCTCATGCCTGTAATCCCAGAACTTTGGGAGACTGAGGCGGGTGGATCACCTGAGGTCAGGAGTTCGAGATCAGCCTGGCCAACATGGTGAAACCCCATCTCAAATAAAAATACAAAAATTAGCCAGGCGTGGTGGCAGGCGCCTGTAATCCCAGCTACTCGGGGTGCCGAGGGAGAAGAATCACTTGAACCCAGGAGGCAGAAGTTGCAGTGAGCTGAGATCATGCCACTGCATTCCAGCCTGGGGGACAAGAGCGAGACTTTGTCTCAAAAAAAAAAAAACAAAAAACAGAGACAGGGTCTCACTCTGTTGCCCAGGCTGGAGTGCAGTAAGGCAATCATAGCTCAGTACAGTCTCAAACTCCTGGGCTCAAGGAGTCCTCCCACCTCAGCCTGCTGAGCAGCTATGACCATAGGCATGCACCACAATGTCTAGCTAATTTTTTTATTTCTAGTAGAGACCAGGTCTTGCCATGTTGCCAAAGCTTATACCACATTTTCTTTATCCATTCATCCGTTGATGGACACCTAGACTGATTCCTTAGCTTGGCTATTGTGAATAGTGCTATATTAAACATGAGGGTGCAGATGTCTTTTTGATATACTGATATCCTTTCTTTTGGATAAATGACCAGTAGTGCAATTACAGGATCATATGGTAGTTCCATCTGTAGTTTTTTGAGGAACCTCCATACCATTCTTCATAGTGTTCCCGGACCGAACTGAGGGTTGGGCTGCTTATTCTCATGCCCAATAATGAGATGCAGATGAACTGGGAAAGAAGGGAGTTTATTTCTCCCTGGGTACAGGGAGAAGGCCTGGAAAACATCACCACATCAACTCAAAATTACGTTTTCCAGGGATTATATACCTTCTAAGCTATATGTCTACATGGAAGTGTGCATTCATTTAAAGACATAAGTGATTAACTTCTTCTAATCTATAACTAAGGTCTGAGTCCTGAGGACCTTCTTCTGGAGCCTCAGTAAATGTACTTAATCTAAGTGAATCCAGGTGCTGGGGTGATTATCCTTATTATCTTGTCTCCCGCTAAATCATGGAGGTTTGAGGAGTTCCTTCAGACCCCCAATAAACTTGTTTGTGGAGGTCTGGGGAATTTCTTAAGATCCCCAGTAAAACTTGTTTAATCCTAAATGAGGCCTGTTAAGAATTCCTTTGTTATCTTGTCATGAGTCAAGGCCCAGGAAAGGCCTGGGCAAAACTTCTGGTGGGCTTTCATTACATTCCAGCCTTTGTATGAGGGCACCGGCTCTATTAGCTTTTAATATTTAACTTAACCACTCAGTGCTGAAACAGTTGTTACAGAGGCCTGCGTTACCGAGACCTGGCCTGCCACAATAGTGGCTGTGATAGTTTAAATCCCCACCAGCAGTGTATGAGTTCCCTTTTCTCTGCACCTTTGCCAGCATTTGTTATTTTTTGCCTTTTTGACATAGCCATCCTAAATGCAATGAAATGAAACCAGGTTGTAATTTTGGTTTACATCTCCCTGATGATTAGTGATGTTAAGCATTTTTTCATATATTTATCTGTTAGCCATTTGTATTTCTTCTTTTGAGAAATATGTTTAGATCACTTGTTCATTTTTTAATCGGATTGCTTGTTTTTTGCTGTTGAGATGTTCCAGTCACCTTCTTGATAAAAAGGACAGACTCAGCTGGTATGAGACTTTTTGTCCTTTTCCCTTCTGCTTTTTTCTGCCTGGAATGCAAATGAAATGCCCAGAAGCACAGCAGCCATTTAAGGAACAATGTGTTCTAAAAGCATACACTATAGATGTCAGAGCCAAGAGCCAGGTCATTGACTTTATCATGGAGCCACTGTCTAATCCCAACCTGGTTGCTGTCAGACTGCTTGTTGTATGAGAAAAATACTCCCATTTTGGTTACACCACTGAAGTAAGGTTTTCTGTTATATGCAATCAAATGTAACTGACATGGTGCAAAACAACACTATAGAGTGTTACCAACATAATCATGTCAATCATGATCAAAGGATAAAGACATGCATGGGAATTGAAACACCCAATGTGGGATAATGGTTTTCTCTGGGTGGGAGTGAGGGGATGACACTGGAGAGAGGAACGACCGGGGACTTCCACTGTAGTGTTAATGTCTGACTTCTTACGTCAAGTAGTGAGTACACAGGCGAGTTTTATTACCTGTTAAATCCTTTTGTGTATCCTAAATATTTTATAATAAGATGTGAGTATAAAGAGTAGCTGAGAGGAAAAAATATAATGGTAAAAAGGGAAAGGCCTTACTATTTACTGGTTGGCCCACCTGATTAGCTGTATCTCTTTCCACCAACAGGTCCTAAAATCCTAAGGGCACTTGGCTTAATGAATCATCCAGCTCAACATTCTCACTTTGTCTAGGAATTGCCACCTCCCTTGGATAAGCATAATTAGCTTACTCCTACCCTCAATGGCCAGGTTCTGATACATACCCCTCCTGGGATGGGGTAATAGAGAGAGGCTCCCCACCACTGCCCAAGAATCAGACATCAGATATACTGCATCAGTGGAGTGTAACGAAAGAGGTGGCACAGAATAGCTTGGACATACACAAGGCAGGGCCACAGCCCCAAAGATTGAGTCCACGGGTCCTGGGAACCTGAGCTTCTACCTTGCGAAAATGCTTCCTAGGTAGTTCTGAAGCATACCTCTTCTTGAGAACCCCTGTCATGAATCATTGTCTTTATCCTTATCTTCCCAGCCAGAATATTTAAGAGCGTTGCATTCTACAGTTTATATCACAAAATATTTTTTAAATTTCCAATTATAAAATGACATAATAATATTGAATGAATAAACTTTTGAAAATGACATCATTCTCCCTGATCCTGAAGATTCTGCTGTTCCCCCTCAGGGGGGATATGCCCCACTCCATCCACCCCGGAAAAAGCTTAGTCCATCCCTCTGTCTCTCAGAAGATTTAGCAGGAAGAGGTCATATGTGTTTGGGGAGATCCAATATTCTCAGAAATATACCTCCATGTTTCCAGACTATTCTATTGCCCCAGAGTTGGAGGGGGTACTTACTGGAGGAACAGACAGCCCAGGTGGCAGGGAATGGCAACTGTCAACAGCAAAGAACCCACTAGCATCACTCTTTTTTTTGATACGGAGTTTTACTGTTATTGCCCAGGCTGGAGTGCAGTGGCACAATCTCGGCTCACTGCAACCTCCGCCTCCTGGGTTCAAGTGATTCTTCTGCCTCAGCCTCCCAAGTTGCTGGGATTACAGGCATGCGCCACCACGCCTGGCTAATTTTTTGTATTTAGTAGAGACAGGGTTTTACCATGTTGGTCAGGCTGGTCTCAAACTCCTGACCTCAGGTGATCCACCCACCCTGACCTCCCAAAGTGCTGGGATTACAGGCGTGAGCCACCGCACCTGGCTGCATCACTCATTTTTAATGAAACTCTTCACACAGCCTCCATCTCCGTTTCTGGGCTGATGTCTAAGAAAGTTCACACCGAGAGTCACGCACAGGGCTGAGGGTCAAACTCAGGCTGAGGCTCTGTGTCCCAAACGGCATGGGAGAAAGTATCCCTTCCCACCTCTCCCCTTTAGATGGAATCAGTGTTCTGCCCCAAAGGGGCCTAGAATCATCCATCTGCTTTCCCATTTGACAAGTGAGGATGTGGAGTTTTAGAAGGAGGACACACTATACCCCAGCTGTCCCTGCAGGTTCCTCTCAAAGCTAGGATGAGAACTTACATCTTTCAACTCCCCAAGTGGTTATTTTTTAAACTAAGAGTGAATCTAAAAAGCTTCTTTTTTTTATTTGCTCCAAAACTTTCAAAGAACATTGCTTTCATCACCAAATCTTCAAATCATGTGCCAGAATTGTAAAAAGGCTTAAAGGCTGGTTTCACTTCCTGTGTGGAGGCAGCCTGCCGTTAATTGGAACAAGTGAAAAACTGGCCTCCAGGCACACACAACACTTGGGAAGTCCATGAATATTTATCACCGCACTGAGAATTCCCTAAGCGGCACAGTGACAGAAAACAACTTTCAGTTAAGTTTGAGTCTCTGTTCTAATATTCTCCACTAAGACAGCCTGTTCTTACTTGTGAAAGTGATCATTTTCAAAACCATAATGAAGCCAATCTACTATTGGTAGCTCTAACCACAAGGCCCTAAGGCTTAAAATAACAAAACAATTCCTTCTCCAAAATAAACAAGGCTTTTCTTTGTGTATCTAATGAGAGGCAAGACCACAGCTAAGGCAAGTTCTAAGATGTTTACTGTCCCTGAATGCTGAGGTATCTAGATCCTCAAAGAAAAAGCAGATTACACAAAAAAGGGGACCTGTCAGAAAGCATTTGCATAAGTGCCAACCTGAGATCTAAATCCGGAGGATGGACCCCTACTGGAGTGACCTAGGGCAGAGCACTAACCCTGTGATGATTGGATCTTGTTTTCAAGGGACCAACAGAAATACATGGAGGCACAGAGTACAAGGAGAAACATACAAGTGTAAAATGTGCTGGCAAAAAAATCCAGGCATTGAGCTTCTGAAATGAAATGGGGTTTCTCTAAGCACAAATATAAATGTTCTTAGCTTTTGGTGTAATTTTATTCCAAACATAAAGCCAACATCTGTTCTCTCTTTCTCTTTCCTTCTGCCCCTTCTCCCTGCCTGCCACCTCCAAGACTCATGGAAAATCCATTTACCATTGAGTGAAAGAAGCACTGATAATTGAAGAACTAGCCAAGAAGGATGAAATAAAATGCTTTAGAATTGAGTGTAGGTTTCTGGCTGGGCACGGTGGCTCACGCCTATAATCCCAGCACTTTGGGAGGCTGAGGTGGGCCAATCACCTGAGGCCAGGAGTTCGAGACCAGCCAGGCCAACATTGTGAAACGTTGTCTCTACTAAAAAATACAAAAATTAGCTGGGTGTGGTAATGGGTGCCTGTAATCCCAGCTACTCGGGAGGCTGAGACAGGAGAACCGCTTGAACCCAGGAGGTTGAACCCTGGGTTCAATCGCTTGAACCCAGGAGGCTGCAGTAAGCTGAGATCGCGCCACTGCACTCCAGCCTGGGTGACAGAGTGAGCCTCCATGTCAAAAAAAAAAAAAAAAAAAAAAAGAACAGTGTAGGTTTCTCAATGAAATGTTTGAGACATAATCACCCTTTCTTCTTTATCACTCTGAAACACCAGGACCTGAGGAGGTGACCTGGCCATAGCAGCCCAGGGTTTCACATGCCGGCCATGTCCCTAGATCCTAGTGCCTGTCAGAGGCCCCGAGAGTGAAAATGTGGCAGCTCCCATGAAGGGATGGCTGTCCAGCTGCAGAGTCTCACAAAACTAGGGAAGATCTAGGCCCTCCCTTCCTGTGGCTAAGAATCACCCAGTTCAACAGCCATGGTTCAGACAGAGAAAAGTAAGGCCTAGGAGGGAGGAAGTGCCAGGATGGCAGGTATTCTTAGTATCCTTGTTCTCCAAAAGGGGCCTGCTGATCCTAATGGAATTCTCTGCCCCTGCCAGGCTGCATTTTTAGCACTTCGGCTGGAGGCAGGAGTGGGAGACATAGAATGAAAAGAGAGGGAACTGGTTTAACTCCGGTCACGGGTTAGCCAATGCCCAGAGTGCCAGAGGGAGAGTAATCAGGGCTCCCTCCCGGGCACCTGAGGGTTGGCTCACCCATGCCATTAAGCAGGAAGTACCAGAAGCCAGGAGTGCACCTGGCGCCCTTTGCATTTCCTACAAGACCACCTGCGGACACATACTCACGCCTGTACACGGAATCTACTCTAAGAACCAAAGCCTCATTTTCTCTATGTTGCAGCCAACTGACCTCATTGGGAAAACCTAGCTCGATGTGGTAAAAAGGAAAAGAATTTTCTGAGCTGGGTGAGGTGGTTCACTCCTGTAATCCCAGCACTTTGAGAGGCCGAGGTGGGTGGATCGCGAGGTCAGGAGTTCAAGACCAGCCTGCCCAACACGGTGAAACCCCGTCTCTACTTAAAATACAAAAATTAGCCAGGTCTGGTGGAGGGCACCTGTAATCCCAGCTACTTGGGAGGCTGAGGCAGAGAATTGCTTGAAGCCAGGAGGCGGAGGTTGCAGTGAGCCGAGATCGCGCCACATGCACTCCAGCCTGGGCGACAGAGCAAGATTCCATCTCAAAAAAAAAAAAAAGAATTTTCTGGATGTTCACACTCAAAAACCCTAAAACAAAACAAACACAAAAAATAAAAATAAAAAAATTTAAACCACACCCAGTTTGGAAAAGAGTTATGTGGGAAAAGTTGAACAGGAACTGGACTTCATTTTTATACCTTCCTGAGAGGCACATGACAAGAAGCTATTCCTGTACTATGTCAAGTTTGAACTCCATAAGGGAAGGTATGGGGGCAGGAGTAGGAGGGGAATGGCAGTCAGGGCGGGCCCTGCTTCTCTGGAGAACTGCTTGGTCCTGGGTGGGTTTTGCTCAAACTACTAGGAAACAAAAACCTAAAGAGCTGCAGCAAAGGACTTGGGCACTCTAGGGCGACACCGGAGGGCCCCTTCACCAAAGCATTCTGAACAATGGAGGGTGGACCATTCAGGATACACTTCAATAAGAAAAGAACCCTCCTCCCAACACCTTTTGTCTAGGAAAAACATTTCCCCCATACTTGAGTTCAGAAGAATGGAGGAGAACCATTGGTAATAATGGCAAATATATTTTAAGCACATATCACCTGCCATTAGCTCATTACGTCCTCCTAACAATTCTATGAAAAGAGCCTCCCACTGTACCCAAAAAGGAACAGAGGTCCTGAAAGTTAATCACCACCCCCAAAGCCCCAGAAGCCAGTCCCGGTTAACACTTTCATTCCAGTCCCCAGAGGCATAGTGTGCCTCACACAGTGTGAGACCCCTTTCAGTTTTTATAATAATTAATCTCCTGCTGAGAAACATACCAATTCAGAGCCATGTGCTTTGGGTTAAGATTAAACTAACGGCAAGGGCCAAAGTCAAGGCACCCAGGGCTACCTGCCCCTGAGCAAGGAGTTGTTAGAACTGTGTTTAACATGAAAAATTACCTTCTGACATTTTTTTTTCTAGTTGGAATAGTTAGGACAATGTAAAATATGTTTGGGGTTAATACAGCCCAAAAATCTGTCTGGTTTTAATTGACTAGCTCCTCCAGCAATGAAATCACATTGGCATCACAGCAAAATAAAAGATTGTTTTCTATTAACCAAGCCCCGAATGTGAGGGCATGGGAGCTCCAGCAATTCTGTTTCTGGAAAAGCCAGTAGGAAAAGATAAGGGTGAAGAGCACCTGGTAAGACATGCAGGGGCTTGGTTCCTTCATGCTGTGCTCTGATACTCACTGAGCACCCGTATGAGCTCCATGCTGTGTTAGCAGTGAAAAAGACAGCAGCCCTGCCACCAGGAGCTTACCTTGTGGTGGGGGGACAGTGGAGGAAAAGGAGTAAACAAAGAGGTAAGGCTGGGTGCCATAGCTCACGCCTGTAATCTCTGCACTTTGGGAGGCTGAGGTAGGCGGATCACCTGAGGTCAGGAGTTCGAGACCAGCCTGGCCAACATGGTGAAACCCTGTCTCTACTAAAAATACAAAAATTAGCCAGCTGTGGTGGCAGGTGCCTGTAATCCCAGCTACTGGGAAGGCTGAGGCAGGAGAATTGCTTGAACCTGGGAGGCGGAGGTTGCAGTGAGCAGAGAATTTGCCATTGCAAGACTCTGTCAATAAAGAAATAGAGGGAGGGAGGGAGGGAGGAAGGAAGGAAGGAAGGAAGGAACTGATCAGGTTGTGAGAAGCATTATCAGGAAATTAAATTTAAGGGATAGTGGGGTGTATGCATATGATACTTTGGCAGGGGGTGGTTATTGGGGAAGGCTTCTCAAGGAGAACCTCTGAACTGAAACCCAAAGGATGAGAAGAAGCCAGCATGCCGAGATCTTGGGAAAAAGGTTCCAGCCAGAGGGAAGAGTCACTGCAAAGGCTGCTCAGGCCCTAGAAAGAAGACACAGGTGGCTGGAGTGGTAGGAACAAGAGGGAAGTGAATGGAAATGGGTCAAAGAGGTTCGCTGTGAGTCTCTGCAAATTCTAGTAGGGAACAGGAAGCCACTGGAAGATTTTCAAATGGAAAATACAATCAGATTCGTTTCCAAAATCTCATTCTGGCTATTATATGGAAAGCGACTGTTTCACATGTGTGTTCAAGGTCCCAGCTCAGTTTTTCTACCCAGCAGCATGTTCCCAATTCACAGGCATAAAAAGATTGAACCTCTTCTTGACCAATGCTGACTAGTAACTCACTGGCCCTTCTACAATTATCTGGAAATTATTTCAAAAATTAAGATTTAAAAATATAATTATTGGCTGGGTGTGGTGGCTCATGCCTGTAATCCCAGCACTTTGGGAGGCCAAGGCAGGCAGATCACCTGAGGTTGGGAGTTCGAGACCAACCTAACCAACACGGAGAAACCCTGTCTCTACCAAAAATACAAAATTAGCCAGGCGTGGTGGTGCATGCCTGTAATCCCAGCTACTCAGGAGGCTGAGGCAGGAGAACTGCTTGAACCCGGGAGGCGGGAAGTTGCGGTGAGCCGAGATTGTGCCATTGCACTCTAGCCTGGACAGCAAGAGTGAAACTCTATCTCAAAAACAAAAAAACATAATTATTGTTAATTTTTTAAAAATTGTATTCAGCTGTGCATGGTGGCTCATGCCTATAATCCCCACACTCTGAGAGGCTAAGGTGGGAAGATCGCTTGAGCCCAGGAGTTCAAGACCAGCCTGGGCAACATAGTGAGATCCTGTCTCTACAAAAAATAAAAAATTAGCCAGGCATGGTGGTATGTGCCTGTGGTCATAGCTACTTGGGAGGCTGAGGTGGGAGGATCACTTGAGCCCGGAAGGTTGAGGTTGCAGTGAGCCGTGATGGTGCCACTGCACTCTAGCCTGGGTGGCAGAATGAGAACCTGCCAAAAAAAAAAAAAAAAGAAAGAAAGAAAAGAAAAGAATTCCACTCAGCACTTTAATGGGTCAGAATAATTTTCTAAAAGTATTCATTTTTAAAATATGCACGATGTACTTTCAAAAAGCATTTGAAGCCTTTGGAATAAAGCCCACAAGCAACAGAACAACTTAAAAGTTCCCTCTGGGAAGATGTTTACAATATACTGGAATACATGTTACAATATCAGTTTGGAAAAGAAATATTAACATTAAAGAATCTTAAAAGCCTAATTTACTCTAAGGGTTGAGTTTAGCTGCACACACAGCCTCGTCATGAGCTAAGTCCTCATAATGCATTCATTTTTATCCACATTTATATTTATCTTGCTCCATCCTCTCCCTGGCCCTTCAGAGAGCCACCGCTTGCCTCATTTTGCTGCTCAATGGCACCCCCATCAGAGACTGAGCAGAAAGGAAAGACTGGAAAGCCTCGAAATGCTCCTGGTTTGGCAGTTCCAGTTCTGTGTGTGCATGTCTTTGTGAGACGTGTAGTGTGTATGTGTGTTGGGGGGCAGAGGGGATTTCCTGGGTTAAAGTGATGCTTAAATTTTATTTACCCATTCTTCTATACTGCTAACAGTGTAGAATCTACACACATATTCTCATTGTCTCTCTCTCTGTCTCCCCTGTGTGGTCAGCAAAGCACTCAGACCCACAATGTGTAATAGGAAAATCTTAAAATTAGATGAAGAGTCTAATTTCCATGTTTAATTTCTTCATACAGCACTCCTTTGTGCTGTAATTCTGCCAGTGAGAATCCCATTCTTTAAGCTTTTCACAAGGTGAGATGTAAAACTGTCACACATCTCATAGGTAAAGTTCAAAACCAAAAGCAAAAAGTGCAAGAACGATTGGTGAAACTTTTCATTCTTCCAGCTGGGTGGATTTTAAAAGGCCTTTTTATGATTGTCTGATTAAAGTTGATTGTCAGCTACAAAAATTTGTTATTACAGCCTTTTAAAATTTTAGAAAAACAAAAGCACTCCAATTTTTAAGTATTTAACACAAAACTATTGTTCCCATTACTTTCTCCATAGTTCTCACCACATTCACTACCTCCAAGACTATTCACGGCCAGTCCTCACTAGTAGCAACAAATAACAGATTTGCAGCAGATTATGAAAAATGGGGCTGGCAGAAATGCTGAGGAATTTTTGAAGGTTTGGTGGAGGGAGGGGCAGTGGAGAACAGAACTGCTTTAGTTCTTTGCCTGGCTCTTAAAGTTTGTTTCAAATTGCTATGTTGCCCCAAATTATAAATTGCTTATGTAATTTAACGTGCAAAAAGTGGGTGCACTGTTTAAGAATTTTTCATTTGAGTAAATGAGCTTTCAAAGGAAAATCTCAAAGGAAAAACTTTTAAGTAACTTACTTGACTATAAACTGAGCTTTCCAGGTATTCCTAAAAAACATCTTTGACTGTAATAGGTGAAGGCTAGTCAAGTGCATTCTCGATCAAAAGAGAGAAAATCTACATGCTGAATGGAAATAGAAACCTTTTAGCTGAGAGAAAATACTTGGAATGTGTTTATTTAGCATTTTTCCCCTTTCTTTTTCTTTTGGGTAAAGCCTGGTAAGTTTATTCCAGCCTCCTCAAGAAGTGCATCAGCGATCAAACTTGAAATCTGTTCATCACTCACTCCCCAAATAAGCTGTTCAAGCAGAATGAAACCGGCCTTCCTTGCCTCCACGTATCAGTCCAGCATCTTGTATTAAAATGCCTGGAACAAGCCGGGCGCGGTGGCTCACGACTGTAATCCCAGAACTTTGGGAGGCCAAGGAGAGCAGATCACGAGGTCAAGAGATCGAGACCATCCTGGCCAACATGGTGAAACCCCGTCTCTACTAAAAATACAAAAATTAGCCGGACGTGGTAGCGCGCGTCTATAGTCTCAGCTACTCGGGAGGCTGAGGCAGGAGAATCGCTTGAACCCGGGAGGCGGAGCCTGCAGTGAGCCGAGATCGCGCCGCGGCACTCCAGCCTGGGCGACAGGGCGAGACTCGGTCTCAAATTAAAAAAAAAAAAGCCTGTAACAACACTTCGCTGAATCCAGATAAACGTAAACGCTGCCGAGCACTGTAAGTTCTGTTCTGCCATAACAGGAGTGAAAAGAACGCTCCCCTTTTCCCACACTCTCTGGGTGCCCCTAAAAAGGGATACTAATAATGCCCGTAAGGGCCCATTGGGAGCAGCCAGGACTGCCGTCCCCCCCTGGCCCGTCGCTCGGCCTCAGTCTATCGCGGCTCCCGGACTGCGGCTCCGACTCCCGCAGCCCGTTCGTTCGCCCCGCGCCGGTCCCTCGGGAGACCGGATCTGTGGCCCCCGGGACTCCGGCCAGAGCGGGGCCCCACCATGCAACTCTAGTGGAAAGTTCTCGTCGCATCCCAGACCAGACCTGCTACCTACGTTCCACTCGTCGGAACTTCAGGACTTGCAGCGCGCCCGGCCGAGCTCGATTTCCTCCTCTGCGGTGAAGAGGGGAGCCTGCAACGCCGACCCCGACCCGGCTTCACCACGATGCGCACCCGCAAGCCAGGCTGGGTGCCCTCGGGACGCTTGAGGCGCCGCGGTCAGTGGACGGTAGGTTCGCCTACGCCCCCTCCTCTGGCACCGCAGTGGGTGGAGGGTG
Source organism: Homo sapiens (assembly GCF_000001405.40). Lineage (NCBI taxonomy): Eukaryota > Metazoa > Chordata > Mammalia > Primates > Hominidae > Homo > Homo sapiens. The sequence goes on along the minus strand of NC_000002.12, from coordinate 111,898,914 downwards.
TTTGCAAACTTGTCCAGCAGCCAGGCGCGCCCCTGTGGACGCGCTCCCTCCCCAGAGGCCCCTGCTTCCTCCTGGGAGCCCCCACCCCCTCGCCTGGCCCCCAGCCGGGCGCACTCACCTCTACGCCAGAGCGCGGGGAGGAAGAGGCCCAGCAGCAGCGGCAGCGGGGCCGGCCCCATCCCGGGGCTGCGGATCTGTAATTTCTCTCCGGACGGATGGACAGATGGACGTCCCGAACCTGTCCTGTCGCCGGCCAAGCGCGCCAGCGAAGCTCCCTGTCCGGGCGGCCCGGGCAGTGAGTGCCGAGTGGCGGAGCCAAGCGGCCGGCGGGAGGTGCCGAGGGCTGGAAGGGGCGGGCCGGGGGCCGAGCCGAGGCCGGCCGGGGCTGGAGGAGAGGAGCGGGCAGGGGGGCGAGTCCCGGCGGGCCCAGCAGGTTGGGGTGGGAGGGGGCGGGAGGACGAGGGGGAGGAGGGGCGTAAAGGGGAAAGGGAGGGGGTTGGAGAGAAGGGGCGGGCCGAAGGCCGCCGCTGGGCAGACGGCGGGGAAGGGGGCGGAGAGGAAGGGGAGGGGGCTGAGAGACCCGGAGGGAGCCGGAAAGAGAAGTGAAGGGGAGGGGTGGACTGGAGGTCCACAGCGGAAGGCTCTGGCCGCTGCGCGGGTCCGGGGCCCCACACGTGTGGGTGGGAGATGGGGAAGGACAGAAGGTGGGAGAGGAGTAGAGGATGCCCGAGGCAGCCCCCAGACCCAAGAGGAGGGTCCAGAGGCGCCCCCGCATTCCGGGCTTGGCTGACACAGAAAACCCTGGCCGCGCCGCTCCCAGAGGCCAAGGCCAGGGCGGCAGCGCTCCCTGCCGAGCGCTCCTCCACATCCATTCCGCTCGCCGCCGAGCGCCGCCTGGGTACCCGGCCCGAGGTGCGCGACACGGCCCTGGCGGCGAGGAGCTCACCTCCCCAGGGGGAGGGGTTCCTGGGAAAGGACGCTTTGCCGTGGCTCCGTGACGAGCCAGAGAGAGGTGACACTCAAGGAGGGAGATGAACGTGAATGACAAAGTGCAGAGCAGGAGTGGGGAGAGGGGGAACCACAGCACGTCACTCTCATGGGCCTCCACAAGGTGTGCAGGGTCCAAGAGGCAGTAGCAGAGAGTGAGTCGTAAGAGAAATGTAACTACTTACGCTAATAATGGCAACAGTAACTTAATTTATATACGTAGTTTCTTAAAGGTAACACTTTTAGAATGAATGTATTTTAATGTGGTCCCTTTAACAACATAACATAAGCCAAATCATGTCCCTCTCCTCAAATCTCCCTAAACCTATCAGTGGTTCCTGCTGTCTCTGCGTACGTAAGCCAAGGTTCTGCAGTGGTCTACGAGGTTCTACGTGACCTGGTCCCCTTTCCTCTTTGGCCTCATCTCCTTACGCCTCTTCAATTTACGTTGGTCTCGTCAAGCGGTCCCTTGACCCCTACACTGGCTGGACACTTCCCGTAGATTTGGCTACGGGAAGGAGACAGGCAGCCCAGATGGGTTTAGACAGGTTATTACTTACACCGACAGCAAAAGCAAAATCAGTGTGGTGTCAGCTCCATGCATCCTTAGGCCTACAAGATAACACCAAACTGGAAGGGTCAGTGTTATCCTATGGGTCTACATAATTTAACAAAAATAAATAAATAAATAAATAAATAAATAAGACAACATGAGCCCTGCCGCTGAGTAGCCAAGTCTAAATTACACCAAGCAGTTTTATAGACTTCACAGGAGCCTGCCGCTGTATGCTTGGAGGGAAGCGGGCTGGGCGGTGGAGGGAGGGATATGGAAAGTCCTGCAGTCAACTGAAACGTTGGAGAAGGAAGAGAAATGGCCTTGCAGCAGTCTCCCATGGGGTAGGGATAGGAAACTGCCTACCAGTGGCTCCTCACCAGGCTTACCCATCCCTGCTTTAGGGGAAATCACAGGGCAGTCCAACAAGACTTGGGTCAGACCGTGGTCATACCTTGCCTACATGGCCTCGAGAGATGTGCAAGATTGCCAAGGACACCTCGGCAGAGCTGTTCTCCTGCAATTTCCTTGCTATTGCTCACATATACCAAGCACTCCTCCGCCCAAAGGTTTGCACTGGCTGTTCTCTCTGCCTGAAATGCTCTTCCCCTAGACACACAGCTTCCCAGTTGGCTCTCCTCCAAGTCAGCTCAAATCTCACTTTCTTGTTGAGGCCTGCCTTGTACAATACTCTTCAGCTATCTACCGGTGTTTGATATACCACCCCAAACATAGTGGGAGTAAAATGTCAGCCATTTTATTAGATTCCTGAATTCTGTGGATCGGAGGTTTGGACAGAGCACAGGGGAAATAGGTTGTCCTTGCTCCTCCATATCTGCCTGGGACCTTAGGCTCAAATGGTTGGGGATTAGAATCATGTAAAGTAAATTATAACCTGCAGGCCTATGGCTTCTTTTTGCAAATAATCGTTATCGAAACACAGTCATTCATGTTGGTAATTGTGACAGAGATTATGTGGCCCACAAAGCCATGCAATCTGGCCCTTTAGATAAAAAGTTGGCTAACCCCGATCTCAAGGCTCATTCACTCACATAGCTGCCATCTGCACTGGGATGACTTGGGCACTAGGGCTGCAGACTAACTGGAGCACCTAAACTAGGCTTCTCCATGGTGGCCTTGGAGTAGCTGGAAGTCTTGCATGGCAGCTCAGGGCTCCAAGAGCAAGCATTCCAGTAAACAAGGAGGAAGCTTCGTGGCCTTTTATGTCCTAGCCTCGGAGGTCACATAACTCCACCCTACTCTCTTGATGGAAGCAGTCACAACCCCACCCTCATGGGGAGGAGCCATAGAGGTTCAAGCCCAACCTCTTGAAGATAGAAGTGTCAAAGAAGTTGCAGTTATGCTTTTAAAAATCTGCAAATGCCAAAATTTAGCTAAACTGTGAGATGTCAGCTCTACAATGTTAATTTTGTACTTGTGCATCCAAATGATATTGCAATTTAATGTCCTAATTATTCAAGTGATCAGACTACATGTAGGAAAATATGAGCGACAAACAAACAAACAAAAAACAACCCGGACCCCATATTACATAACTAGTTCCAAGGCTGTTGTGCAACTTCAACAAGAAGACACTTACCTGGAACCCATTCTCCAATGCCCACTGTGTCTCCTGTGTCAGCTAAGACTCTGTGCTACAAGTAGGAGCCCCTACTGTTTAATACCTAAGAAAAAGAGAGAATGTTAAAGGCCTGCTGCAGTGTTCATCTAAGGGCTAGGGAAGATTACCCCCACTGATTCAAGTGTGAAAGAGCTGTAACCAAGGTAAAGTGGCATTGTGGTCACAATCTATCTGTCAAACATGTTCAACGTATCAGTGACAGGACTTGAGGCTTCCAATTGAAGGTCCCATAGGAGCGCGCCAGGCCACACACAAATGAAATGTGTGAAGACGTAGTCCTCAATGACCCTATGTCTAAACCCATACCTTGCTTCTCTTTGTCCTCTTACCCCTGTCCCCTACCCCTTTCAGCTCTGTCTACAGCTATACCTGTAATTTATTTCCCCCTCCTGCCTCTAGTCTACCATGTAGACCCCCCAGTTCACCTCCCTCAGAAATCTTCTATCCCATCAGCTGGGTACAGTGGCTCACACCTGTAATCCCAACACTTTGGGGGGCCAAGGTGGGCAGATTACTTGAGGTCGGGAGTTCGAGACCAGCCTGGTCAACATGGTGAAACACTGTCTCTACTAAAAATACAAAAATTAGCTGGCTGTGGTGGCGCATGCCTGTAATCCCAGCTGAGGCAGGAGAATTGTTTGAACCTGGGAGGCAGAGGTTGCAGTGAGCTAAGATGGTGCCACTGCACTCCAGCCTGGGCAACAGAGAGAAAGACTCCGTCTCAAAAAAAAAAAAAAGCAATCTTCAGACCACTTTGGCACTCACTCACCCAGCAGCTAGCATCCATACCACAATACTCTAGTAATAGCACCCTGGTTTTCCTTTGGTGAACCATGCTTCCTACACTCACCTCCCTGTCCCTGGGTCTGGATGTGATATTCTCTTTGCTGTCTTAAGACCATTATGTGTCCCTACTCTCTAGTCTCTGGCTTTGACTCTGATGTCATTAGACTAGACCAGCCCTGCTTGCTGCAGCCACGTAGGGACCCCTGAGTCTCTCCTAATTCTCTGAAGATGCAGCGCCTGCATCACAGTCACTCCCTTTACACTATCCCTGCCATGACTTTTGGTAGTTTCGGTACCTTATAAATGGTACTTCAACACCACAGCTTCTAAACCCCTTGACCTCTTGTCCTTCATTCAGTATTCTGAGCAATATATTAGAAATGTAAGTGCCAAGTTCTTAAAATTTGCTGGATAACTGGAATGGTGCCCGTAAGAAAAGTCAACTCATAATGCCAAAAATCTTGAGGGACGTACAAGCATCTTGTAGTTTCTTGCATAACACAGACAGTGCATGGAAGAGACCCTGTTCAATGTGCTGAACAACATAATGGGAGTATAGGTTTAAGGCCTTTGGGGGCATATATTTTAGGTAATGTAAACCATTTGAAATATTGAATCAAACACACATACACAAGTGCAGTCATATAATTGCCTTTTTTTTTTTTTTTGAGACCGAATCTTGCTCTGTCACCAGGCTGTTGTGCAGTGGCGTGATCTTGGCTCACTGCAACCTCCGCCTCCCAGATTCAAGCAATTCTCCTGCCTCAACCTCCCGAGTAGCTGGGACTATAGGTGTGTGCCACCACACCCAGCTAATTTTTGTATTTTTAGTAGAGACGTGGTTTCACCATGTTGGCCAGGATGGCCTCCATCTCTTGACCTCATGATCCACCTGCCTCAGCATCCCAAAGTGCTGGGATTACAGGTGTGAGCCACTGCGCCCGGCCAGTTGTATAATCGTTAAGTGGAAGTTAAACGGTTTCACTGCTAAAAAATTACTGACCAGATCCAACATCTCGAGTTTGTTACAGTAAGAGGACACAATATAGCAAATAGCAGTAAAGTAAGAATAAGCATCTCAGTCAAAGGCTATTCATGGCCAGATAGGCCAGGTGCCAGCTCCTTTGTCCTAATTTCTGTAAGGAACGTGGCAGGATGCACTTTCTCTGTTGGATCAAAAACCATTGATGTGTGCATGGAACACCTCAGAAATGGGATCGAAAATGGAGTCTCAGCTGGGGATTTTTATATTTTGCTGGTCATCGGCATAGTCTTAAGGCATAACCAGCCTCAACAGCAGAGCCCTGTGGCAGGGGTTGGAGGGGTCTCGCTGAGACCAGGTGCAAATCATTTATCTCATTGTTTTCGAAAAGCAAAGTTGATGGTAGTACAAGTTTCCCTGAAGCTCCTCAGACTGATGGTTAAAAAGCAACATTATTAATCAATATGCTTCATGCTCTTGGCCAGGGGTCATTGCCACGCAGGAACTTCAAAACAGTTCAAGCTAATTTCAGGCCTGCTGGAATTAACCCTCACAGTACAATAGCTTTTATAGTTGTTGTAAAGTGAAATAGTACAAGTAAAACACTCCATTCAGCACAGTGAACACGATACTGGAATAAAGTATTTCCTTTAGTGGTTTCTTGGAGTGTCTTTCAAGATAATCCATCCAATAGGCTGAAAAACTCATTAAAAGTAAAATCTCACTCTCATCCCATTGGAAATGGGGCAGCACCATTTAAAGATGCTCCTCATTGTGTTGAACAAGGTACAGAAGGCCAATTGTTGAGCTTTTATAGTTGGTGGGTAAGTGACAACCTATTTAGCATCCTGGAAGAGGCATGAGAAGCATATCTAAGTGTTACAGTTTGTTAGAAAAATGAGCTAGGGCCAGGTGCGGTGGCTCACGCCTGTAATCCCAGCAGTTTGGGAGGCCAAGGCGGGCAGACCATGAGATCAGGAGATGGAGACCATCCTGGCTAACGTGGCGAAACCCCATCTCCACTAAAAATACCAAAAAAATTAGCCAGGCGTGGTGGCACATGCCTGTAGTCCCAGCTATTCAAGAGGCTGAGACAGGAGAATTGCTTGAACCTGGGAAGCGAAGGTTTCAGTGAACCAAGATGGCACCACTGCACTCCGGCTGGGGTGACAGAGCGAGACTCCATCTCAAAAAAAAAAAAGAAAAATGAGCTAGTGGGCTAGGCATGGTGGCTAATGCCTGTAATCCCAGAACTTTGGGAGGCCAAGGAGGGCAGATCACCTGAGGTCAGGAGTTAGAGACCAGCCTGGCTAACATGGTGAAACCCTGTATCTATTAAAAAAAATAAAAAAAATTAGCTGGGCATGGTGGTGCATGCCTGTAGTCCTAGCTACTCGGGAGGCTGAGGCAGGAGAATCACTTGAACCTGGGAGGTGAGGTTGCAGTGGGCTGAGATCACACCACTGCACTCCATCCTGGACCACAGAGCGAGACTCTATCTCAAAAAAAAAAAAAAAAATGAGATAGTGTATTTTTTCACTGTGCTGAGAAGTACAGTGGAAGTTGCCTTGTCTGGCACTTGTGTCTGTTATGGAATTGAGAGTTCTGTCATGATACTTCCTTTAACATGCTCAGCCACATACTAGGAGGCCAAGAGCCCAGTTTTTGAAATTGTTGGGGTGTAATGATGGAGAACCTAGGACATTTCATTCCATGTGCTGAACAACAGACTGGAAATACTAGTATCCAGCTTATGTAATTTGTTGGGGGGAGGTTGGGGAGGCAAAGTCAGGTTGTGTGTTTAAAAGGCTCAAATCACCACAGTCAACTGCATATGGGAAGTACAATTATTAGAGCATGTAGAGGCTGCATTTCGAGAGGTGAACAATAAAGTGGAAGGATCAGTGTCTAGCCCTTATAGCTTTTGGAAACTTGAGATAGTATAGGTACAAAACTCCTTTCACTATGCTGAACAATATCTATGATGTGCAAATGTTTAAACATTAGGGTTCACTGGGGCACTGAAATGATGCTTAGAGGGGTCTCAAGTCAGCATAAAGCCATACTGGGAATACAAAGTCTAGCACTTGAAGATTGAGGGAAAGTGAGACGGTGGATGTAGGCCGGGCACAGTGGCTCATGCCTGTAATCCCAGCACTATGGGAGGCTGAGGCAGGCAGATGCTTGAGCCCAGGAGTTCGAGACCAGCCCAGGCAACATGGTGAAACTCCGTCTCTACAAAAAATACAAAAATTAGCCAGGCATGGTGGTGCATACCTGTGGTCCCAGCTACTCAGGAGGCTGAGATGGGAGGATCGCTTGAGCCCAGGAGGTCGAGGTTGCAGTGAGCCAAGATTGTGCCACTGTACTCCAGCCTGGGTAATAAAGCGAGACTCTGTTTTTAAAAAAAAAAACAAAAAGAGAGAGAGATGGCTGCTGAGACCAGCTCGGTCGTGGAGACCACAACCCAGTGGGGCTAGAGGAATTAAAGACACACACACAGAAATATAGGGTGTGGAGTGGGAAATCAGGGGCCTCACAGCCTTTGGAGCCGAGAGCCCCAAACAGAGTTTGACCCACATATTTATTGACAGCAAGCCAGTGATAAGCATTGTTTCTATAGATTATAAATTAACTAAAAGTATTCCTTACGGGAAACAAAGGGATACCTCGAAATAAAGGGATGGGCTCTGGCTACTTATCTGCAGCATGAACATGTCCTTAAGGCACAGATAGCTCACGCTATTGTTTGTGGTTTAAGTAAGTAGTTTTCTGCCCTGGGTGGGTCAGGTGTGTTCCTTGCCCTCATTCCGGTAAACCTACAACCTTCCAGCGTGGGCGTCAAGGCCATCACGAGCATGTCACCATGCTGCAGGGATTTTGTTTGTGGCTAGTTTTGGGGCCAGTTTATGGCCAGATTTTGGGGCCTGTTCCCAAGAGATGGCAGATGTAGAAGACTCCATTCAGCATGCTGAAGAACATACCAGAAGCACAGAGGTCTAGGTTTTGTAGTTTATTGGGAAACTGCACTTATAATTTATTGGGAAACCACATAATGCCTGTAAGCAACTCCATTTAGTTTCTTGAGCAAAATACAGTAGTCTAAGTGCTTTGTCTTTGTAGTTTTAGAGGAGTTGAGATGGCGCATACAAAAGGATTCCATTCTACCTGCCAAAACCATCTTGGAAATAAGTTTCTTCTTCTTATAGTTTGTTGGAGAAATGGAGATGTTACATATAAGAGATTCCATTTGCTGTACAACACACTGAAATTAGAGGTCTGGCTCTTGTCATTTCCTGGGAATGGCTGGTGATTTGGTGATCTGTCAGGTGGCAGACAACAGGAAATCAACTGATAATAATTTTTTTTTTTTTGAGACAGAGTCTTGCTCTGCCCAGGCTGGAGTGCAGTGGCAAGATCTCAGCTCACTGCAACCTCTGCCATGTGGGTTCAAGCGATACTTCTGTCTCAGTCTCCCGAGTAGCTGGGACTACAGGCACGAGCCACTATGTCCGGCTAAATTTTTGTATTTTTAGTAGAGACGGGGTTTCACCATGTTGGCTAGGCTGGTCTCGAACTCCTAATCTCTGGTGATCTGCCACCTCGGTCTCCCAAAATGCTGGGATTACAGGCATGAGCCAACGCACTGAGCTCAATAATGACTTTTTTTTTTTTTTTTTTGAGACGGAGTCTCCTCTGTCACCCAGGCTGGAGTGCAGTGGTGCGATCTTGGCTCACTGCAAGCTCCTGGCATTCTTTATGGTATTTCTCTTGTTTGCTTGCCACTAGGAGCACAATTATGTCAAAGAAAGAAAGAAAGGAGAAAAGGAAGGCAGGAAGGAAGGGAGGAAGGGGAAAAAATTAAAAAAAAATGTGTGTGCATGATGGAGCTGCTGCTAGATTGGTGAGTTTTTGAGTTCTGAATTTCCTTTGGACCTGTGGCTGAAGTTGTAAAACCTAAGCTTGTGGTTGTTTTTGTGTGTAAAAATTAAAAATAAAAAGCCTTTTCCCTTCCTCATAAAAGCAAGGTATAGTAATTAATCTTTTATAATATCTTGTTTGTAACTCTTTCTGTCTGTTTCTCAACTTTGGAGACAGATAGGTCACAAACCTATATGTGCCATCTAGGGGTATCTAGTGTAGACACACAGAATTTTTTTTTTGTTGTTTTGAGACGAAGTCTCGCTCTTGTCCCCCAGGCTAGAGTGCAATGGCGTCATCTCAGCTCACTGCAACCTCTGCCTCCTGGGTTCAAGCAATTCTCCTGCCTCAGCCTCCTGAGTAGCTGGGATTACAGGCGCCTGCCACTGTGCCTGGCTAATTTTTTTTTTTGTATTTTTAGTAGAGATGGGGATTTCACCATGTTGGCCAGGCTGGTCTCAAACTCCTGACCTCAGGTGATCCACCCACCTTGGCCTCCCAAAGTGCTGGGATTACAGGCGTGAGCCACTGTGCCCAGCCTTTTTTTTTTTTTTTCTTTTAATCACAGTTCTTAACAAACTTCCATAAATACCCAAAAGGGGAAAAGAAATTTGAGAATATGAAAGAGGTTAATAAATAGCCAAATATGTCAACCATTGAAAGGACACCTATTTTTATTTTAGATTAAACCACTGATTTGCAACTTTTATTGAAATAAATGTCATTTGTTAAAAACAAGGTTAATTTTGTAACTTGATCTCAACTTGTTTTTTTAATAGCAGTTAAATTTTTACATAAAACATTGCAAAACTTCAACTAAAGGCTGGGCGTGGTGGCTCACGCCTGTAATCTCAGCACTTTGGGAGGCTGAGATGGGCAGATCACGAGGTCAGGAGATCAAGACCATCCTGGCTAACATGGTGAAACCCCGTCTCTACTAAAAATACAAAAAATTAGCCAGGCGTGGTGGTGGGTACCTGTAGTCCCAGCTACTTGGGAGGCTGAGGCAGGAGAATGCGTGAACCCGGGAAGCAGTGCTTGCAGTGAGCTGAGATCGCGCCACTGCACTCCAGCCTGGGAGACAGAGTGAGACTCCATCTCAAAAAAAAAAAACAAACAAAAAAAGCTTCAACTAAAGAACAAATAAAACATTCAGACACAAGTTGACACTTTAAAAATTCTATAGATTTCAACAAATAATGAATGACTGTATATTAATTTATATTAGTCCTGTGGTCAGAATACATTTTCCAGTTAAAACATTTTTAATACATCTTCTGTACGGCACGGATAGCTTCTAGTGGGAATTAGTGTATAGTCTGTTCTTGATGAAGACAACACTAGACAGATGTTGCCTGATATCTGGATAATGCTGAATGTGACAAAACCAGCGAGACGCATTAAGATATTTCTTCTTTTCTTGAACTGTCAGGTCAACTATAAAGCGATGAAGTCCATAGTACAATAGGATATCTGCAAAGGTAGTTATATCCTGTAAGGTAGACTTTATCTTCAAGATATGAAATAAGATCCTTCAACAGGGTGTGGGCTGGGCATGGTGGCTCACGCCTGTAATCCCAGCACTTTGGGAGGCTGAGGTGGGCGTATCACAAGGTCAGGAGATCGAGACCATCCTGGCTAACATGGTGAAACCCTGTCTCTAATAAAAAAAATACAAAAAAATTAGCCGGGCGTTGTTGGCGGGCGCCTGTAGTCCCAGCTATTCGGGAGGCTGAGGCAGGAGAATGGCATGAACCCAGGAGGCAGAGCTTGCAGTGAGCAGAGATAGCGCCACTGCACTCCAGCCTGGGTGACAGAGTGAGACTCCATCTCAAAAAAAAAAAAAACTAAAAAAAAAAACCAGTGTGTGGCTATCATTTTTACTGGAGTGACTCTGTATTGTAACCATTGCTGAACTATTGCTTTTTCTTCTGCAGTACTCCCTAGCAAATATCCTTTGTTAGCTTGCTTGACTAGATGAGCTGCTATAGTAGTCAATCCTGTTAGACTTGGACCATTGTTTGTTTGAAGAACCAGAATCTGTCACTCATCCTGAGCACTTTATTTATTATTCCCCTTACTCAGTCCCAGGGACTTCTCTAGTAGTGACAACTTGGCGGCTGCTGCCATCTTCTGGCGGTAGCTCCTGGAAGAGACCAACGTTTAACTTTTTGAGAACCTGTCAAACTGTTTTACCAAGCGGCTGCACCATTTTACATTCCTATCAATTATGTACAAGGGGTCAAATAACTCCAAATCTTCATAAACACTTGTTATTGTCTGTCTTTTTGATTACAGCTATCCTACTGGGTGTGAAGTGGTTTTGGCTTACATTTCCCTAATGACTAATGATGTTGGTCATCTTTTATCGTCCTTTTTGGCCACTTGTATAATATATTTTTGGCAAAATGTCGTTCAAATCCTCTGCCCATTTTTAGACTGGGTTGTCTTTTTATGTTGAGTTGTAAGACTTCTTCACATATTCTGGATAACAGACTCTTATCAGATTATTTGCAAATCTTTTCCCCCATTCTGTGAGTTGTCTTTTCACTTTCTTGACAATACCTTTGAAGCACAAAATTTAAAACTTTTCTCCAACTTATCAAATTTTTTCCTAGGTTCCTTGTGCTTTAGGTACCATATTTAAGACATCATTGCCTAATCCAAGGTTATGAAGATTTACAGCTATGTTTTCTTCTAAGTGTATAGCTTTACTCTTTTTTTTTTTTTTTGAGACGAAGTCTCGCTCTTGTACCCCAGGCTGGAGTGCAATGGCGTGATCTCGACTCATTGCAACCGCCGCTTCCCAGGTTCAAGTGATTCTCCTGTCTCAGCCTCCTGAGTAGCTGGGATTACAGGCGCCTGCCACCACGCCTGGCTATTTTATTTATTTATTTATTTTTTGTATTTTTAGTAGAGATGGGGTTTCACCATGTTGGCCAGGCTGGTCTTGAACTCCTGACCTCAGGTGATCCGCCTGCCTTGGTCTCCCAAAGTGCTGGGATTACAGGCGTGAGCCACCGCGCCCGGCAGCTTTACTCTCATATCTGGGTCTTTGATGCACTTTAATTTTTGTATATGGTGTGTAGTATGAATCAAGATTCATTTTTTCCATCTGAATATACAAATATTGCAACACTAACTGTTGAAAAGATGCTTCCCTCCTTCATTTGCTTTTGCAAGTTTGTAAAACAACAACAAAATCAACTGGCCTCACTCTGTAACTGAGGGCTGCACATATTGTCTTCCTTCCAAAGAGTACAATATGGAAAGTGGGGAAATGTAACATCATAGTAGAGAAATCTGACAAACACTATCTCAGTTAGGTGATCAAGGTTGACATCAGCAGCGATAAGTGATACTGTTGATAAGTACCTTTGATATGATGTGATGAAAATGACACTTTATGATCTTCCTTCCTGAAATCCATATCCCCAGGCTAATCATGAAGAAACATCAGACAAATTTCAGTTAAGGGATATTCTACAAACTAATGCAGTGGCTTGCACCTGGAGTCCCATCTGCTTGGGGGGTTGAAGCAGGAGGACTGCTTGAGCACAGGAGTTCAAGGCTGCAGTGAGCTGTGTTTGTGCCAATGCACTCTAGCCTAGGCAACACAGCAAGACTCTCTTAAAAAAAACTGAATAAAGTATGAATTTTAATTACTAATAATGTGTTGATATTTCATTAATTTTAACAAATGTACTATACTAATGTAAAATACTAATAATAGGGAAACTGGATGTAGAAACTGGGTATAGGGTATGTGGGAAATTTTTGGACTATCTGCAGTTTTTCTGTAAATCTAAACTTTATTATTATACTTTAAGTTTTAGGGTACATGTGCACAATGTGCAGGTTAGTTACATATGTATACATGTGCCATGCTGGTGTGCTGCACCCATTAACTCATCATTTAGCATTAGGTATATCTCCTAAAGCTATCCCTCCCCCCTCCCCCCACCCCACAACAGTCCCCAGAGTGTGATGTTCCCCTTCCTGGGTCCATGTGTTCTCATTGTTCAATTCCCACCTATGAGTGAGAATATGCGGTGTTTGGTTTTTTGTTCTTGCGATAGTTTACTGAGAATGATGATTTCCAATTTCATCCATGTCCCTACAAAGGACATGAACTCATCATTTTTTATGGCTGCATAGTATTCCATGGTGTATATGTGCCACATTTTCTTAATCCAGTCTATCATTGTTGGACATTTGGGTTGGTTCCAAGTCTTTGCTATTGTGAATAGTGCCGCAATAAACATATGTGTGCATGTGTCTTTATAGCAGCATGATTTATAGTCCTTTGGGTATATACCCAGTAATGGGATGGCTGGGTCAAATGGTATTTCTAGATCCCTGAGGAATTGCCACACCGACTTCCACAAGGGTTGAACTAGTTTACAGTCCCACCAACAGTGTAAAAGTGTTCCTATTTCTCCACATCCTCTCCAGCACCTGTTGTTTCCTGACTTTTTAATGATTACCATTCTAACTGGTGTGAGATGGTATCTCACTGTGGTTTTGATTTGCATTTCTCTGATGGCCAGTGATGGTGAGCATTTTTTCATGTGTTTTTTGGCTGCATAAATGTCTTCTTTTGAGAAGTGTCTGTTCACGTCCTTCGCCCACTTTTTGATGGGGTTGCTAAACTTTTTTTTTTTAAAAAAGTTTAAAATATTGGCCGGGCGCAGTGGCTCACGCCTGTAATCCTAGCACTTTGGGAGGCCGAGGCGGGAGGATCACGAGGTCAGGAGTTCGAGACCAGCCTGGCCATCGTGGTGAAACCCTGTCTCTACTAAAAATACAAAAGTTAGCTGGACGTGGTGGCGGGCGCCTGTAATCCCACCTTCTTGGAAGGCTGATGCAGGAGAATTGCTTGAACTCGGGAGGCGGAGGTTGCAGTGAGCCGAGATTGTGCCACGGCACTCCAGCCTGGGCGAAAGAGCGAGACTCTGTCTCAAGAAAAACACACACACACACACACACACACACACACACACACACAAACAAAAGTTTAAAATATCAATTAGGTATATTTGTATTTAACTGTTTCATGAATCTTTGTTTCTAACCTTTCTCCTATAACCCATTCTTTTTTTTTTTTTTTTTTTGAGACAAGGTCTTGCTCTGTTGCCCAGGCTGGATGGAGTGCAGTGGCGCGATCATAGCTCACTGTGGCCTCAAACTCCCTGCTCAAGTGATCCTCCAGACTCCCAAGCAGCTGGGACTACAGGTGCGCACCACGCCTCCAGGCTAATTAAAAAAATTTTTCTTTTGTGGAGACAGGGTCTCGCTATATTGCCCAGGCTGGTTTCAAACTCTTGGGCTCCAGCAATCCTGTCGCCTCGCCTCCCAAAGTGCTGGGATTACAGGCGCGAGTGGCCGCTGGGGTTCTTAACTTGGGTCTTTGAATCGCCTTAAGAAGTGTCTCTGAATCTGGGAATTGCAAGCAACGTTTCTGTGAGGACCTTCACACAGTTCATCCACTCTTCGAAGAGTATGGACCGAAAAAGGCATAGAGCATTCACTGCACGTAGAGAAAATCAGCAACCCCTGCTCCCCACCCTCAGCCTGAGGTGCCTACCTCCACGTGGGGTCAGGAGGCGGAAGCGAAACCAGAAGAAAAAACCCTGAGATCTATAAGGCAGTTCAGGTCCCTAGTGACATGAGCTAAAGAGAACTTGGACGCCAGGACTGTAGCAGACAGAGTCCGGCTTCGGGGTTCGCATCAGTCGCACGGAAGGTGGAAATAGCCCCCAAGTTGTAACCCGCCGCGGTCTTCCCTCAACAGCGCAGGCGCCAGGACTGCTAGGACGCCGCGCACCTCCCGCGATGCCCCGCCCCGGCGCGAGGCAAGACGGGAAAGTCAAGATGGACGCGTCCATTTGAACGTCTCGCACGCCTTCCTGCCATTAGCACTCGAGCCCGCTGCTGTTGCCCGTTCTTCCTCCAGAATAGGGGAGGGAGAGGGAATGAGAAGCTGCTGCGGCCCAAGAGTCACTGTGAAGGACCCCGCCGCTGCCCTCGGGCCTCCTCGGCCCCTGCGCCTCCGGGGAGCAGCCGGGGCTCGCCGCGCCTGACGCGTCCCGAGTTATACAGGTGCGGGCGCCGTACCGCAGCACTTGGTGGTCTGTCGCGCG
The DNA here is from genome assembly GCF_000001405.40 of Homo sapiens. NCBI lineage: Eukaryota > Metazoa > Chordata > Mammalia > Primates > Hominidae > Homo > Homo sapiens. Next base: position 111,883,900 of record NC_000002.12, on the reverse strand, counting down.
CCGCGTGACTCTCGCACCCGTCCCGAGGCCGAGCCTCCCCTGGTGGCCGTAGGTCTGGAAACCCGGGGTACTGGGAACCCGAGGGAGGGCCTTGAGCGTGCTCCGGGGCTGAGGGGGCCTGCGGGCGCTCCTGGCCTGCGGGCTGGGGTGCTCCTTCCGGCTCCTGCTTGCCAACCTCTTTCCTGAGCTGTGCGTAGCATCCCATGTGCAGCCTCAGCTTTCAGACTGGCCTCCAGCCCCTCTGAGCTGTTTTTCTGAGCCTCGGGCTCTCAGCCTGTTTTCACCGTCCTCTAGAAAGGCTGGGGAAGCTCTTGTGGAGACTTAAGCTCCCGTTAGTGTGCATTTGGGTCTCTTTTTTTTTTTTTTGGCAGGGTAGTGTTTGTAGGAATCATTGCTGATACTGTTATTTATAGCATATAAATTTAATAGTATTTTTACGTGTAGCTGTTTATGTTGCACCTAACAAGTAAAAACATTTCTAAAAGTTTGGGGTACTGAAAAAGTATTAAATATGTGGCATTAATCGGTACAAAATGATAATTCTTTAACAATTCTGTAATTTTCTCTCAAAGTTATAAGAAAATAACATTATAAAATTGCAGAACTAAAGTTTCATAAAGTCAAAAGTTCGTTGATGTTGGTTATTCTGTTGAATAAAATATAGGAAGACCAGCTGAATTTTGTTTTCTTTTAAGGTTTTTTTTTTTGTGGGGTTTTCTTTTTTTTTTTTTTTTTGAGAAGGAGTCTTGTTCTGTCTCCTAGGCTGGAGTGCAGTGGCGCCATCTCAGCTCACTGTAACCTCTGGCTCCCGTGTTCAAGCAATTCTCTGCTTCAGCCTCCCAAGTAGCTGGGATTACAGGCGCCCGCCATCACTGTCTGGCTAATTTTTGTATTTTTAGTAGAGATGGGGTTTCACCATCTTGGCCAGGCTGATCTTGAACTCCTGACCTCGTGATCCACCCGTCTCGGCCACCCAAAGTGCTGGGATTACAGGCGTGAGCCACCACGCCCTGCCCCTTGTAAGTTTTATAAGGCACTTTTTACTTGTGTTCCAAGTTCAAGTGTCCCAGTACTCATTTATTTCTAGCAGGAGGAAGAACAAAACTTGTGTCATGTTTTGTGACATAATTATATCCAGAATAACTTTTCTTTTTTTTTTTTTTGAGACGGAGTTTTGCTCTTGTCCCCCAGGCTGGAGTACAATGGCGCGATCTCGGCTCACTGCAACCTCTGCCTCCCAGGTTGAAGCGATTCTCTTGCCTTAGCCTCCCAAGTAGCTGGGATTACAGGCGCCCACACCATGCCTGAGTAATTTTTTTTTTTTTGTATTTTTAGTAGAGACAGGGTTTGACCATGTTGGCCAGGCTTGTGTCAAACTCCTGACCTCAGGTGATCCTCGCGCCTCAGCCTCCCAAAGTGCTGGGATTGCAGGCGTGAGCCATCGTGCCTGGCCAAGAATAACATTTAATTCACAGCAAAATAACTTTGTGGCTTTGGAGGAGCTGCAAAGGAACTACATAGGCTTTGGCTGTTTGTGTAACCATATAGGATTCTTGCCCTATGAGCAGCAAGTCAATACACGGAAACAACGGGGATTGCAGCAGATAAAGTGTTTTACTTGCAGGGCCACCGAACTAGGAGACTGAGGAAACTTCAAGTCAGCCTCCCCAAAGAGTTAAGGTCTAGAGGTTTTTTTTTTGCTTTTGGTTTTTTTTTTGAGACAGAGTCTTGCTCTGTTGCCCAGGCTGGAGTACAATGGCATGATCTCGGCTCACTGCAACCTCCGCCTCCTGGGTTCACGCCATTCTCCTGCCTCAGCCTCCCGAGTAGCTGGGACTACAGGTGCCCGCCACCAAGTCCAGCTAATTTTTTGTATTTTTAGTAGAGATGGAGTTTCACCATGTTAGCCAGGATGGTCTCGATCTCCTGACCTAGTGATCCGCCTGCTTTGGCCTCCCACAGTGCTGGGATTATAGGCGTGAGCCACCGCACCCGGTCCAGAGGTTTTAAAGAGAGGGTAGTGGGTTAAGGTATTGATTGGTCAGAGAATGAAGGATGAAGTCATAGGACAGAGAGATAAACCACATTCTCATGCTAATGTGGTTCCTTGATGGGGTCTTAAGACTAGCTTGCATCATCTCAAAAGTCTTAGGCTCCTAACATTAAAAATGCTGTCTATAGGAACATGGTATATATAAACAGGTACAGGAAAGTGGATCGAAGGACAATCTAATTATGCTTATCTGTACTTTTGTCTAAAGCCTGGCTGCTACCTAACCTTGTGATGAAGGCTTTAACAGTTCATCCACATTTTTTTAGTAATAAACTGTACTGTAATAGATTAATAATTAGATTAATTAGATGTAATAATTAATTAAAACCTAGTACCCTTAAATCTGCAAGCATAACTGTTCCATGGCTAGAGTTATTCATGCCTCGGTTCTTTGGGTTTCGACCAATAATTGAAATTGATTGTAGTTATATATTTAGGTGGGATTGGGGGTGTCACAGCTACTTAAGACATTTGAAAACCTATGTCTTTTGTAGATTGGTCAGCTGAAAGCAGTTCAACCTCTGATGAATTAGAGTAATGTGTGGTTTTTTATTGTTTTATTCCAATATGACAATGATCCCTTAGATGTACTTTTCAAATGAGGTTCTGGCATCTAACCAGAAATGACCTTAAATGTTGAAAAGCCATGTAGTTATGGGACCATAGAATACAACTTGTCTAAATACTTCATATATAAAGTATGGAAAAATTAGCGTATAGTAGTGGGAAACACGGGATAGGTGGTGCGGGACATAAGTACTTGTTGCATCTCAGTGGTTTCCTATAGTGGTAACTGTCAGTCTGTGACTAAAATGTGATAATTGCAACTGTCTGAATCAGATCTAGAATGCCCTTTTATGTTATGACCAACTTATATACTTACCAGTCTGATATAATTACTTGACACCCATGTAAGGATTAATGACTTGTGTGTTTATGGTATTTTTATTCTAGTTTTGAGTCTGGAAGCTGACCAGAATGTGTTTGAATTCATACAGAAATAATGTTGATATTTGGAACCCATGTCGAACTTCTATGAAGAAAGGACAACGATGATTGCAGCAAGGGATTTGCAGGAATTTGTTCCTTTTGGTCGAGACCACTGCAAGCACCACCCTAATGCTTTGAACCTTCAACTTCGCCAGCTGCAGCCAGCTTCTGAATTATGGTCTTCTGATGGTGCTGCTGGCTTGGTGGGATCCCTTCAGGAGGTTACAATCCACGAGAAACAGAAGGTTCCATTGAGTTTCCCATTGTGTTTTTGAAATGTAGAGTGATATAATCTACTTGTAATTTAAGGCTACTAAGATGCAACTGAGAGATCGGTGTGATGCCACTTCTAGAGTAGAGTTAAGGTGTGGTAATTTCAATAAATGTTGAAAATAATGACTTTATTACATTGTCATAGCGACTTATTTAGATACCCTCTATAACTTGTGGTTTTATTTATTTTTTATTTTTCAATTTTTTTGTTTGAGATGAAGTTTTGCTCTTTTTGCCCGGGCTGGAGTGCACTGGTGCGATCTTGGCTCACCGCAACCTCTGCCTCCCGGGTTCAAGTGATTCTCCTGCTTCAGCCTCCCGAGTAGCTGGGATTACAGGCATGCACCACCACCCCTACTAATTTTGTATTTTTAGTAGTGATGGGGTTTCTCCATGTTGGTCAGGCTGATCTTGAACTCCGGACCTCAGGTGATCCACCCGCCTCGGCCTCCCAAAGTGCTGCGTTTACAGGCGTGAGCCACTGTGCCCGGCCAACTTGTGGTGTTATAATGTGAGTCAGGTTCAGTAGTATGATTGTTGTCCATTTTAAACCTTTTTCTTTTCACTTAATATGTGGGGACCAGATTTCATGTTATCTAATGATTAAATGGTAGAGATTAGAAGTAGTCCCTGCTGCAGAAGATTTACATGTTTCTAAAGGAGAGAAGAAATGCCACAAAAGTAGGTAGAGTAATAGCTTTTTTTTTTTCCTGAGACGGAGTTTCACTTTTGTTGCCCAGGCTGGAGTGCAATGGCACAATCTCAGCTCACCGCAACCTCTGCCTCCTGGATTCAAGTGATTCTCCTGCCTCAGCCTCCCGAGTAGCTGAGATTACAGGCATGTGCCACCACGCCCAGCTAATTTTGTATTTTTTTAGTAGAGGCGGGATTTCTCCATGTTGGTCAGGCTAGTCTCAAACTCCAGACCTCAGGTGATCCACCTGCCACGGCTTCCCAAAGTGCTGGGATTACAGGCGTGAGCCACCACACCCGGCGAGTAATAGTTCTTAAGTAGAGGAATGAGATGTTAAGTGTGTGTCAGAAAATGAATCCCTCCTGCCTTATTCCATTGTCATATCCCTTTGGGATACTAAAATCTCGGGGAGGGAAAGCCTATGTAGTTACAAATGGAAACTTCTCTTTCTTCCATTCATTTTGGTGGGTGGGACAAAGGAAAAGAAGGTGAATATATATGTGATTGCGAAGCAGGAAGTCTGCATTTGTGTGTGAACTCCCCAAGTGATTCCCACGTGCACCTCACTGTCCTTTCCCTACCCTACCTCATATACTTAATATGTCCTTTTAGTCTCCCAAGCATGTGATTTGACTTTTGGAACTATAGAGAAGGTGTACTTTTTGTTCGTTTTTGTTTTTGGCAGAGTAATATAGAGGAATAATATAAAACATTCAATATAGAGAATTATTGAGTAAATTCTTCATGTAATTCTGTAGTGTAATGCATATATCCACATCCTCCGTTAATCAGTGTACCAAACTTTGTAGGAGTTGTGTTTGAATTGAGTCTTACTCCATGGGCAAATAAATTTTGTTCCAGATTTTTGAAGAACAAAAAAAGAGTGCTTGAATATGTTTTACATGTGTTAATTTTTAAGGAAAGCTGGCAGTTAAGGAAAGGAGTAAGTGAAATTGGAGAAGATGTGGACTATGATGAGGAACTCTATGTTGCTGGAAATATGGTGATATGGAGCAAAGGAAGTAAAAGCCAGGCATTGGCAGTTTATAAAGCATTTACAGTTGACAGTCCTGTTCAGCAGGTGAGTTGATTTGAATTTTAGCATTTGATTCACTATTTAATGCAATTAAAAAAAAGTTTTGTTTTAAAATTTAACAGAAATGATAAAACCAGCCTAATGATCTCAGCAGCTGGGTGTACGTTGTAACATGACATAATATAATGTGAAGATAATGGCAGGAAAATAAAAATTTAATTTTATTTTTATATCATCACTTTTTTTACACTCTTCTTTGTCACTTTAATGGTAATCTTTAAACACTCTGTCCTTATGTAATTCAATTTGTTATTGCCAGCAAAAACCTATAAAACATGAAGAGTACAGAAATATTTTAACACATGATTACTATAATTGATTGCAAAGATTTGAATAAATAAAAATCGTGGGATTCATAATGGTAGAGAGAAAGGAAAAAATCTGCTTTGCAGCCATTGCAGTTGGCTGTTATAACTAACTGTTCTGAAAGTTGATAATGAAAGGGAAAGAATTAAGCATTTGCCATATTTTTTCAGGAAGACATGCAGTTCATCTCCATTTGATGAAGGAAAACTTGTACTTAGAGAAGAATGCTAGCTAATAAGTGTAAAAGGAATTGTAGAATTAGAATATCACCATTTTGTAACCTCCAGTGCAATAATTGATTCCAACAAGGATTGTAAATGGATACTAACACTGTTGGTTGAAAGAATATTACCATGGCACCAACACATCACCCTGTGGATTACCTGGTAAATGTGAAGGAACAAATGTACCTCTACTTTGGAGTTATTTGTCAGTCTCCACCTCAATCAAGTGATTGAGTTTAGCATAATTAGTAGTGACATGAAGGAGTATTATGTGCTTCTAGCTATAATACAGAATGAAGTACATGATGTCATCTAAGTTTTCTTCCCAAAAATATGAATATTTAGACCTAACTTCCTATTTATAGGAAATATAGGCAATAGAGAATTATATTTTAAAATACCATGAGATAAGGAAATAGATAGCTAGGAATGGCTAAAGCTTTATTATTATTATTATTGTTTATTTATTTATTTGTTTTTTGAGATGGAGTCTTGCTCTGTCACCCAGGCTGGAGTGCAGTGGCATGATCTCAGCTCACTGCAAGCTCTGCCTCCCAGGTTCATGCCATTCTCCCGCCTCACCCTCCCGAGTAGCTGGGACTGCAGTTGCCCGCCACCACACCCGGCTAATTTTGTTTTTATATTTTTAGTAGAGCTGGGGTTTCACTGTGTTAGCCAGGATGGTCTCGATCTCCTGACCTTGTGATCTACCCACCCACCTCGGCCTCCCAAAGTGCTGGGATTACAGGCGTGAGCCATCATGCCCAGCCAAGCTTGATAATTATTAAAACTGGCTGATGGGGATTCATTATCCTATTCTGTTTACTTTGTATTTATTTGAAATTTTCCATTATAAAAAGTTTATAGTCTACATTCTGGTTTCTTTAAAAAAGTCACGGAGAAAGAAAAAAAGGTGGGGACTGTTCTACATTGAAAGAGACTAAAGAGACATCACCAAATGCAGTATTTTTTGATCCTTGTTAAATGAACTTTGATTGAGTCCTGGTTTTCTAGCTAAAAAGATATTTTTGGGGAAAATTTGGGAAAGTTGAAAATTACTGGCCAGTAGCTGATGTTAGAGAAGTATTATTTTTTTCTCAGGGACGATGATTTTATGGTTTTATAGGAGAACATCTTTATTTTTAGAAAAGGCATGGTGAAGTATTTAGGGGTGAAATGTCATGATGTGTGTGCAATTTATTTTTAAACAGTCAGCATTCCCATTCCGAAAATCCCATATGTACACAAATGCACACACACAAACAAATATGGCAAAATTTTCATGATTGTTGGATATAGGTGAAATATGTTTGCTGCATTATTTCAACTTTTCTTACTGAAAATTTTTATAACAAAAAGTTGGAGGAAGAACTAATGCATTTATTGTAGTTGAATTAGGGTTGACGAGGTTTTGGAGGCTTTGACTAATGTTAAGTTTCATTTTTGTAAATGCTGAAATCTTTGTATCTGGATACTGCTTCCTCCCACTCCTCCCGCCTACCGTTAACTATTTCCTGATGAGTACTGTATTCTATTTATTGGAAAGGATAAACTGAATCATTATTCCAACATTTGAGGGCATATGTGAAAGCATTTGTGTCCTGGAGTGTTGAAGCCAGTGATCTTTTTGATGGTAAATTTTTTCCCATATAATTCATATAGTTAGTATAGATGTGAAAAGTGCATTTGATGATATCCAAGTAGTTCTTTGCTTCTATATCTTCATCTTAATTTCTCCAAGAACAGTTGCCTATTTACTAGATTCTATGGAAGTGCAGTTAGATATATTATCTCCTTTATCTTAAGATCACTTGTAAGTGTAATTGTAAGATTTGGAATTTCAGTCTTTTGATCTGGAAAATATATTGTTACTTAATCTTCTTGCTAATATGGAGAAAGATAATTTTCTATTTTGTTTATGAAATAATATCAGGTATATGTGACTCAGATTTTATCTGTTCATTGTTTTACCTATCCTGCAAGTATTTTTTTTTTGGTTGTTCTTTTTATTTTTTCATTTATTCTTTTTGTTTTTTAATAGAGATGGGGGTCTCACTATGTTGTCCAGGCTGGTCTTGAACCCCTGGGCTCTAGTGATCCTCCTGGCTTGGCCTCCTAAAGTGTTGAGATTACAGGCGTGAGCCACTGTGCCTGGTCTTCTGCAAGTATTTAGTCTCACTCTGTTTCAGCCATTATGCTGGGGCTACAAAGGTGAATGTAGTTTCTGCCATTGAAGGACTCATAGCCTAGAAAGGAGAACAAACAGATCACCTGAAATGCTGTATTCTGAATGCTGTATAATAACTACCTGTCCACAGAGTGATGAGAGCCCAAAGGACTGAGTGCCAAAGGGAGGGTTTTTCAAAGAAGATGCTATTTGTGTTATAAAATGGTGGCAGAAGGGCATTCTAGGCAGAGGAAATCACAGCAAAAAGAATTATGGAAAAAGATGACTTTTTAAACTTCAGAATGGCTGTACACGAAGTGTGGGTGTGGAGAGATGCAAGTGGATGCTGGCAGTATACAGACCAAAGGGCCTTGTATATAAACCAAGGAATTTGGATTTTAAACTGTGTGCTGAAGGGAGCCTGCCAAGGATTTTAAAATGGAAGCGATCAATTTTGTGTTTTGAGAAGAGATTGCTTTGTTAGCAATATATATATAGGATTGACTGGAGAGGAGGGAGACTGTTGTCAGGGGCACTATTTTGTGACTGTTCAGGTAAAAGATTGGTGCCTTGGCAAAGAAGGGGTGATAAAGCAGAGGGAGATGTGGAAGGGGTTAGTGATCTCTTAGATATCAGGGATAAAAGAGATGTTAAAATATTTACTTTTAGAGGCTGAGAGGATGGGATTTCATCAAAGGAAGTTGAGACTGTAATCGGTGCATTGTAGATTTTGGACATTTCAGGTTGGAGCACAGCTCTCATGCATGGTTTTCTTCCTGAATTTTCATTTCTTAACCATTAAAATCTCCCACAACTCAACAATAAAACAAACTACCCAATTAAAAAATTGGGCAGAAGGACTTAAATGGACATTTTTCTAAAGATGCACACATGGTCAGTAAGCACATGAAAAGATGCTCAGCTTCGCTAATCATTAGGCAAATGCAGATTACAACCACAATGAGATACCACTTTACTAGGTTGGCTGTTATTAAAGAAACATAACAAATGTTGGTGAGGATGTCCAGAAATTGGAACTCCTGTGCATTGCTGATGGGAATGTAACATAGCTGCTGTGGAAAAGTTTGGCGATTTCTCAAAAAGTTACACGTGTAGCCAGGCATGGTGGTGCATGCCTGTACTCCCAAGCTGTTCAGGAGACTGAGGCAGGGGGGTCATGTGAACCCAGGAGTTCTAGGCTGCTGCGAGCTAGAATCATGCCTTGCATTGCAGTTTGGGTGACAGAGTGAGACCCCATCTCTTGAAAGAAAAGTTATACTTAGAATTACCATTATGATCCAGCAGTTCCAGTTCTAGGTATATGCACAATTGAATTGAGAACAGGGATTCACAGATACTTGTACACCAGTGTTTTCAGCAGCATTATTTATGATAGCCAAAAGGTAGAAACAACCCATGTCCATTGACAGATGAATGGATAAACAAATGTGGTATATGCTAACAGTGGAATATTGTTTAGCTTTAAAAAGGGATAAAATTCTGATACATGTCATAACATGGATGAACCTTGAAAACATTATGTTAAGTGAAATAAAATAGATATAAAAGGACAAATGTACAGTTTCACTTACATGAGATACCTAGCACAGGCCCTTTCATAGGGAAAGTGGAATAGAGGTTACCAGAGCTCAGGGCATTGGGAAATGGGGAGTATTGTTTAATGGGCACGGAGTTTCTGTTTGAGATGAGGAAAAAGTTCTGGAAATGTGCAGTATTGTACAAGCTCACAAATTGTACTAAGCTCGTCAATTTAATGTTAATGCTACTGAATTGTCTACTTAAAAATTGTTAAAATGTTAATTTTCATATTGTGTGTATTTGACCACAGTTTAAAAAAAAACACAAAATGCTGTTAAATAATAAGTGATTGCCAGGTATGTCAGTTAAAGTTTAATAGCTTTTCCTAGTTTATATTTTGTAAGATGGGCTTTTAAGAAAGGGAGGAGTTAGTTTTTCTAAAGACTTTTTCAAAAGTCAGTCTAGAGAGAGTCTAAGATCAGTTGTTTAATCTGGAGATTATAAAGTTTGAATAATCTTTAGTTTTGTAGAGGATATAGGGTTTAGTATGGTTTGAGCTACTATTTGAATTTTTGCTGCAAAGTTTCTATCTGGTAGATTTTTTGATTCTTGTCTTCTCTTTTTGTAAAATTTATTTTTTTAATTTAAAATTTTAATTCCTATGGATCTTTTCATAAAATTTAATTGTAAACATATTTTGCCTTTCCTTATCATATTTATCATTTATTACTCTAATTTATTTTTTCTTATTCTTTTTGTTCCCATGATTGTACATGTTGAGCTGAGGAGGCAAAGTTATTACGTAGATGCTATTATTATTATTTAGATGCCATTAGTTAATAGATGATTATTTAGATATAATTTTCTTAGGTAAGCATTTTGTTTTGATTTTAGGCATTGTGGTGTGACTTCATTATATCACAGGATAAGTCTGAAAAGGCCTACAGTAAGTTTCTTTTTGAAATTTTATTTTTCTTATGATGATTCCAAATATTTATCTCATTGTATTTTTCATTCAAATGAAGTAGCCACTAGTAATAGTGGTTTACCATAAGCATCTTTATATTGTGCATTAAATAATTTGTGCTGTTAGGATTGAACTCCTTTGAGGGAAAAAACACATAAGTCTTGTTGTACCCTTTCTTTTCAGGTAGCAATGAAGTAGAAAAATGCATATGTATATTGCAAAGCTCATGTATTAACATGCATAGCATAGAAGGAAAGGATTACATAGCTTCATTACCATTTCAGGTAAACAAGTGTTTCAAATTTTGGGGGGGTTTTGTTGGAGAACATTTTTGAATTAATTGGTTTTAGAGGCATGTCTTATGTCTCATGTTTCGTAGTAGTCAAAAATGTTATTTTTACTCAAAATAACTAAATTTTGGCAGCTTTAGTGGCTTACCATTTTTCTGTACTTCACAAGAAAATAAGTTATTTAGTGAAGTAAATTAGGAAGTCTTCTGTGGTATGTGTTTGTTGGTTTAAATGATACCTAAGAACTTTTGGTTATATTAAATAAGGCATATGAATAACACCAGTCTTTTTTTGTTACTCATCGTCTTTTTAATGCCTAGGGCTATTGTTAACACATTGTCATTTTGTTACTGATCCTGGCCAGTGGCAGGAATTTCACATTGAACAACTCCTCTTTATTAGATTTGATTTTATCTTAGAGTTGCTTATTTGTATTACTTTTTAAGAAAATACCGTATTTAATGATTATGTTACTTTGTAAAGCTATTACTAAATTGGAAAATAAAACATTCTGTAATGTTTCTTTAAAACATTTTATAAAGGGGTAGGTTCTCTTACTTCTATCTTTTCCCACCCTTTTACCTGAAAGGTTGCAAATGTTTGGCCCACTAAATATGGATTGCTGTTTGAACGAAGCGCTTCTTCACATGAAGTACCTCCAGGTTCACCCAGGTATTCATTTTATTCACTTCAGAATATTACTGCTTGGGATTTGTGTGTTTGTGTTGGTTCTGAGGTTTATCTAAAAGTTTGAGATGATGATAATTTTCATGTTGACAGCATAGATATATGCCATTTTCTCTCATCTCAGTACAAGTTGAGTATCCCTGATCCAAAAATCTGAAATTCTCCAAAATCTGCAACTTGTTGAGCTCCAGCATGACACTCAAAGGAAATGCTTATTGGAGCATTTCAGGTTTTGGATTCTCAAATTAGGGTTGCTGTCATCAAAAAGATATGTCATGATCAAGTGGGTTTTGTCTCAGGGATGCAGGGATGGTTTAACATACACAAGTCAATAAATGTGACACATCACATAAACAATTAAAAACCATATGATCATCTCAATAGATGCAGAAAAAAGCATTGGATAAAATTCAGCATCCCTTGATGATAAAAACAAACTAGGCATAGAAGGGACTTACCACAAATTAATAAAAGTCATATACAACAAACCCACAGCCAACATCATACTGAATGGGGAAAAGTTGAAAGCATTCCCCCTGAGAACTGGAAGAAGACTAAGATGCCTACTTTCACTATTTCTATTCAGCATAGTACTGGAAGTTCTGGCCAGAGCAATCAGGCAAGTGAAAGAAATAAAGGACATCCAGATTTGAAAAGAGGAAGTCATACTATCACTATTTGCTGATAATATGATTATATACCTAGAAAACCCTATAGACTCCTCCAAAAGACCCCTAGATTTGATAAATAAATTCAGTAAAGTCTCAGATTACAAAATCAATGTACACAGATCAATAGCACCGCTATACAGCAACAATGACAAAGCTGAAAATCAAATCAAGAACGCAGTCTCTTTTTTTTTGAGACGGGGTTTTGCTCTTGTTGCCCAGTCTGGAGTGCAGTGGCATGATCTCGGCTCACCACAACCTCTGCCTCCCAGGTTCAAGCGATTCTCCTGCTTCAGCCTCCTGAGTAACTGGGATTACAGGCATGCACCACCACGCCTGGCTAATTTTTTGTATTTTTAGTAGAGATGGGGTTTCTCCATGTTAGTCATGCTGGTCTCGAACTCCCGACCTCAGGTGATCCACCCACCTTGGCCTCCCAAAGTGCTGGGATTATAGGCATGAGCCACCGCACCTGGCCAAAAATTCAATCCCTTTTATAAGAGCAGCAAAGAGCCAAAAACAAAAACCTATGAATATGCTTAACCAAGGAGGTGAATCATCTCTATAAGGAGAACTACAAAACACTGCTGAAAGAAATCACAGATGACACAAACAAATGGTAACACATCCCATGATCATGGATTTGAAGAATCCATATTGTGAAAATGATCATCCTGCCAAAAGCAATCTATAGATTTCACCATAATTCTCATCAAAATAAGATCTTTTTTTTTATAGAGTTAGAAAAAACAATTCTAAAATTCATGTGGAACCAAAAGAGCCCAAAATAGCCAAAACAATCCTAAGCAAAAAGAACAAGTATGTAGCCATCACATATTCTACAAGGTTATAATTAGCAAAACAGCATGGTACTGGTATAAAAGTAGGCACATAGACCAATGGAACAGAATAGGGAAACCAGAAATAAAGCCAAATACTTGTAATCAAGTATTTGATCTTTGACAAACAAGCTTACAAAAACATAAATTGGGGGAAAGGCATCCTATTTAGTAAATGGTGCTGGGAAAACTGATACCTTTTTTAGAAGAATGAAATTGGGTTTTTTTTATCTCTCACCTTATACAAAAGTCAGTTCAAGAGGGATGAAAGGCTTTAAGCCCTGAAACCATAAAAATTCTAGAAGATCACCTTGGAAAAACTCTTCTGGACATTGGCCTAGGCAAGGAATTTATGACTAAAACACCAGAAGCAAATGCAACAAAAACAATAAATAAATGGGACCTAATTAAAATAAAAAGCTTCTGCACAGCAAAAGAAATGTCAGAATAGACAGATAGTTCACACAGTGGGAGAAAATATTTGCAAACTATGCATCCAACAAAGCACTAGTATCCAGAATATATAAGGAACTCAGATCAGCAAGACAGAAGCTCAAAAAGTGGGTAAAGGACATGAATAGACAGTTCTCAAAAGAAGATACACAAATGGCCAACAAACATGAAACTGCTCAATATCACTAATGATCAGAGAAACACAAATTAAAACCACAGTGAGATCTCACCTTACTCTTTAAGGAATGGCCATTATTAAAGAGTCAGAAAAACAATAGATGTTGGCATGGATGTGGTGGAAGGGGAATGCTTATACACTGCTGGTGGGAACATAATTAGTATGACATCTATGGAAAACAGTATGGAGATTCCTTAAAGAACTAAAAGTACGTCTACCATTCAATCTAGCAGTCCCATTACTGGGTATCTACCCAAAGGAAATAAAAGTCATTATGTGAAAAAGATACATGCACATGTATGTTTATTGCAACACAATTCACAATTGCAAAGATAAGGAAGCAGCCTAAGTGCCCATTGACCAATGAGTGAATAAAGAAAATGTATATATACACCATGGAATACTAATCAGCCATAACGAGGAAATGAAATAATGTCTTTTGCAGCAAGCTGGATGGAACTGGAGGCCATGATTCTAAGTGAAGTAACCCAGGAATGGAAAACCAAATACTGCATGTTCTCACTTCCAAGTGAGAGCTAAGCAAGGAGTATGCAGAGGCTATATACAGAGTGTTATGATGGACTTTGGAGACTCAGAAGGAGGAGGGTGGGAAGAAGGTGTGGGATAAACAAACTACATATTGCATACAACATACACTACACAGGTGACAGGTGCACTAAAATCTCAGAATTCACCACTACATAATTCTGTGTCACCAAAAGCCACTTGTACCCCCAAAAGAATTAGGGTTGCTCAACCGTTAGTGTAAGGTAAATAATCCAAAACACTTAGGGTCCCAAGTATTTCAGATAAGGGATACTCAGCCTGTATGTACACTCATGAACTCTACGCACTTGGCACTTAATTAGCCTTTTTTCCCAATCTAAGTGGTAAAATTGAATATGCAAATAAATGGCTTCAAAAAAGATTTGGCCGGGCGCGGTGGCCCACGTCTGTAATCCCAGCACTTTTGGGAGGCCGAGGCGAGTGGATCACCTGAGGTCAGGAGTTCGAGACCAGCCTGCCCAACGTGGCGAAACCCTGTCTCTACTAAAAATACAAAAAATTAGCCAAGCGTGGTGGCAGGTGCCTGTAATCCCAGCTACTCGGGAGGCTGAGGCAGGAGAATCACTTGAACCTGGGAGACGGAGGTTGCAGTGAGCCGAGATCACATCACTGCACTCCAGCTGGGCGATGAGCAAAACTCCGTGTCAAAAAAAAAATAAATAACAAGATTCAGTTCTTAGCTCTGCCATTTTCTCATTGTGCTGCTTTGAGCAGATCATTAGAGCTTTCTTAGCTATAGTTTCCTTACGCGTTACAGGAATGTTATCATTTACCTCTTAGGACTTATGCAAAGTTAAAGTAGCTAAATGTATATAAGCTTTGACACAGGGCCTAGTAGGTATTAAGTATGCAATAAATGGCAGATGTTTACTAGCGGCGTGTTTATCTTGCCCCCTATGAATTATGAGCACACCGAAGGGCAGCAGCATACAGCACCTGTCAGGCATGTTGTGGTGCAAGAGGTAGGCACTTGCTAAGTCTTAAAGAAATTGCTGATAGATTTTCATCTCTTTATGCTTTGAAAGAAAGCCCGTCTTCGCTCTAAAAAAAATAATTCCTTAAAAAATGTAGGCTTCTGGCCAGGTGTGGTGGCTCACGCCTGTAATCCCAGCACTCTGGGAGGCCGAGGCAGGTGGATCACCTGAGGTCAGGAGTTCAAGACCAGCCTGGCCAACATGGTGAAACCCCGTCTCTACTAAAAATACAAAAAAACTAGCTGGGCGTGGTGGCGTGTGCCTGTAATCCCAACTACTCGGGAGGTTGATACAGGAGAATCGCTTGAACGTGGGAGGTGGAGGTTGTAGTGAGCCGAGATGATGCCCCTGCACTCTAGCCTGGGCAACAGAGTGAGACTCCATCTCAGAAAAAAAAAGCAGACTTAATTTACTTGAAGTAGTTTGTTTCTTCCTTTTTTAAAAAATGCATTCCTTTGTCAGCAGATATGGGAGAATAAATTTCTTTCTTAGCTGCCAAAGACACACTGCCAGTAAGAGAGGTCAATAAAAAAAGACCGCTTTATGCACATTACTCCATTTGTTCTGTACTGTGATGACTGCTGTTTGCAGAAATTCCCTGGCTATATTGATTTCCCTCTGTTCGTGCATTGATAGAATTACTCTAAGGGGAGAGATTTCTAGGAATGAAATAGAAGACAATGTGAAAAATAGTATGTACAAAGTTTAGAAGATTGCATTTTGAGATAGTAGGTTTCTAGTTGCTCATGTAATCTGGAGATTTCTTTTCAATAGAAGTGCAAAATTTGTGCACAGACATACTCGTATTGGTAATTAATTGATTATTTGTTTATTGCTAGAGAACCTTTACCTACTATGTTCAGCATGCTGCACCCACTAGATGAAATAACTCCACTTGTTTGTAAATCTGGAAGTAAGTGTATTTCTATATTCTTTTAGATAAGCTCTTTTTTTTTTGACTTTGGTGAGGGAGGTTATAAAGGCGCTTATATGAAAACTGACTTATAAAAATAATGTAAACATTTTACAAAAATAACTTCTATTTTGACTTTCTTGAATATCATGGTATTAACTGCTCAACAGTTATTTTAGTAAAAATAAGGCATATAAATCAGTGAGGAATACCGATATATTTATTAACCTACCTGTAGATGCTTTGTTCTTTAATAATTAATAAGTAAATGAATGATACTTAGATGAAGTAAAGTTTATTTTTTGTTGTTGTTTTGGGTTTTTTTTTTTTTTGAGAGGGGTCTTGCTCTGTGGCCCAGGCTGGAGTGCAGTGGTGTGATCTCAGTTCACTGTAACCTCTGCCTCCCGAGTTCAAGTGATTATCCTGCCTCAGCCTCCCGAGTAGCTGGGATTACAGGCACACGCCACCATGCCTGGCTAATTTTTTATATTTTTGGTGGAGATGGGGTTTCATCATGTTAGCCAGGCTGGTATCGAACTCCTGACTTCAGGTGATCCACCCACCTCGGCCTCCCAAAGTTCTGAGATTACAGGGGTGAGCCACCGTGCCTAGCTGCTTTTTATCTTCTGTATTATGTCTTGGCAAACTGTAGGCCATGGGCTAAATCTGGCCTGCAGCATGTTTTTGTAAAGCTTGTGAGCTAAGAATGGTTTTTTTTTTTCTTTCTTTTTTAAGACAGAGTTTTGCTCTTGTTGCCCAGGCCAGAATACAATGGTGCGATCTCGGCTCACTGCAACCTCCGCCTCCTGGGTTCAAGCGATTATCTTGCTTCAGCCTCCCAAGTAGCTGGGATTACAGGCATGTGCCACCACACTCAGCTAATTTTGTATTTTTAGTAGAGACGTAGTTTCACCATGTTGGTCAGGCTGGTCTTGAACTCCTGACCTCAGGTGATCCACCCACCTCGGCCTCCCAAAGTGCTGGGATTACATCGTGAGCCACCGCACCCAACATAAGAATGGTTTTTACCTTTTAAAGGGTTGTAGGAAATAACAAAGATTATGTGATAGAGTCAGTATGTGGACAGCAAACTGCCCTATTTAGTCTTTGATCTTTTACAGAAAAAGTTCAAATTTTATGTTGTTACTAATTGCAGACAACCCGAATAAACATACTAGAGCCTGGGATTAAATGGCACGCAGCCTTTTTTTTTTTTTTTTTTAAGTACAATTTCCATTTTATTTTTTCTCTGGAGAATAGTCTGTTTTTAGTCGTTTTATTTTCATTTTTTTTTTTTTTGAGACGGAGTCTCGCTTTGTTACCCAGGCTGCAGTGCAATGGCACGATCTCGGCTCACTGCAGCCTCTGCCTCCCAGGTTCAAGCGATTCTCCTGTCTCAGCCTCCCTAGTAGCTGGGATTAGGGGTGTGCCATCACGCCCAGCTAATTTTTTGTATTTTAGTAGAGATGGGGTTTCACCCTGTTGCCCAGGCTGATCTCGAACTCCTGAGCTCAGGCAATCCACCCACCTCGGCCTCCCAAAGTGCTAGGATTACAGACATGAGCCACCACGCCTGGCCTTGTCTTCAGTGTTGAAGGACTCAGCTCCTTACATGGGCTTTGGTGGGTGTGTTTGGTCCTTGTGGGCTTTACAAGGTGGATTCCTGACGACTTTTCTGTGAATTGCACATCTCACACAGTAATTTAGCTTCACATACAGCTTGGGAAGCACATAGGCATTGAAGACACTCGCTTCACAAATGTCCCTGACTGCTGCGGCCTCCACCACATTTCGAATGATGAATTTTTTTTTTTTTTTTGAGACAGAGTCTCGCTCTGTTGCCCAGGCTGGAGTGCAGTGGCGGGATCTGGGCTCACTGCAAGCTCCACCTTCCAGGTTCACATCATTCTCCTCCCTCAGCCTCCCGAGTAGCTGGGACTACAGGGGCCCGCCACCATGACCCGCTAATTTTTTTTATTTTAGTAGAGACGGGGTTTCACTGTGTTAGTCAGGATGGTCTCGATCTCCTGACCTCGTGAGCCGCCTGACTCAGCCTCCCAAAGTGCTGGGATTACAGGCGTTAGCCACCTGCCCAGCCTCGAATGATGAAATTTCTTAATGGCCTTGTCCTTGGGCACACGTCGGGCACAGTTTGTGCAACGAATAGGCTGCATGTGGCTGTGCCCCTTTTTGGCATGATTGTTGTTCCTTCTTTTCTTTGTCATCTTGGAGGCACGGACTGGAGGGAGGAGTGTAGCCATTATTGATCATATTTTTGACTAATATTTAGTGAACTAGAAGTTGCTTATTTGTGATGTCAAGTAGGATACAAATAACACAGTATGATTATAATTTTGTAAAAATGTATAAAGTGTGTATATATGTATGAAAAAAACCAAAAATTCTCTAATGTATTAATAGTAGATATTTTGAGATGGTGGCATGATTTTTATTTATAAAGTATTTCTTATGATTATAGAATCATATTTTAAAATTTTTCAGTATTTTAACTGAGTGGGAAACATTTCCTGTCAAATAAGGATATGGAGACCAGTCCATGGTACTTTAGATTAAAAGCTGAACTCACTGGGAAAAACCTTATTTTGCATGTGTAACTAGTAAAGCAGAAACAACAGTGTACTGTTCGGCACTGTCTGAATAGTAATTATAGAGTACAGCTTTCATACAGAAAAACAGAACCAATAAGGAAGTCAAACTTGGCAGAATAGTTGAGTGCAATTTATAAATAAGTCAGTTGAAGAAATCATCGACCTTTTACCTGTGGCTGATTCGTGTAATGGTGAGAGTCAGCACAAATCTTAACATTTAGCAACAGCATGTATGTGAAGCTAAAACTTGTAATGCTCTCATCTTTAATGTATTTTAAGGAAGTTGATGCCTAAAGTAAATTTATTAAAAATTCAGAGTTAATTATTTAAGATAGTAATAAATTTTGTGCTCTCTTTGGCTTGGTTGTTCTTTATCTTTAACAATTTTAAGAGCTCTGTTCATAAATATCAGTCTTGTAAAGCCCATTGTTCTATACCTGATTTTTCTATTTTATTTTTAAGGTCTTTTTGGTTCATCACGGGTGCAATATGTTGTAGATCATGCAATGAAAATTGTTTTCCTCAATACTGACCCCTCTATTGTAATGACTTATGATGCTGTTCAAAATGTGCATTCTGTGTGGACTCTCCGGAGAGTCAAATCAGAGGTAAGGAGAAAGGCAAGTCACTTCTCCTTAATAGGAAAGGGTAGGCTGGGTGCACTGGCTCACACCTGTAATCCTAGCATTTTGGGAGGCCAAGGCAGGCGGATCACTTGAGGTCAGGACGTTCAAGACCAGCCTGGCCAACATGGTGAAACCCCATCTATACCAAAAATATAAAAAATTAGCCAGGTGTGGTGGCTTCTGTAATCCTATCTACTCGGGAGGCTGAGGCAGGAGAATCACTTGAACCTGGGAGGTGTAGGTTGCCGTGAGCCAAGATCATGCCACTGCACTCCAGCCTGGGTCACAGAATGAGACTCCATCTCAAAAAAAAAAAAAAAAAAAGTATATATATATATGAAAGAGTAGTTAATACTTCATACCCTCACTTTTTTTTTTTTTTTTTGGAAAAATCACTTGTGAATAGTTTTATTATCATCATCATCATCATCATCATCATCATCATCATCATCATCATCTCTAGAGACAGGGCCTCACTCTGTCACCCAGGCTGAAGTATAATGGCACAATTACAGTTCACTGCAGCCTTGAACTCCTGGGCTCAAGTGATCCTCCTGCCTCAGCCTTCCGAATAGCTAGGACTACAAATGTGTACCACCACTCCCAGCTAATTTTTAATTTTTTGTAGAGATGGGATCTTGCTATGTTGCCCAGGCTGGTCTTGAATTCCTTGGCTCAAGCTATCCTCTCTCCTCACCCTCCCAAAGTGCTGGGATTATAGATGTAAGCCACGGCACCTGGCCTCATTTGAGAAATAGATTGAGCTTCTTAGGAAAGAAGAAATACTGTGTCTTTAGTAACTGACTTCAACTTGCATTCTTACAAGGAAATTGCTACTTTATTCTAATTATTGTTTTTTTTTTTTTCCTCTTTCTCTTTATTTTGACTTAAGGAAGAGAATGTTGTTTTAAAGTTCTCTGAACAGGGGGGAACCCCACAGAATGTGGCCACTAGCAGCTCCCTCACAGCACATCTCAGAAGCCTCTCCAAAGGAGATTCCCCTGTGACTTCACCTTTCCAGAATTACTCCTCCATTCACAGCCAGAGTCGCTCAACCTCATCACCCAGTCTACATTCTCGCTCACCTTCTATTTCCAACATGGCAGCTCTAAGGTATAAGGGTTTCCTGGTTTTTCTTTCTAAGCTTTCTGTTTTGTTTTGAAGGATTTAGAATTTCTGTTGACAGCTGTTTTTAGGGGAAATATATTTAGGGGAGATGTTTTTTAGGGGAAATAGCCATTATCCCAATTGAGCCTTTTTTTTTTTTTTTTTTTTTGAGACGGAGTCTTGCTGTGTCACCCAGGCTGGTGTGCAGTGGCGCAATCTTGACTCACTGCAAACTCTGCCTCCCGGGTTCATGCCATTCTCCTGCCTCAGCCTCCAGCTGGGACTACAGGCGCCTGCCACCATGCCTGGCTGAGTTTTTTTTTTTTTTGTATTTTTAGTAGAGATGGGGTTTCACCGTGTTAGCCAGGATGGTCTCGATCTCCTGACCTTGTGATCTGCCTGCCTTGGCCTCCCAAAGTGCGGGGATTACAGGCGTGAGCCACCGTGCTCAGCCCTGAGCCACTTTTACTAAGATTTCTAAGTTTACCATGTCACATTCTTTCCTGAGTCATATTTTGAAGCTGCCTATGCTTGACCTAAGGTTAGTTGCCTCATTTCTACCACTATGTGGGCAACAGTTTGATGAATATTAATTCCCAAAATACTGTGGCACTATTTTATTTTTGCCTTAATTTATGTTAGTTTTTCTTTTTTTTTTACTTGTTATTTGATATGTAAATGTATCTATTTCTCTATATAGATATATATTTAAATGACCAGATATGTATATCTGGTGCTACAGGGACATTGTTTTGTTGATAAATATATATGTCTGACTATACAGGGACATAGTTTAGAGCTTTTTGAATAATCATTCATTTTCCGAAAAAGAAGATGATCTAAGTTTTAGTTGTAAAAGATGAGTTCTTCTAATAATAATTCTAAATCTTTAGAATATAGTAAAGCACATTGACATGAACCATTTAAATAGCTACTCCTTTTTGAAAAATTTTAATTTCTGACCTGGATTATGCCATGAATGCTCTTCTGTCTGTGGAATTTTTGGAAGTGTCATTGGAGTGTGTGTCATATAAGCCTGCCTTGCTAACTGTGATGTACTCTCTCCTCTGTTTATTTTGCAGTCGTGCTCATTCTCCTGCGTTAGGAGTGCACTCTTTTTCAGGGGTGCAAAGGTTCAACATTTCAAGCCATAATCAGTCTCCAAAGAGACATAGTATTTCTCATTCTCCAAATAGTAATTCTAATGGCTCCTTTCTTGCACCAGAAACGGAGCCAATTGTTCCTGAACTGTGTATTGACCATTTGTGGACAGAAACGATTACTAATATAAGGTTTGTTATATATATTATTATATTCAAAGAAAAATGTTGCTGAAAGTCTTGGGAAATATATGGCATTTTGTTTAAAGTTTCCTTTTAATGTGATCAGTTATTAATATATGTAAAAATATATAGAGATATGTATTAAGGCCACCTCAGTTTCAGTAGAGGATATTAATGATATTAAAGTGATCATAGGCTGGACGTGGTGGTTCATGCCTGTAATCCCAGCACTTTGGGAGGCTGAAGCTGGTAGATCACTTGAGCCTAGGAGTTCGAGACCAGCCTGGCCAACATTGTGAAACCCTGTCTCTACTAAAAATACAAAAATTAACTGGGTGTGGTGGTGCATACTTGTAATCCCAGCTACTCAGGTGGCTGAGGCAGAATTGCTTGAACCCAGGAGGCTGAGCTTGCAGTGAGCTGAGATCGTGCCACTGCACTCCAGCCTGGGTGACAGAGTGAGACTATCTCAAAAAAAAAAAGTCATCATAAAAATATTATTTTGTCATCTGATATTTCTTCCTTTATAGTAATAATCTCTCATTTTTCGGGTGTTTTTTGTTCTGGGGAGAAACAGTTAATTTCCATCCGTGAGGAAATGTGGGGTTTTAGCACGTTTCCTAAGTTTTATGTTCATGTTAGTTGAGTGCCAGCTTTACTTTTTGGGAAACATAGCTTAGATCTCTGTTCTGGGTGACCTTTCTTCTTTTATATTCTCTTTAATAATTCACGTGTTAATTTATATGCCAATGTGTGTGCTAGTTAACAGTCTAATAAGTCACTGTCCCTGTCCTCAAAAGAGGCAGATAGCTGAAGGATGGTGACACAGGAGGGACTACTTTTGCTGGTAGGGCTTTGAAAGACGAATAGGTATTCGCTAGGCAGGGAAGTTGAGAAAGACCACAGACGGCAGCTGGGATCAGAACAAAAGTTCTGGTGAGTGCGTGGTGTATTTAGGGAATTACAAGTACTTCCACTCTGGTTTTTGCAGAGGGGAGGGAAAAGGCTAATGAAGAGGAGGCTTCCTAGGCGCAGTGGCTCACACCTGTAATCACTCACTTTGGGAGGCTGAGGCAGATGGATCACTTGAGCTCAGGAGTTCAAGACCAACCTGCCCAAAATGGTGAAACCCCATGTCTACTACAAATACAAAAATTAGCCAGGCATGATGGCGTGCATCTGTAGTCCCAGCTACTCTGGAGGCTGAGGTGAGAGAGTCATTTGAACCTGGGAGTTGGAGGTTGCAGTGAGCCAAGAGCACACTACTGCACTCCAGCTTGGGCAACAGAGTGAGACTGTCTGAAAAAGAAAAAAAGGAGGCTTGAGAGATTACTGATTGCCCTTTAGGCCTCTGGTATGTTTGATGACAGCGGTAAGAAGGCACTTTATAAGTGTGTCGGAAGTTTGGGAAAGAGCAGAACAATAAATGTGGAATTGTCAGCTTATAGGTGGTGATTGAGGTAAGAGAATTAGATTAGAATTGAAGAATTATTGTATTCAATAATTGTGTGTACATGTAGTATATAGGCCTTTTCCCAAGGAGAGGGTTTTAACATTCCTTAGATTCTCAAAGGGATTTGTGGCCTCCAAATAGTTAAAATCCAGTGGTGTAGAATGAGAAGAGGGCTAGGAACTGAAGTCCTGGAAACTTAAGATTTGGGGAATGGAAAGAGACAAAGCTGGCACAGAGAGACAAAGCAAAAGAGGTCAGATGGGAGAAGCAGCAGGAAATACAGAATACAAAAAAGAACATTTCAAGAATACAGAGATGCCAGTATTGCCAGGTACTGGTGAAGTGTGGCCCTGAGAGTTGAACCCAGAGAGGAGGTACCTGGGTGGCAGTGGGTTCCTTGGTGACCTTGGCCAGAGCATTTTAAGCTGGGAGGGTGGCGGGGGAAAGTGGGGTAGAAAAAGTAAATGGGGACTGAGGAAATGAACATAGGCATACAGACTCTTTAAGGAGTTTGCCTTTGAATAGGAATGAAGATACAAAATTAGAGGGAGTCTTGGTCAAGGAGAGTTTTGTTTTTGCTGAACTATAATAAAATTAGTTTTCATGACATCTTGCCCCAGTATTTTCTTTTTCTTTTTTTTTGAAACAGGGTCTCACTCTGTCACCCAGGTTGGAGTACAGTGAGTGACTCAATCACAGCTCACTGCAGCCTTGGCCTTCTGGGCTCAGGTGATTCCCCAACCTCAGCCTCCCAGATAGCTGGGACTATAAGCACACACCGCCACGCCTGACTAATTTTTTGTAATTTTTGCAGAGAAAGGATTTTGCCGTGATGCCCAGGCTGGTCTCAAACTCCTGGGCTCAAGCAACCTGCTTGCCTCTGCCTCCCAAAGTAATGGGATTACAGGTGTGAGCCACTGTGCCTGGCCCCCAGTATTTTCTAACCTAACCACAATACAAGTTTTATATCCAGTCGAATTGAGAAGGTCTTTTATATACTCTAATGTTGAGTCCATTTTGTATTTTAAGACTTTTAATGTGAAGTAGTAGGCTATACGGACTATACTCAAGGGAAAGTATTGAAAATACAGAACAGAGGAAATGATTGATGGAACAAGTAACCAGAAAGGTGCATAAGTGGTGAGATTGGGATAAAGAAGTGAAGGTTGATCAGATATGTAAGGCAGGAGGTTGAGCTCAAGCCTTAGAGCCTCGTTTTATCTGAAATGGAAGGCAAATGCATAATCTTAGAGAGAATGAAATGGGGAATAGGTAGTCTGAAGAAAGTAAAGATGTGGATACAATGTTGAAGTAGTCTGTCTGGTTTGTTTCTCATATATCAAAAGTATCCTACAATTATAAATCATTTTTCTTTAAATAACTTATTTGTAAGTTGAATATATTATAGATTCTTATTTTTTAGATTTATGGGTCTTCTGTAGCACTATTTATTTATTTATTTATTTATTTATTGAGATAGAGTTTCGCTCTTGTTGCCCGGGCTGGAGTGCAATGGCGTGATCTTGGCTCACCGCAACCTCTGCCTCCCAGGTTCAATCGATTATCCTGCCTCAGCCTCCCGAGTAGCTGGGATTACAGGATTACTGGCTAATTTTGTATTTTTAGTAGAGACGGGGTTTCTCCATGTTGGTCAGGCTGGTCTTGAACTCCTGACCTCAGGTGATCTGCCCACCTCGGCCTCCCAAAGTGCTGGGATTACAGGCGTGAGCCACCACACCCGGCCTTCTGTAGCACTTTAGAAGGAAGGGTTTGGGAATTAGAGATACGATTTCAAAAAGAGATGTGAATGAGGCCTAATCTGAGAAGGAGAGGGGGTAGATAGGAGAAATAGCATTATGAAAGATCTGGCCCTTTGCGGGATAGGAATTCAAGTTTGCATGCATTACTTTACAAGTAGGTGGCTTAGTTTGCATTACTTTACAAGTAGGGAGCTTACATAGTATGTAATTTAAAAGTTCATCAGTAATTGTTAAATTTATTGTAGCTTTCCCCAACAAAGCTGTGTAACGAGCTCATAATCAAAGAACTGAAAGGATCTTAGAGATCATGAAGTTTAATTCTTAGAAATGTTTGTGTCTTTGAGATTATTGCTTGACCTAAGTAGTTTTTAGATTTCTTGCAGAATATTTTCAAAGACTTTTTTTTTTTTTTTTTTTCTTTTTGAGACGGAGTCTGGCTCTGTCGCCCAGGCTGGAGTGCAGTGGCGTGATCTTGGCTTACTGCAAGCCCCGCCTCCTGGGTTCATGCCATTCTCCCGCCTCAGCCTCCAGAGTAGCTGCGACCACAGGCGCCTGCCATCATGCCTGGCTAATTTATTTTGTATTTTTAGTAGAGACGGGATTTCACCGTGTTAGCCAGGATAGTCTGGATCTCCTGACCTCGTGATCTGCCCGCCTCGGCCTCCCAAAGTGTTGGGATTACAGGTGTGAGCCACCGCGCCCGGCCTCAAAGACTTTTAATAGTTACTGTGGTAGATTCTTGGACCAGTGCTGACAGTTACTTTATTAATGTATCTATTATAGAGAGAAAAATTCACAAGCCTCAAAAGTGTTTATTACATCTGACCTATGTGGGCAAAAGTTCCTGTGCTTTTTAGTAGAGTCCCAGCTCCAGTTACGGTAGGTGTATGTCTTTCCCATTGTTTCTGTATAAATAACTTAGCACTGCTTTTTCTTTTTCTTTTCTTTCCTTTTTTTTTTGGCTTAAGTAGTTTTATTTAGAAATAATTTACATGTCATAAAATTAACATGTTTTTACTGTATAATTAAATGATTTTTAGTAAATTACAGTGTTATACAACCATCACCATGACCCAGTTTTACAAGATTTATATCACCATAAAAAGATTTCCTTGTGCTTGTTTGTAGTCAGTCTTGTTCCCATTTCCAGCCTCAGGCAACCATGCTAGGCTTCTGCCTTTATAGATTAATTTTTCTGGACATTTATATATATATAATGTATGTACACACAGTGTACCTTTTTGTGTTTAGCTTTCACTTAGCGTGATGTTTTTAGGATCCACCATTTTGTAACATGTATCATTATTTCATACCTATTGCTATGTAATAGTCCATTGTATAGATCTACCACCATGTTTTGCTTATCTGTTCATCAGCTGACGGACTTTTGGTTTATTTCCACCTCTTGACTACTGAGAATTATGACCATATGAACATTTGAACAAAGGTCTTGAGCAAAAATGTGGACATATGTGATTTTATTTTTCTTGAGTAAATGCCTAGGATTGGGTCATTGGGTTGAATGGTAAATTCATGTTTAACTTTTTAAGAAATCACCAAACTGTTTTCCAAATAGCCTGTATCATTTTATATTCCCACCAGCAAAATATGAAGGTTAATGTCTCTTTATCCTTGACAGGATTGGATATCATCACACTCTTTGATTGTAGCTATTTTCTAGTGGTTGTGAAGTGGCTTTAATTTGCTTTTCTCTAATGCATTCTGATGTTGATCATCTCATGAAGTTATTAGCCATTCATTTATCTTCTTAGGTAAAATAGCTATTCAGATCTTTTGCCCATTTATTTACCTTCATATTTTGAAATACGATAGATTAAAGGAAGTTACAAAAGAGTAAACAAGTCCTGTGTACCTTGCATTCTTTTTCCCTCACAGGTAACCTCTTATATAACTATAATACATTATCATAACCAGGAGATAGATGATGTACACACTTTATTTCAAATTTCATCAATTTGACATGTACTCATTTATGTGTATGTATGGTTCTATGCAGTTTTTTCACATATGTAGATGTGTGTAAATACCACCACAATCAAGATACAAAACATCTTTATCTGTCTTACGTTAACTCCTTATAGTCACATACACCATTACCCACTGATCCTGGTAACCACTAATTCTCCATCTTGATAATTTGGCATTTGTGAATGTTATATAAATGGGCTCATACAGTATGTAAACTTCTGAGATTGTCTTTTTCTGTTCAGTATAATACTTTTAATACCCATACAGGTTGTTGCATGTATCAAGTTTCTTTTTTATTTTATTATTTAGCTGTGTAAAGTTTCAAGAGAGTAATGATAAAACCCAGCTCATCTTTGGTTCAGTGACCAACATACCAGCAAAGGATGCAGCACCAGTGGAGGTAATGTAGGCACATTTGAGAAGTTGACAATTACGCTTCAACAGATTTTTCAGTCAAAAAATCTGTTAATTTGCTCAGATTGGGAAATAAATTTTTTGTCTTTTTTGTTTTTTTAGAAAATAGACACCATGCTGGTCTTGGAAGGCAGTGGAAACCTGGTGCTATACACAGGAGTGGTTCGGGTAAGCAATAAGTAGCACTTCATGCCTTTAGTAGGACTTCAGGCTGCCTGCATGAATATTTGTAATGTTACTTTAGATTGATATTTTAAATTTGTTATGTTCCTGTCTGCACAATTTGGCAGAAGAATTTTGTTAATAATTCTCAGTGAAGCTTCCTATTTAGGTGGGTCCTAATTTGGAGGGCTATGGCTCACTGCTGTTAAATGCATTGGTACTCTAAACCTGTCACAGATGGGAAACCTTCAATGAGTATAGGTAGATTTTTTTTTTTTTTTAAAGTTAAAGTTTTGAAATTGAAGCATGGGTACCTTTGGTAAGTACTAAAGTTTTGGTAAAGTTTCACTATATTAAATGTGGTATATGTTAGCTGTATTTTTTTGAGACGGAGTCTCGCTCTGTTGCCCAGGGTGGAGTGCAATGGCACGATCTCGGCTTACTGCAAGCTCCGCCTCCCGGGTTCACACTATTCTCCTGCCTCAGCCTCCCGAGTAGCTGGGACTATAGGCGCCTGCCACCACGCCTGGCTAATTTTTTGTATTTTTAGTAGAGACGGGGTTTCACCGTGTTAGCCAGGGTGGTCTCGATCTCCTGACCTCGTGATCCACCCACCTCGGCCTCCTAACGTGCTGGGATTACAGGCGTGAGCCACCGCGCCCAGCCGCTAGCTGTATTTTTTAACATTTGTGAAATGTACGTAGAGAATATACATTTTACAAATTTAAATTATGAAATTTAAATACATACAATTTGAATAATAATAATGAAGTGAATATTCATCTACCCAGTACTCTGGTTAAGAAATAGAATATTGCCAGTATCCTTATTTTTATTACATTCTTTTGTGATTGCATCCTATCTTCCCCTGCCCTCGAGATAGAATCCTGATTTTGTGATAAATCAGTTGTTTGTATTACTAGTTTTTACAGTTATGTATGTATCACTAAAGAATGCATTATTTAGTTTTCCTTGTTTTTGAATTTTTATATAAAAAAAGATACCATGTACTCGCCTCTGATATACTTATTTTGCTCAACATTATATTTGTTTTAGATTTGTCTGTGTTGATGCGTGTGTTGTTTACTCATTCAGTGTGATGTATATATTTAATAGTATTCCATCGTACCTCATTTTGTGCTTTGCTTTATTGTACTTCACAGATACTGCATTTTTTTTTACAGATTGAAGGTTTGTGGCAACTTCGTGTTGAGCAAGTCTGTTGGTGCCATTTTTCCAGCAGCATGTGCTCATTTTGTGTCACTGTTTCAAATATTGATAATTCTTGCAATATTTCAAACCTTTTTGTTATTAGTTTATCTGTTATGGTGACCTGTGATCAGTGGTCTTTGATGTTACTATTGGAATTCTTTTGGGGCACCACGAACTGTACCCATATAAGATGAGGAACTTAATTGATAAATGTTTTGTGTGGTCTGTCTGATCATTTGACCCCTTTCCTGTCTCTCTGTCTCCTCCTGCCTCACTATATCCTGAGACAAAACAATATTGAAATTAGACCAATTAGTAACCCTCTAATGGCCTCTAAGTTTTCAAATGAAGGGAAGAATCACAGGTTTCTCACTTTACATCAAAAACTAGAAATGATTAAGCTTAGTGAGGAAGGCGTGTTGAAAGCTGAGATAGGTTGAGAGCCAGACCACCTGTGCACAAGAGCCAACTTGTGCATGCAGAGGAAAAGCTCTCGAAGGAAATTAAAAGTGCTATTTCAGTGAACATGGCAACTGATAAAGCGAAACAGCCTTATCGCTGATATGAAGAAAGTTTTAGTGTCTGGACAGAAGATCAAACCAGCCATAACATTCCCTTATGCTGAAGTCGAATCCACAGCAAGGCCTTAACTCTCTTCAATTCTGTGACGGCCAAGAAAGGTGAAGAAGCTGCAGACGAAAAGTTGTAAGCTAACAGAGGTTGATTCTTGAGGTTTAAGGAAAAAAGCCCTCCCCATAACACAGAAGTGCAAGGTGAAGCAGCATGTGCTGATGTAGAAGCTGCTAAGATAATTGATGCAGGTGGCTACACTAAACAGATTTTCAGTGTGGATGAAACAGCTTTCTGTTGGAAGAAGATGCCATCTAGGACTTTCATAACCTGAGAGGAGAAGTCAGTGCCTGGCTTCAAAGGACAGTCTGACTCTCTTGTTAGGGGCTAATGCAGCTGGTGACTTAAAGTTGAAGCCCGTGCTCATTTACCATTCCAAAAATCTTAGGGCCCTTAAGAATTATGCCAAGTCTGCTCTGCCTGGGCTCTATAAATGGAGTAACAAAGACTGGATGCCAGCACACCTGTTTATAGCATGGTTTACTGAATGTGTTAAGCCCACTGTTGAGACGTATTGCTCAGAAAAAAGATTCCTTTCAAAATATTACCGCTCATTGACAGTGCACCTGGTCATCTAAGAGCTCTGAGGGAGATGTACAGGAGATGAATGTTGTTTTCATGCCTGCTGACACATCTGTTCTGCAGCCTGTGAAGGAGTAATTTTGACTTTAAAGTCTTACTATGAAATACATTACTTAACTGGAGCTGCCATAGATAGTGATTCCTCTGAGAGATCTGGCAAAGTCCACTGAAAACCTTCTGGGCTGGGCGTGGCAGCTCACACCTGTAATCCTAGCACTTTGGGAGGCCGAGGCAGGTGGATCATGAGGTCAGGAGATCGAGACCATCCTGGCTAACACGGTGAAACCCTGTGTCTACTAAAAGTACAAAAAATTAGCCGGGCGTGGTGGCGGGTGCCTGTAGTTCCAGCTACTCGGGAGGCTGAGGCAGGAGACTGGCGTGAACCCAGGAGGCGGAGCTTGCAGTGAGCCGAGATTACGCCACTGCACTCCAGCCTGGGCGACAGAGGGAGACTCCATCTCAAAAAAAAAAAGAAACCTTCTGGAAAGGATTCACCTTTCTAGATGCCATTAAGAATATTCATGATCCATGGGAGGAGGACAAAATATCAACATAAACAGGAATTTGGAAGAAGTTGATTCCAACCCTCATGGGTGACTTTGAGGGGCTCAAAACTTCAGTGGAGGAAGTCACTGCAGATGTGGTGGAAATAGCAGGAGAATTAGAATTAGAAGTAGAGCCTGAAGATGTGACTAAATTGCCAAGATCTTATGATTAAACCTGAACAGAATTGCCAAACTTGAACAGAATTGCCAAAATCTTATGATCAAACTTGAAGAGTTGCTTCTTCTGGATGAGCAAAGAAAGTGGGAACATACAGAAAACAAATATTAAATGGCAGATTTAAATCCCACTAGGCCACTAATTAAATACAATGGTCTAACACAAATAACAGAGACTAGCGGAAGAGATTAGAAAATACAGCCCAACTATATATGTTGGTTATAAGAAGTGTTCTTCAAATATAATGACATGGGTAAGTTAAAGGATGGAAAGAAGATATATTATGCAAACAGTAATCAGAAGATAGCTGGAGTCTCTATAAAGTGGGAAAAAAAAATGACCAGGAACAAAGAGAGACTTTAAAGGGCCAAATCACCAAGAAGGCACCCTTGAGTATTTTATAAATGTCAGTTCATTCCATTTGGTTGATAATGTTGTTCATGTCCTCTCCATCCTTGGCAATTTCTTTTCTCTTCTTTTTTTTTGATACAGTATCTCTCTCTGTTACTCAGGCTGGAGTGCAGTGGTGGGATCACAGCTCACTGCACCCATGACCTCCTGACTCAAGCGATCCTCCCACCTCAGCCTCCCAAAGTGCTGGGATATTACAGACATGAGCCACCACATCAAGCCTGGCAAACTTTTTATGTAGGAGTTCAGACAAGTATCTTAGCCTCTATGGGCCACATGCAGTCTCTGTTACATATTTGTCTTCTGTTTTTTTTTTCCTTAACCATTTAAGTACGTAAAACCTATTCTTAGCTCACAGACTGTACAAAAACAGGATACGAGCCAGATTTGGTCATGGAACATGGTTTGCTGACCAAGGATCTAAATAGATGCAGAGAAATCATTTGATAAAATAAAATATCCATGATTAAAAAAAATCCTCAGCATCTAGAAATAGAAGGGGACTTCCTCAAATAGACGAGGGACATTCAAAATTTTCACTGTGCCTCCTGATGAGGAGGAAGGGATGGCCATGACTTTTTTCTTGGTGTTTGCAAAGAGTAGGGCAGATATAGTGAAAAGTTTCTGTCCTGGTCAGTCATTCTTTTCCCAACACTTTGGCTGGAAAGAGTAAGATTTTCTTAGGGCGTGTTTTGTCTGTGAACGTTGGCATGTCTGTGTTATAGGCACTTTGAAAGCCTAAGGCCTGGTTACGTAAGGAATCAAACCAGAAACCTAGGGAATTCATCATTAGGTCATTCCTGGGTCTCAGGTTACTAGCCAGTTTGTCTTCTTTTCTTCACTTTTTCAGAATCTTCTGTTAGTTGCATTATAAATTTTATTCAGTTTTTTTTTCTTTTTGGTGATTAATGAGGGAATAGCATGGTATGTGCTTATTCCATCTTTTCGTAAATTAGGGGTTTGAGATAGCTTTTAAAAAATTATGCATAATTAGTTCTCACTGTTATTTTTGTTTTTTAAGCCTAAGGATTTTATTGGGGCAACTTCTGTTATTTTGTTAGCTTTTGAGTAGTGTGTTAACATGAATACGTACGTTGTTAATATCTCATTTTAGTTCTGAGCATCTCCTTTTTAGTCTTATCAAGTTTTCAGCTTGTACAGATGTGAATTTCTGTTTTTGCTAAGTACCCTACAGATAGCCAAAATAAGGAGTGGTTAGCACGGATTGTCAACTCATTCTTTTTTTTTTTTGAGACAGAGTTTCGTTCTTGTTGCCTGGGCTGGAGTGCAGTGGCGCGATCTCGGCTCACTGCAAGTTCTGCCTGCCGGGTTCACACCATTCTCCTGCCTCAGCCTCAGAGTAGCTGGGACTACAGGCGCCCGCCACCACGCCCGGCTAATTTTTTTTTTTTAATTTTTAGTAGAGATGGGGTTTCACTGTGTTAGGCAGGATGCTCTTGAACTCCTGACCTTGTGATCCGCCCGCCTCGGCCTCCCAAAGTGTTAGGATTACAGGCGTGAGCCACCGCGCCCGGCCGCTGTTCTTACTGTCTTTATGACCAAAAAGGTAGAAGAGTACATAGTGTGCAGATTTTTATATAATGTGTTGACTATATTAACATTCCTCTCCTTGCCTGCAAAAAAAAGTCTTCAGTAATGAAGAGAAGGAATCCAACCAAGAGAAATTATACCAAGGTGTGAGAGGTCTAGGTGGGCAGATGGCTTCAGCCCAGAAGTTCAAGACCAGCCTGGATAACATGGTGAAACCCTGTCTCTACCAAAAAATACAAAATTAACCAGGCATAGTGGCATGTGCCTATAGTTCCAGCTACTCAGGAGGCTGAAGTGGGAGGATCACTTGAGCCTGGTAGGTTGAGGCTGCAGTGAGCTGAGATCATGCCACTGTACTCCACCCACGGGAAAAGAGTGAGATCTTATCTCAAAAAAAAAAAAAATTATACCAACATATTTGCAGTTGGATAGTGGAATTGGATAGATTATTGACATTTGAATTGTTTCTTTGCTGTGTTTGGTGAGTATAAACTTAGAAATATCAAAAGAAATATATGTTTATATTCCTTAACATTTTATTTAAGGATATGATGCATTAAAGGCAATATTTTTTTTTCCACATGTTTTTATTGCTTAAAGGTGGGAAAGGTTTTTATTCCTGGACTGCCAGCTCCCTCTCTGACGATGTCCAACACAATGCCTCGGCCCAGTACTCCACTAGATGGCGTTAGTACTCCAAAGCCTCTTAGTAAACTCCTTGGATCATTGGACGAGGTAAGAAAAGGACTAGGTGTTGCCAAAAAGTTAACATTTTTTAAAGAAGTTTGGTTAAACATTAGTTCTTTCCATGGTTAACTTAATTTTAGTTTCTACTTGCAGAATAAATGTTTTCAAACAGAAGTGATTCAGTTAACATACACTGACCTCCCTTGTGATGTATGTGATACTTTTTGAAGGTGCTGGAGAGATGGAAATGATACATTCTTTTCCATCTAGGGATCTCACAATTGTGTGGAGTTGATGTACTGTCTGCATAAGAAATTAGAATTTAAGAAAGACTCATGACTCAGTAATGTGGAAAAGAGAGTACCATCGTTGATTGACTGATGGGAAGATAACATCCGATGGGAAGATAACATCCAATGGGAGGACATGGCAAAATCAAAGCCTCACTGAGAGACATGTCAGTCTTCGTTTGGACCTTGGGGTTGAGTAGGATATCTGTAGGTAGAAAGGAGCATTCAGGGCAAGGAGAAACCACACAGGCACAGGCAGGAAGGCCAGATAATGTGGAACATTTTTTAGTGGATATTTGTATCTTCATCTCCTAGTCATAAGGACTCAATAAATCTGTAGAATAAATACTTATAAAAGTACAAGTAGTCTGTAGGGTGAGGCAGGATAGGGTTTGGATAACAATAATAACCTTTTTTGAGCATTTTCTATGTGCTAGGCATTGTTCTCAGTGCTTTATTAGTATTAATTATTTCCTTAGAATAGCTTTATTGAGAAGATAGTACTATGATTCTTTTTTTTACAAATGAGATAGAAGTTACAAATGAAATAAACCTAATAAGTGGTAGAACTGGGATTTACACTCTTACTAATGTGCTCTTAAAGGCAGAAAGGATAAAAAGGTGGTTTTATTCTGAATGCAATTGACAGGGCATTACAGGATTTTGAGAAAGGAGTTATGAGGTTTTGGATCTGTGTTGTAAATAGGTGTATTTTGGGATTAAAGATAAGGAGACCGGTTAGCCTCCAAGTGAGGTTGTCTGTGTCAGTTTAAGAAGTATGAAGAGGGTCTGAGCTAGGGCAGTATATGTGTGGAAAGGAGGGATTAATATGAGAGGCCTTGAGAGGTGGAAATGAGTTTGTCAGCTGATTGGTTTTGTGCTGCTGGGCTGGGGAAAGGTGATGTGGAACGAGGCTCCGAATTCTCTGAATGACCTGGGAAGGTACCTGGATTTACCAAGTTAGGAAGCCTGGAGAAAAGTGGTTTGTATTTAAAGGACATGTGAGTGTGGATGTTTAGGGACGGTTCAAAGGGAAGGTTAGTGCTATCAGTTGTATTTGATAATGTCTGTGTCTTCATTATATTTTTAAACATGTGCCACATTGAATTTTTTTTCCTTCAAACCAGCACATTTGCAGAACATTCAAAGGGGGAACTGGAGAAGTGTCAGAGTGTTCTGTGTGATTTGGAAGAATTTCTTTTATAATGGAAAATGGTTTCCAACTTTTTTAGAATTCTATAAGCCTGGTAATAGTGCCTTTTTGATAGGTGTAAAGTCATGGAAATGATAGTCTTAACACATTGGCTGATTGATGGCTTTTCCACTTCTCTGGAAGATTTTGCTAGTAGACTTAGAGCCAGGACCAGCGGAGCTGAATTTTTCCTGGTGACTTTTAGAGTAGAATCTGGAATAGAGTAAATACATCTTAGTCTTGATTGTCAGTGTTGACAAGATATTCACTTAGAGATATATAAATTGAATTAAAGGAATCAAAAAGGATCAGTGGTCATGACTAGAGTTTAAGATTGGAAGCATCTGCATGTAGATAGTAACTAAGATCGTTTAAATTTTTTGTTTGCATATCTGCAGTTAAGCAAATAAATACTGTTCCTGTATTTTTGAATAAATAATTGCCTATAGGGGAAATACCATTAAATACTGGTCTCATTTGTTGGCTTTTTCATTACTGTCCTTTCTTCCTGGGCTCTTAGTTCCTCAGCTGCCTCAAATCACAGTTTAGTCTTTTTTTTTTTTTTGAGATGGAGTCTTGCCCTGTCATCTAGGCTGGAGTACAGTGGGGCAATCTCACCGTACTGCAACCTCCACCTCCTGGGTTCAAGCGATTCTTCTGCCTCAGCCTCCCAAATAGCTGGGACTACAGGCACCCGCCACCACACCTGGCTAATTTTTGTATTTTTAGTAGAGATGGGGTTTCACCATGTTGGCCAGGCTGGTCTTGAACTCTTGACCTCAAGTGATCCACCCGCCTCAGCCTCCCAAGGTGCTGGGATTATAGGCATGAGCCACCGCGTGCCCCGGCTCACAGTTTAGTCTTTAGCCCTGTAAGGTTGCTAACAGTGCTGCTGGCTTCTCTCCCTCTTAGCTATGACTTTCCTTGCATATTGTCAGCCTTTCCATATGTTCCTCTTACCACCAAAATTTGCAGATGGCCAGAGCAGAAAAAGCAAGGCTCTCCAAGAACGTTGGCCCCTTTCCCTGCAGTTGCCTTCTCTCCTAGATCTTGGTCCCTCAAGTCCAGGTTGCTTCCACAGCTTTTCCATAGCCACCAATCAGATGTTTTCCTTTTACCTACCTTTTCTAGTTGTTTTCTGTGAGGACCTTGGTTTGCTGGTACTTCATTGTATCTGGAACAAAATGTTTTAAAGAGCCTGGGTCTTGCCGTGTCATCCAGGCTGGAGGGCAGTGACTATTCACAGGCTCACTACAGCCTCAAATTCCTAGGCTTAAGTGATTCTCCTGTCTCAGTCTTCTGAGTAGCTGGGACTATACAGGTGTGCACCACCATGCTTGGCTTGGAGCAGAATGTTTTTGAATCATTACATATTATTGTTTGTTAGACCATATGCAAAAAAGAAACAGTTAAATTTCCTTGTCCTTAATTTCTCAGAAAACAATTCATTTGTATCGTATTTACAACTTTTTACAGGTTGTTCTGTTGTCCCCAGTTCCAGAACTGAGGGATTCTTCAAAACTTCATGATTCTCTCTATAATGAGGATTGTACTTTCCAACAGCTTGGAACTTACATTCATTCTATCAGAGATCCTGTCCATAACAGAGTCACCCTGGTAAGTATAAACATTTGGTAGCTTTCCAAGAAGTGGGCTGGCATTTCAAATTTGACAGAATACAGAATTTTGTCTGAAAAATGACAACAAACATTTCTCATGATTTAAAAAAATCTATTGTGTCATTTTTTGGCACGATTTTACTTTTTACTATACAGTAATTCTGCTTGTTTTCTACAGTTTCTGTATTATTAAAAACTTAGTGAAAACAAAAGCTTGTTGAGTCAGTTGAATTGTATATTGATGTGATTTTTTGTCTTCTCATTAAAAGTAAATGTCCTTTTGATGATGGTGACTCACTGTATAAAGATTAGACACTTTTTATTAAAACAAGCATTTTGGAAAACATTTTGCAAATAATTACATTTAAAGTTTCTGAAATTCGGAAGTGTTCATTTCTGTTTGAAAATTGTTTTTCATTTATTTTATTGCTTTGATGGGCAAAGTCTTGTACCAGCTATTTTTAAGACATTCAAAGACTTAGAATGCACAGATTTTATCTACTTTCTCATTTGTTTCCATCTAGGAACTGAGTAATGGCTCCATGGTTAGGATCACTATTCCTGAAATTGCCACCTCTGAGTTAGGTACGATTGAGAAGTTTCATTTATAAGACATGAAGTAATTGTGATTTACATTAATAATTGGGGTTTTAAACATTATTTTGCCATTTTTGAAGCCACTGGATCAAGTTCTTAGCTTTGTAGAGGAGCTTTAAAGAGCTAGGGAGTGCTTTGTGATGTCCACTCTACGTGCGCTCTAAGGCTGGAGTACAGGTGAAGGATGTGCTAGTTCTGTTCCCTGAGGTTCTTCTGTTGGGGAATATTGTGCAGTATAATAATATATGGACATGCCTGCTGGGCATGGTGGCTCACACCTGTAATCCCAACACTTTGTGAGACTGAGGCGGGTGGATCGCTTGAGGTCGGTAGTTTGAGACTAGCCTGGCCAACATGGTGAAACCCTTTCTCTACTAAAAATACAAAAATCAGCGGGGTGTGGTGGCGCACTTCTGTAATCTCAGCTACTTGGGAGTCTGAAGCAGGAGAATCGCTTGAACCCAGAATGCGGAGGTTGCAGTGAGTGGAGATCGTGCCACTGCACTCCAGCCTAGGTGATAGAGTGAGACTCTGTCTCAAAAAAAAAAAAAAAAAAAAAAAAAAAATATATATATATATATATATATATATGTATATGTATATATATGGACATGCCTCTTGCAAGAACATCTGGGAAACTGGAAGCTTAAGCAACTAAGATAATTCTTGGCATATTTAATGTTTTTTTTTCTGTAATGTATTAATGATGTTTTTAATTTTAAAATAAATATCTCAATTTTCAGATAAATTGTGAAAGTAACCTAATTGCCTTAATTGAATAAAACTTAATATTATTGTCAAAATACAATCAGAATTATCTTAATAAATATTGGATTCTGCTTGAATTATTCCTGAGATGCAATTTCAAAAATGCTTGAGGAGAATATTTCTGAACATAGCATAGTAAACAAAATGTTAGAATTGAAGGGATTTGCCAACAAACGTAGGTTAAGAAAAGAATGCCTGTATGATATAAGGAAGTTCATGACATATCTTGGTTTCAAATCTAACTGCCAAAGCAGGACATTGGCAGATTGTAGACAAGAATGACTTTTTCATTTTAGGAATTTTCACTGCTGGTAAATGGTATTCCAAGTTGATATAGAGATTCCTTGCCTTCTAAAAGGTATTTTTTTTTTTTTTTTTTTTGAGACGGAGTCTCGCTCTGTCGCCCAGGTTCTGGAGTGCAGTGGCGCAAACTCGGCTCACTGCAAGCTCCGCCTCCCGGGTTCATGCCATTCTCCTGCCTCAGCCTCCCGAGTAGCTGGGACTACAGGTGCCCGCCACCACGCCCGGCTAATTTTTTTGTATTTTTAGTAGAGACGGGGTTTCACTGTGTTAGCCAGGATAGTCTCGATCTCCTGACCTCGTGATTCACCTGCCTCGGCCTCCCAAAGTGCTGGGATTACAGGCGTGAGCCACCGCGCCCGGCTCTAAAAGGTATTTCGTAATCACAAGGCCAGGTACCTCGAACTATTATAAGCCTAAGCAAAATATATAAAAACAAATAATAATGGAATAAATTAAATAAATGAAAACAAAAAATCTTACCCCTTTATAGCCAAACAGAAGCCCCATAGTTTATGCACATAAGTTTATGTACTTTACCTGCAGAGGGTTCTCACACACTCATGCAGCATTGGGTTTACACTTATTTTGGATTCCACTATGACATACTTGGTTATTTGGTATTTTAATATTATTTGCTTCCAACCTGTGCTGTGTGAGTTTGCACATTGCAAACTGATGGGATAGAGGATATGTTGATGAGGGTGGGCCCAGTGGCATGACAGTGGAAAGGGAAAAAAGAATCCTGGAAGAGAGGATATGTGAGTACACAAACATTGCAGTTTGGGATTATTTACTACTAAAAGCAGATTTGGGTCTCTTCACAGTGGTAGCCCTGGCCACTCTGAGGGGATCATTGTATGACAGTGTAGTGCTATAATTGATGTGGAGCCATTGAGAATGGTATAAGGCCAGGTGTGGTGGGCTCATGCTTGTAATCCCCTCCCTTTGGAAGGCTGAGGTGAGGGGGTTGCTTGAGGCCAGGAATTTGAGACCAGCTTGGACAACATAGTGAGACTCTGTCTCTACAAAAAGAAAAATAAAATTAGCCAGGCATGCTGGCATGCATCTGTAGTCCTTGCTACTTGGGAAGCTTGAGCTGGTGGACCACTTGAGTCCAGGAGTTGGAGGTGACAGTGAGCTATAATTGCACCACTGCACTCCAGCCTGGGGACAGAGGAAGACCCTGTTTCCCCTTACCAAAAAAAGAATGGTGTAAATTATGTGGTATTAACTCTTAACCCTTTTAAGACAGAGAGCCTGTGAAACATTTTAGAAACTGAACGACCTCAGAAATAAAGTTATAAAGCTTTGGTTAATAGGCATGTTAACTCATTTAGAACATCATGTAATGCTAGCTAAGCATTGCTATTCGTGGATGCATATATTGAATATTATATATTTACTGAAGTATGTAGGCAGTATTTTATATAAATGTATAAACATAGAAGTTGTATGTTTTTCATAGTGACTTTTTTTTTTTTTTTTGAGACAGAGTTTCGCTCTAGTCATCCAGGCTGAAATGCAATGGCGTGATCTTGGCTCACTGCAACCTCTGCCTCCCGGGTTCAGGCGATTCTCCTGCCTCAGCCTCCTGAGTAGCTGGGATTACAGGTGCCTGCCACAATGCCCAACTAATTTTTGTATTTTTAGTAGAAATGGGGTTTCACCATGTTGGTCAGGCTGGTTTCGAACTCCTGACCTCAGGTGATCCACCCGCCTTGACCTCGCAAAGTGCTTAGATTACAGGCGTGAGTCACCATGCCTGGCCCATAGTGACTTTTAATTTGTCACCCGAGCTAGAACATCTTTAAGAGTGAAGGCGAGCAGTTAGTAATTGCTGGGCAATGGATGTAAATCAGGACTGTCTCTGGCAAACTGGGCTATTTGATTACTTTATTTCTGATGCAAAATTAATGATCAAAAAGCTGTCCTTGGCCGGGCACAGTGGCTCACACCTGTAATCCCAGTGCTTTGGGAGGCCAAGGCGGGTGGATCATGAGGTCAGGAGTTTGAGACTAGCCTGGCCAACATGGTGAAACATGGTCTCTACTAAAAATACAAAAATTAGCCTGGGGCAGTGGCAGACGCCTGTAATCCCAGCTACTTGGTGGCTGAGGTAGGAGAATCGCTTGAACTCAGGAGGCAGAAGTTGCAGTGTGCCAAGACCGTGCCACAGCACTCCAGCCTGGGCAACAGAGCGAGACACCCTCTCAAAAAAAAAAAAAAAAAAAAAAGCTGTCTTCAGACCCCTTTCAAGCCTTGTTGAATTCAGTAGTTGGTTTTAGTTTCAGATGATTGGTTAGGTAATGTTTGCATCTCATTGGCTCTTTAATGACAGTTTTCTTTTCATAATAATTGGCCTTTACATAGTAGAAGTTAAAAAACTTGGTGATTGAAAGGGGAAAAGAAATGCATGCAGAGTAAGAATACTAAAATTAATCTTTGCTTTTAATAGTACAAACGTGTTTGCAAGCAATTAAGTTTATCCTGCCAAAAGAAATAGCAGTTCAGATGCTTGTCAAGTGGTACAATGTCCACAGTGCTCCAGGAGGACCCAGTTATCACTCAGAGTGGAATTTATTTGTGACTTGTCTCATGAACATGATGGGTTATAACACAGACCGCTTAGCATGGACTAGAAATGTAAGTAAATACTATTGTTTTCTTTATGAGTTATTCTGTTAATGTAATGGTTGCATAATTGGTAATATAACATTGAGACTACATAATAGGCGTACCATATTCAAAATAATAGAATAATATTAAGGTTTATTGTATCTATATATTGTAAATAAAATCTCACTTAATATTTAATATTAACATTTTACTAGTGATTATAATTACTGAGCTTTAGAATGTTAAAGCATATATGACTATTTCTCATTTCACCTTTGTAAAATGACTGCAAGTTATGCTAGGATTAGTGATAGTCTTGGTTTTATTGATGAAGAAACTGGATCACAAAGAAATCACAGATCTGTGGTTTTTTAACAACTATGACTAGACTGCATCTTCTGACTCCTTGTTTAACATTGTTTTCTGAAGACAAGATTGTCTTTTTACACACATATTGCTTGGGATGTGAAGAGGAAGGTTTGATTTGAGGGAGATTTAAAGTACTTTAGCCTGAGTATCTACTCTGTTAATGGTATAAAGCCTTACCTCTCACCCTCTTCCTGCAGTAACATCCTTACAGGCCCTTATTAGATTATTTACAAAATCAGCAGAGTGGTGTCTTCAGTATTGGTGATCTCCTTCTAGCTTTGGAGATCACTCCCAGGACAACTTTGCCTGGGTCACTCTGAAAAAAAATCACTCTAGATTATAATTACCCCTTTTCCAGGTAGCTCAGCTGTACCATTCTATATGTTTTAGCCTTGCACAGCAAATCCATTTTTTTTTTTTTTTTTTTGAGACAGAATGTCGCTCTGTCGCCCAGGCTGGAGTGCAATGGCGCAATCTCAGCTCACTACAGGCTCTGCCTCCTGGGTTCACGCCATTTTCCTGCCTCAGCCTCCCGAGTAGCCAGGACTACAGGCGCCCGCCACCACGCCTGGCTGATTTTTTGTATTTTTAGTAGAGACGGGGTTTCACCGTGTTAGCCAGGATGGTCTTGATCTCCTGACCTCATGATCTGCCCGTCTCAGCCTCCCAAAGTGCTGGAATTACAGGCGTGAGCCACTGCGCCTGGCCAGCAAATCCATTTTTAAAATTTGTTTTTTGTCTTAATTATGAAAGGAAAATGTGGAAAATGGAGGAATTAAGAAAATAATTATACTACTTAGAGATAACCACTCTAAATATTTTTGATGTTACCTTCTATATAAAAATACCAATGAAAATTTCCCGTATCATTAAAAATTTTTTCTAAAATATCTCCATCATTTCTTCATAGTGTAGTTTTATCATAGTTAACCAATAGCTAATAATTGTACCTTGTGAATCTGTTGTTTTCGTTATTGTAATTTATAAACATCCTTTTTCACGACTCTTTAACCACATCTCTAGTTACTTCCCAAGCATTGAATCTTAAAAGAGAAACTGTGAGGTCAAGTAATGTTTGGAAAGGGGTTCCCAGGTGACATTCTTACTAGCATCATTTAAAAGCGCCCATTTCACCACAGTGTTTATTTGTGGTGTGGTGAACCTTTGCCAGCTTCCTGAGAAATTTTATCTTATTTCTCTATAAGTAAATGGGAATGTTTTTTTCAAAATTTCATCAGTTATTTATAGTTCTTATTTTTTGATTCGTATTTCATGTCCTTTGTCTATGTTCCAGTCTCTTCTCAGTCCAGTGGCCACAGTAATCCTGTTTGATAACGTCAGGTTGCGTTCGTCACGCCTCTGCGTAGAATCCCCCAGTGACTTCCCATGTCACTCAGAGTAAAGGCCATAGGCTTATAAGATGCCATGTGACCTAGCCCTTGCTCACCTTCCTGCTCTTATTTCTTAATGCTTTGCACACATCATCCCAGCCACATTGGCCTCAGCTCTGTTCCCTGAGCACTGCCAGCATGTTTCTGCCTCTGAGTGTTTGCACTTGCCATTACCTCTATGGAGAATGCTTTCCCTCCGACAAGACGTGCTTAGGTCTTTATTCAGATGTCACCTCAGTGCTGCCTGTCCTGTCTCTATAGAATTACACCTGCCTCCATACCTTTAGTGCCATTTACCTGTTTTTTTTTCTTCTCACTTAATTAAATATAATATACTATATGTTTTACTTATTTTGTTTTGTGTCCTTCCTCCCCCAACTGGAATGTAAATTCTAGGAAGGCAAAGATTTTTGCTTAGTTTTGTTTACTACTCTCTCTCTCCAGGACCTGTGGTATTGCCTGGCATAGAAGGATACTCAGTGAACATTTGTTGAGTGAATGCCATTTTCCATCTGAGTGAGATACTGTTTTTAAGAGTTTGTGTCTATTTCAGCACATGAAGGAATTGCTCTCTGCAATTTCCTTGAGAGAAATCTTATGGGAAAATAGGGACAATTTTCTTTTCTTTCCTTTTTTAAGACGGGGTTTCGCTCTGTCGTCTAGGCTGGAATGCAGTGGCGCTATCCTGGCTCACTACAACCTCTGCCTCCTAAGTTGAAGCGATTCTTGTGCCTCAGCCTCCTGAGTAGCTGGGATTACAGGCATGTACCTCCACGCCTGGCTAATTTCTTTATTTTTAGTAGAGACGGGGTTTTGCCGTGTCGGCTATGATGGTTTTAAACTCCTGAGCTCAAGTGATCCTCCCACCTTGGCCTCCCAAAGTGCTAGGATTACAGGTGTGAACCACGGCTCCTGGCCTTCTTTTCTTATTTTAAACAATTGTATCCGAGTGACATTATCCCCAATTTTTCTGTTCTTTATTACATGTGAAAAGATTAAGCCTCATAGAAACTGGATTTCTACATTATGAAAAAACGCGTCAGCTTTCTGTAGTTTTGTGTATCATTGTCCTTGTAACTTGTTGATGAGTACAGATTGTTGTGTCCTAGTCTCTGGCAGAGAACCTATGCCCCTTCGCGTTTCCATGTTTTGGGGAGGACTGAGCACCTACCCATTTTTTCCTTTGCAGAGAAGGACATGGCTTTTTGACTTACTTATTGCATGATAATTATAAAGGAAGGAATAAGGAAATCAATTCTTGAGGCCAAGTTGCTTTGCTATTTATTTATAGGACTGCATGGTTAAACCCTTGTTATCTTTTGTCCTCATAGTCAAAGCTTAGGATAAAATGGTCCTCATTGGCAAATGGTTTTCATTTTGCTTTGTTCAGATTTATTCTTTTTGTTTTCACATATGTAATGTGGTGGAGTACAGAATTTCTGCCAATGACTCGTTACACAATTTTTGGCATTTCTTTGTGCTTTCTTTAATTTGCTGATGTGTTACATGAGTGCACTGGACTGTACA
Organism: Homo sapiens; assembly: GCF_000001405.40. NCBI lineage: Eukaryota > Metazoa > Chordata > Mammalia > Primates > Hominidae > Homo > Homo sapiens. The sequence continues at coordinate 111,840,151 of NC_000002.12, read as the reverse complement.
TTGTAGGAACAGTTGCATTTGGGGTTAACTTTTTGTGGCTTCCGGGCTGCTGTTTTTTTCCTTAGATAAATATTGAATCCCTGCTGTGGGCCAGGCATGATGCCAGGTTTCTCACATATACCCCAGACAAAACAGATTGTTCCTCTGGAATTGACTGTCTTGGGGGAAACAAATAAATAATATTTGATAAATGTGTTATGATAGATGAAGGGTAAGGGTCCATAGGAGCATATAACAGGGTTGGCTAACCTGAGACACATTGAAAGAGTGAAGATTAAACAGATCCATGTATGGCACAAAGAGCCATCCTTATCAGGCAGTTTCTACTTTCTCATAACTCCAGGCCTTATGAATCTGATAATTATAGCAGGGACATTCTTTTTGACTGTGGGAGTTTGTGTGTGTTACATTTTGGTTGAAGTTTTAGGTTAGATAGTTACTGTTATATTTGTTGCTTTGATTTCACTGTTACTACCAGGTTTTTTATAATATATATGAGTTGGGCTGTTTTTTATTTGAACGCTTCACAAGCAGATCTTCTCTCTCAATAACATTCAGTTTTAAATATCACTTTATTGCTACCTATGTTTAGTTTTTATATAGAAATCAACTCTGTTTAGGTGAGTGAGTTGATAAATATGTAAGTTTTTCAGCATAGGAAAATAGCCATTGCCATTTATAGAGTTACAGTTTATTAGTTGATGGTCAATGCCCATGTGAAGTAGCTGGGGCAGCAAAGATTATGCCAGGGGAAATTGAAGAAGAGCAACTTGTAGAAAACTGCTTTTATGTAGTTGTATTAGTTAGAAGATAGGCTCACTATTGTAATAGAAAGGCCTCAAAAGATACAATGGCTCAAACACAATAAAAATGTCTGTCTTGCTTACATAACAGGGCTTAGCAGATAAACAGGCCACACAGTTATTCAGGAACCCAGGTTGATGGAGGATCTTTTATCTTTGGTTCAAAGATTGCCATTGGTTGACTGCATTCCAGTCAGGTGGAAGGGGCAAAGAGCCTGGAGGAGCAGGGGTAGGACTGGACTGGTCCTGGAAGTGATGACAGTGACTTCCATTTATAATTAACTCTGTCAAAGGGTCACACCTAACTTCAAAGGAGGCAGACGTATGTATGTAGTCTGGCTGTGGGTTCAGGAGAAAGAGGAGAAAAAAGATTTTCCAGAGTAGCTACTTGTCTCTGCCATAGAATTGTTAGATAGTTTACTGTAGGTGGACTGTAAATAAATGTTTGCTTAGTTCTAACATTTGACTGATATTGGGTTGATCCTTTGAGACTTGGTATATTGTGGATATGCCTAAAGTTTCTTTTTCTACCAAAGATGTGATGTAATCTATGTTGTTACAGGAGTAGGAGAGGGAAGGAAACTACCATTAAAATCAGTCCTTAGAAGCCCAGGCACTGTTCTAGATGTTTGCATATATTAATATGATTTCATTTCATCTTTACAGTAACCTGGAAGAAAGATATTTAAATAATGCCTTTCCAGATCAAAAAATGAGTTTTGATGGCTTTTCTCAGTTTTCGTAATTGGCAGAACTGATTTCTGAATCCTTGAAGTTGATCAGTTGACAGGAATGCATTTACGATTTTTATCTTTTCTTTTGGGGTTACTTTTCAGTTTGACTTTGAAGGATCACTTTCTCCTGTCATTGCGCCCAAAAAAGCAAGGCCTTCCGAGACTGGATCTGATGATGTAAGCATTATTATTTCTTGCTAATATAAATTAATTTATGGATATTCATACTATTCTTCCACTTCTGTGGTATTCCTATCAATTCCTCTATCTTTCCAACACCTTTCACTTTATTTATTTTAATACTGAATAGCAATTATTTTGAAGAGTAGGATCTGTTACATTTTCTGTGGTCTTTAATGATTATCTAAAAATTAATACATGTATTACTGCATGATTTCAGTTTGGGTTTGTAGACATTTTAGTATCAACTGATCACCTGAAATGACAGCATTTACCTTTTTTATGCAGTGTTTTTTAAATTAAGGTTCTCAATTGTATCAGGTTCCATGGTATATTCCTTTTTTTTTTTGAGACGGAGTATCACTCTTGTTGCCCGGGATGGAGTGCAGTGGCAGGATCTGAGCTCACTGCAATCTCCGCCTCCCAGGTTCAAGCAGTTCTCCTGCCTCAGCCTCCTGAATAGCTGGGATTACAGGCGCCCGCCACCATGCCCAGCTAATTTTTGTAGTTTTGGTGGAGACAGGGTTTCACCATGTTGGCCAGGCTGGTCTCGAACTCCTGACGTCAAGTGACCTTCCTAACCTTGGTGTCCCAAAGTGCTGGGATTACAGGCATGAGCCACCACACCTGGCCTCCATGGTATTATTCTTCAGTGGTCCAAATATGTTTTTTTAAATTGTGGTGTAATTTACAAAAATGAAATACAGCTTGGGTTTAGTTTGATCAGTTTTAATATATGCACACTCATGTAACCTACACTCCTATAAAGACACACAATATTTTTATAACTCCATAAAATTTCCTTGTGTGGTTTTTTTTTTTTTGAGACGGAGTCTCGCCTTATCGCCCAGGCTGGAGTGCAGTGGCACGATGTCGGCTCTCCACCTCCTGGGTTGAAGCTATTCTCCTGCCTCAACCTCCTGAATAGCTGGGATTATAGGCATGCGCCACCACGCCTGGCCAATTTTTGTATTTTTAGTAGAGATGGGGTTTCACCATGTTGGTCAGGCTGGTCTTGAACTCGTGACCTCGTGATCTGCCCACCTCGGCCTCCCAAAGTTCTGGGATTACAGGCATGAGCCACTGGGCCCGGCCCCTCTTGCTGTTTTTAATCAGCTTTATTCTCTTCTTCTAGCAATCACTGATCTGAATTCTGTCACCATATCTTAGTTATACCTGTTCTAGAACTTGATGTAAATAAAATAATATAGTATGTAATCTTTGGTATAAGATTTATTCAGCATAATGCTTTTGAGATTAATTCATATTGTTACAGATACCAGTAGTTTGTGCTTTTTTATTGCTGAGTAGTGTGAATATACCATGGTTTGTTTATCTATCCTTCTTCTGCTGGTAGATATCTAGGCTATTTCCATTTTTTTTTTTTAAAGTCTTATGAATAAAGCAAGCTAGTGCCAAAATTCACTGGCAAGTCTTTGTGGATATATATTTTCTTTTTTTTTTTTTGAGACGGAGTCTTGCTCTGTCATCCAGGCTGGAGTGCAGTGGCACGATCTTGGCTCACTGCAACCTCTGACTCCCGAGTTCAGGCAGTTCTCATGCCTCAGCCTCCCCAGTAGCTAGAATTACAGGTGTGTGCCACCATGCCTGGCTAATTTTTGTATTTTTAGTAGAGACTGGATTTTGCCATGTTGGTCAGTCTGGTCTCAAACTCCTGGCCTCAATAATCTGCCCATGTTGGCCTCCCAAAGTGCTGAGATTACAGGTGTGAGCCACCATGCCGGGCCCGTGGACATACATTTTCATTTCTTTTCTTTTTTTTTTTAAGAGACAGGGTGTCACTCTGTTGCCTACGCTGGACTGCAGTGATGCTATCGTAGTTGACTGTAATCTTGAACTCCTAGGCTCAAGCCATCCTCCTACCTCAGCCTCCAAGTAGCTAGGACTACCGGTATGCTCCATCACGCCTGGCTAATTTTTAAATTTTTTTGGTAGAGACAAGGTGTTACTATAATATGTTGCCCAGGCTGGTCTCAAACTCCTGGGCTCAAGCAGTCCTCCTGCCCCTATCTCTCAAAGTGCTGCGATTACAGGTGTGAATTTTAATTTCTTTTAATTTAATTTAATTTCTTTTAAATTAAAATTCACATCTGTAATTTTAATTTCTTTTAATTTAATTTCTTTTAAATGAAAATTCACGCCTGTAATCACAGCACTTTGAGGGGTAGGGGCAGGAGGACTGCTTCAGCCCAAGAGTTTGAGACCAGCCTGGACAACATATTATAGTAAGACCAGTTGTCTACCAAAAAAATTTGAAAATTAGCCAGGCATGATGGCGCATAACCTGTAGTCCTAGCTACTTGGAGGCTGAGGTTGGAGGATGTTAAACACTCTTTCATGTGCTCATTAGCTGCTTATGTATCTTTTTGTGAAGTTTCTATTCAAATCTTTATCTACTTGTAAATTAGATTTTAAAAAATATGTAAGCTGTTGAAGTTCTTACATGTTCTAGACATGAGTTCTTGACCATATTTTCCCTTAGAATGTGGCTTTAACAGTGTCTTTGATGAGCAGAATTTTTTATTTTAGTTATCCAATTTATCAGTTTTTTATTTTATTTTATTTTATTTTTGAGATGGAGTCTCGCTCTGTTGCCCAGGCTGGAGTGCAGTGGCATGATCTCAGCTCACTGCAAGCTCTGCCTCCCAGGTTCATGCCATTCTCCTGCCTCAGCCTCCCCAATAGCTGGGACTAACAGGCGCCCGCCACCACACCCGGCTAATTTTTTTGTATTTTTTTAGAAGTGATGGGGTTCCACCGTGTTAGCCAGGAAGGTCGTGATCTCCTGACCTTGTGATCCACCCGCCTCGGCCTCCCAAAGTGCTGGGATTACAGGCATGAGCCACTGCACCCGGCCCAGTTTTTTCTTTTATGGTTAGTTCTTTCTGTATCTAGTCCAAGAATTTTTAATTTAGAGTAACACACTGTATTAAGCCTTACAAAAACATCAGTAAATTCCAAGATCTGGAAATAGCATAAACCACATTCTCTGAACCAAATGCAGTAAATCACAAGTAGAACCAAAATAGACTTGAATATTTGGAAAATGTAGTCCAATCAGTCTGAATATAAAAATCAGTTGATTATTAGATTATATTACTAGCCCCGGCATCTTATACATGTGGAAAGATGAATACACCAGCTGAATGCAGGTGGACCTTCCTTCTTACCAAAACACAGTTCAGTGTAGTGGCCACTAACTTGCCATCTACTTTTCCTATAAAACCTAGCCTGAGATAATCTTAAATTTTCTCTCTCAATCTCTACCTAAATAGTATAATTCTTCTCCCAATGTCTTTCCTAAAAGGTCATGAAAATATTTTTTTTAATGGTTTTTAAAGGTGGCTTGCCTTAACGTTTATAACTGGCTTGCTATTTTATAGTTACTTCATTCTTAGCATTGTCTTTTTTTTTTTTAACATACTCTTAGATCAACTTAATGTGAAAATGAAACTTGAATTGTTTTAAGTGAATTAATTTTCTTATGATATTATAAGGAGGTATTATTTTTAAAAATTAATATTCTTTTTATTCTTCTCAGGACTGGGAATATTTACTAAATTCAGACTACCACCAGAATGTTGAGTCTCATCTTTTGAACAGATCTTTATGTCTGAGTCCTTCAGAAGCTTCACAGATGAAGGATGAGGATTTTTCACAGAATCTCAGTCTGGATTCTTCTACACTTCTCTTTACTCACATACCTGCAATTTTTTTCGTTCTTCACCTTGTGTATGAGGAGCTTAAGTTGAATACTCTAATGGGAGAAGGAATTTGTTCACTTGTTGAACTTCTCGTTCAGTTGGCAAGGTAAATTTGTTTGTAGGTTAGAAACTGCCAGGAAGTCCTGAGATGACTGTCTTTTCCATATAGGAACCTTGTATCATATAGGGACCTTGTAAATAAGTTTCTGAAATCTACCTTCTCAGAAAACTAGGGCATCTCTGTAAACCACAGAGTTGTTTGAAGATACTGGTTTTGTAAGGGCCTGTGAGCCATGCAGGGATTTTTAGTCTTTGTCCTGAGATTAGTGGAAGGTCACGAAAAAATGGAGATGACCTGCTCAGATTTTCATTTTGACAGGATGACTGACTGGCTATACTGCGGTGGGAGTTCTAGAATAACATCTGCTGTTTTGTAATATCCACATTCAAATAGTGCTTTATAGTTGACAAAATCATAGTTTACATGTAAAGTCTCAAACAAGGTAAGTTTCCTGTTTTAGTGATGAGGAAACTTGCCTAAATGTCTTTCCTGGGATGCGAGTGTTTGATAGTTGTGGACTCATTTTGCTATGCTGTCCTTGTTGCAGTCTGAGGTTGTCCCTGTCTTTGAGGCACTCATAGTAGATCCACAATAAGATAGTTCTAATAATACGTTTCAACACCTTTCAAGAGCTTTGAAGCACCTGGTGTATGGCTCAGAATTCTAGGGTCATACTTGTGTGTTGTTTGACCTTTATGACCTTTGGTGATAAAGAAGTTGAATTTGAATTGAAATGTCAACCTCTGAGTTAAGACATAGTACATTTTCTAATTTCTGTTGTCTTTTTTGAGATCTTGAAATTCAATCCTGAGACATGGCAGTTTTAATCAATGGTAAATATCTCTTAGGATGTCATTACTGTCATGAAAATTCTTTTGTAATTAAGTAATTTCCAAACCATAATCATGGCTCTCTGAAAAAAGTAATGTGTATGATGTTTTACATTTTATCAGGTTTTTTTTTTTTTACATATTTTATCTTATTTAATCTTTAAAACTTCAGAGTAAGTGAGCTGGTATTGCCCCATTTTCTAGAAGAAAATACTGAGGTTTATAGACATGACTTTTGGAAGATCACACAGCTAATAGCAGAGGAGGAACTAGATCACGGTGCTTTTACTGTAGTTTTACTTCCACAAAATTTAGCAAAAAGAGATTGGGTTCCATTTGTCACACTGGGCACTTTAAAGTCCAAAAATACAATAGAGAGACTCTAGATTTGGTTATCTTTCTCATATGTAAGTTTTTAAATTAAAAGATTCAACTAATCAATCCTTCCAATTCTGTTGGGAGAAAGTGCTGTAATACCTTCTTTTTTACATGCCCTTACTGTTTTAGGGACTTAAAATTGGGGCCTTATGTAGATCATTACTATAGAGACTACCCAACGCTTGTCAGAACTACTGGACAAGTGTGCACAATTGATCCAGGTAAGTAGTCGTGCTTTTAAATATTTTCTAAACAGTGTAGTGATATTTCCTTGTATCTTTCTCATTGAATAGCAGAGGATGTATTTCTTACCATTAGCTTCTAAGTCAGGGGCAGTGCCTTTCCACCAGGCAGATTTTAGTTCGTAGTGCTTGTTTTCTGACACGTAGTAAGCCATAATATCTTCAGTGTATAGGGAAAATGTTACCCATCCCTAAGGTTCTGACTTGCAAAAGTCAGAGAAAGCTTCCAGGGTCAAGGATGCTTTTTTTTTTTTTTTTTTTGAGACTGAGTCTCGCTCTGTCACCCAGGCTGGGGTGCAGTGGCGCGATCTTGGCTCACTGCAAGCTCTGCCTCCTGGGTTCACACCATTCTCCTGCCTCAGCCTCCTGGCCTCCTGAATAGCTGGGACTACAGGTGCCCACCACCACACCTGGCTAATTTTTCTGTATTGTTATTAGAGACGAGGTTTAACTGTGTTACACAGGATGGTCTTGATCTCCTGACCTCGTGATCCACCCGCCTCGGCCTCCCAAAGTGCTGGGATTACAGGCGTGAGCCACCGCGCCAGGCCACCAAGGATGCTTTTAACTTAGACTTGTAGTGTACAGTTAGTACCACTAACCATATGCTACTTAAATTCAATTAAAATAAAACATATTTCCTCAGTGCACTAGCCGCATTTTGAGAACTCAGTAGCCACATGGGGCTAGTGCTACCATATTGGACAGTGCAGATACAGACACAGAACATCTCCATCACCACTGTACTATCCTAGACCCTGAGCTAAAGGTACTGAAATTTGGGGCCCAGTTGTTGGAACAGACCTGAATCCTGGATGTTTCTTTTGTTTTTTTCACCTTTAGGTTTAGGGCAAGATTTTTGATTAGATTCTTCTTTTTTTTTTTTTTTTTTTCTTGAGACAGGGTCTCACTCTGTCGCCCAGACGGGAGTGCAGTGGTACGATCTTGGCTCACTGCATCCTCTGCCTTCCAGGCTCAAGCGATTCTCCTGCCTCAGCCTCCCAAGTGCCTGGGATTGCCTGGGGTTACAGGTGTGTGCCACCACGCCTGGCTAATTTTTGTATTTTTAGTAGTGATGGGGTTTCACCATGTTGGCCAGGCTGGCCTTGAACTCCTGACCTCAAGTGATCCACCTGACTCAGCCTCCCAAGGGGCTGGGATTACAGGTGTTAGCCACCACATCCAGCCTTTGGTTAGATTCTTTGTATGCCTTGGGAACAAGAATTTGCTAAATTTCCATCCAGGGTGGGATAAAATAGAAGTCATTTAAATTCTACATTTAATAACATAGTTCCTTATGTACTGTGGCAGAAAACATGAAGCATTTTGGAGAATATGGAAAAACGTTATTCTTTTTTTTTTTTTTTTTTTTGAGACAGAGTCTCGCTCTGTCTCTTAGGCGTGATCTCGGCTCACTGCAACCTCCACCTCCTGGGTTCAAGTGATTCTTCTGCCTCAGTCTCCCAAGCAGCTGGGACTACGGGTGCGCACCACTAGGCCCAGCTAATTTTTTTTTGTATTTTTAGTAGAGACGGGGTTTCACCATATTGGCCAGGCTGTCCTTAACTCCTGACCTCGTGATCCACCTGCTTGGGCCTCCCAAAGTACTGGGGTTACAGGCGTGAGCCACTGCACCCAGCTGGAAAAATATTATTCTAGTTGTTTCAAAATGACAAGTAACTGTTGATCATCTTCCGTTTAAAATAAAATAATGTTGTCTTAATGTATTTTCGTGTCTTTTTGAATATTTATCTAATTTTAAAGGTCAAACAGGATTTATGCATCATCCATCATTTTTTACGTCTGAGCCACCAAGTATTTATCAGTGGGTGAGTTCTTGTCTGAAGGGTGAAGGAATGCCACCTTATCCTTACCTCCCTGGAATCTGTGAAAGAAGCAGACTTGTAGTCTTGGTATGTATGTGGAGTGTTACTACCTATCTCCTTTTTCTTTTAAAATTTAGTTTTAAAAAGTACACCTGATATTAAGTTTTTTTCTGTGTATAGTTCTGTGAATTTCAGTACGTGTATAGATTCATGTAATTACTACAATGAGGATATAGAACATTTACATCACCCTCAAAAATTTCTCTCATGATTTCGAGACTTATCCAAGTTGTTTCCTGTATCGACAGTTCATCGCATTCTATGGCTAATTAGTAGTTTATTGCATGAATGTGCCATAGTTGGTTTTTCATTCAAGATAGTTGGGTTGATTTCAGTTTTTAGCAATTGTAAATATAGATGCTGTCAGCATTCATGCTTAGCGTTTTATGTGAACATAAGTTTTGCTTTCTCTAGGACAGGTACCTGGGAGTAGGATTGATGGGTCATATAGTTAAGTTTATATTTTGTTTTTAAAGAAACTGTCATCTGTTTTCCAGAGTGGCTCTTCCATTTTACATTTTTACCACCAATATTTAAGAGATCATTTACCTGCATTCTTGTTGGTGTTTGGTATTGTCACTCTTTTTTATTTTTGTCTTTCTGAGAGATGTGTAGTTATACCTCATTGTGGTTTTAATTTGCATTTTCCTAATGGCTAATGATGTTTTCAGGGTTCTAGGTATGAGGTTTTGTCAGATATGTGGTTTGCAGATATTTTCTTCTGGTTTCTACCTTGTCTTGTCTCGTCATTCTCTTAATACATCAAAGAGCAAAAGTGTTTAATTTTGATGAAGCTAGTTTATCTGTATTTTTCTTTAATGGATGTTGCTTTTAGTGTCATGTCTAATAATTCTTTGTTTAACTTCAGGTTTTGAAGATTTTCTCCTGGGTTTCTTTGCATGTTTTACATTTAGATCTCTAATCCATTTTGTTAATCTTTTATAACATGTCAGGTTTTAAGTCAAGGTTTTTATTATTTCATTTGGATATCCAGTTCTTTCAGCACTGTTTTTTAAAAAGACTATCCTTTCTCTATTGCATTTGCACTTTTGTCAAAAGTTAATTTGGCCACATTCTTGTGTGTCTGTTTCTGGACTTTCTATTCTGGTTCATTGATCTTTGTGGCTGTCTACGCTGTAATTACTGTAGCTTTATAGTAAGTCTTTAAAATTGATTAGCGTTACTCCTCCCTTCATTACTCTTCTTGCCTTTTCATACTGATTTTATTTTTATTTTTATTTTTGAGACAGAGTCTCACTCTGTCGCCTAGGCTAGAGTGCAGTGGAGTGATCTCAGCTCACTGCAACCTCCACCTTCTGGGTTCAGGCGATTCTCCTGCCTCAGCCTCCCAAATAGCTGGGATTACAGGATCCCACACCATGCCCGGCTAATTTTTTGTATTTTTAGTAGAGACGGGGTTTCACCATATTGTCCAGGCTGGTCTCGAACTTTCAACCTCAAGTGATCCGCCTGGCTCAGCCTCCCAAAGTGCTGGGATTACAGGTGTGAGCCACCGTGCCCGTCCCATACTGATTTTATAATCAGCTTGTCTATAGCTACAAAGAAAAATCCTGTTGAAATTTTTTTCAAGAAACACTTCTTTATTTATTTTTATTATTTTTTGTTTACCTCTAGCTGCAAATCTCATGATTTATTTATTTTTAGAAATTAGTTTGTTATTACTGGTTAATACATGTCCAAGATCAAACCTTCATATAGAACCATAGGGCTGTAACGGTGAATAAGGTAAGTTTCTTGGCATACCTGTTCCTCAGTCCCCCCATCCTGGAGCAGCCTGCTCATAGGCCCCTTGTGGGCCTTTCCAGGTGGGGTCTTCCCAGGCTTGCAGGAGAACCATATGCTTTTGTCCCTTCTCTCAAATGTTGGCAGACTGTAAATGTCTTTGCCCCCTGCCCTTCTTTTTCTTTACTCTACATTTTGCTCTGCTTCATGGTGAGAAGTGCTTCACAGTCCCCCCCATGGCTCCAAAACAGACATACAGAATGATGTTTCTGTTTAAAAAACACGGGATTTTTTTAATGATAGCAAAATATATATAACATAATATTTGTCATTGAAATTGTTATTATTATTGTTTCTTGAGACGGAGTCACTCTGTTGCCCAGGCTGGAGTGCAGTGGCACAATCTCGGCTCACTGCAACCTCCGCCACCTAGGTTCAAGCGATTCTCCTGCCTCAGCCTCCCGAGTAGCTGGGATTACAGGCGTTAGTCACCAAGTCTGGCTAATTTTTGTATTTTTAGTAGAGATGGGGTTCACCATGTTGGCCAGGCTGGTCTTGAACTCCTGACATCAGGTGATCTGCCCACCTTGGCCTCCCAAAGTGCAGGGGTTACAGGCGTGAGCCACTGTGCCCGGCCTGAAATTATTTTTGAGTGTACAATCCAGTGGCGTTGAATACGTTCACATTGTTATGTTGCCATCACCACTGTCCGTACCCAAGACTTTTTCATCATCCCCAACATAAACTCTGTACCTATTAGATAGTGACTCCCCATTCCCCTTCCTCCCAGGCCCTGGTAATTCCGTTCTGTTTCTTATGAATTTGTCTCTTGTAAGTACCTCATGTTATGGGAATCAAGCAATATTTATCTCTCTGTGTCTGGCTTATTTCACTTAGCATAATGTTTTCAATGTTCATCCATATTGTAGCATGTATCAAAATTACATTGTTTTAAAGGCAGTATTCTATATAGTATTCCATTGTATGGATATACCACAATTTATCATTTCACCTGATGATGGACATTTGGGTTGTTTCCACCTTTTGACTGTTGCGAATAGTGCTGCTGTGAACCATGGGTATGCAAATATCTGTTCAAGTCTCTGCTTTCAGTTCTTTTTAATATATACCTGGTGGTGGAATTGTTGGGTCATATGGTAGGTAGTTCGATGTTTAACTTTTTGAGGAACTGCTAAACTCATTTTCATAGTGGCTATACCATTTTACATCCTTATCAGCAATGCAAGAGGAAGGGTTCCAATTTCTCTACGGTCTTGCCAACACATATTATTATTTTCTATTTGTTTTTTTAAAAATTATAGCCATCCTAGTATTTATGAAGTGATATCTCATTGTTTTGATTTGCCTCCTTAATTTAGTGATATTGAGCATATTTTCTTGTGTTTATTGGCCATTTACGTATCTTCTTTGAAGAAAGATCTATGCAGATCTTTTGTGTATTTGAAAATTGGATTTTTATTTTCAAGTTTAGGCATTTTTATGCTCTAGATATTAATGTGTCAGATACATGATTTGCAAATATTTTCTCCCATTCTATAGGTTTTTCTGTGAATGTCTTTTCAGTAAAACTGTCATGAGTGCTCAGTTTACCTCTCTGGCCTTTCATCTTAGTTTTATCCTCTTCGTATTCCTTTATAACTTGTTAGCTCAGAGATCTATTTATAAAAATATGAATTTAATTTTTATTTATAAAAATATTCTGAAAAATATCAACAGAAGCCCTTGTTGATACGTTTTTGGTTTCCTCATTATAAGTTTTATTGGACTTTTTTTATTTTTTATTTTTTTTATTTGAGACAAGGTCTTACTCTGTCACCCAGGCTGGAGTGCAGTGGTGCAATCATGGCTCACTGCAGCCTCAACCTCCCGGGGCTCAAGCAGTCCTTCCACCTCGGCCTCCTGAGTAGCTGGGACCACAGGTGCACACCATCACACCCGGCTAATTTTTGTATTTTTAGTAGAGATGGGGTTTTGCCATGTTGCCCAGGCTGGTCTTGAACTCCTGACCGCAAGTGATAAATTTTTTTTATGTGATGTTTAGCTAATGAGACATTTGTAGTAACCTTCTAGCTTATGGTGGCTCTTTTTCTATTGAGTCACTTGTATATGCGGAGATGGCATTGTCTGTGTACCATTTGTTGAAATGAGGGAAAGGAAGGAAGTGAGATAACATTTATTGGGAGCCTGTTGTCTTCAAGGAACTTTATGTATGTTTTCTCATTTAATAGAGAGATCTTATGTACTTTTGTGTTTGTGTTATATGTTGAATATTTTAACTCTTTTGAGAGACTTTTTCCTTTGTGTTATCTTTTTCTTTTCCTCTTCAAAGCAAATAACACTACAGCTCTGTACTACTAGATACTTCTTAGATAGTGAGAGAGCACTATTCGATACCTGTTGGAATGACTGAAAATAACTTTTGGTGAGGATATGGAGCAATCGAAACTCTCATACATTACTGGTGGGACTGCAAAAGTGGCATGGCACTTTGCAAAACTGGCAGTTTCTTGTGAAGTTAAACATACACTTTCGTATTTACTTAAGATAAATGAAAACATATGCCTACATAAAGACCCGCATGTATGTGAATGTCTTTGGGGCCAGGTGCGGTGGCATAATCTCAGCACTTTGGGAGGCCGAGGAGGGCGGATCACGAGGTCAGGAGATCGAGACCATCCTGGCCAACATGGTGAAACCCTGTCTCTACTAAAAATACAAAAATTAGCTGGGCGTGGTGGCGCATGCCTGTAATCCCAGCCACTCTGGAGGCTAAGGTGGGAGAATCGCTTGAACCCAGGAGGCGGAGGTTGCAGTGAGCCGAGATTGTGCCACTGCGCTCCAGCCTGGCGACATAGTGAGACTCCGTCTCAAAAAAAAAAAAAATAAATAAATAAATAAAGCAGCTTTGGTCATAGTGACCACAAACTGGAACCAAATGTTCATCAGTTTTTGAGTAGGTAAACAAAGTTTGGTATGTCTGTATAATGGAATACTACTTAGCATGAAAAGGAAGAAACTAGTGATCCTTGGAGAGACGTGAATGAATCTCAAAGACTTATGCTAAGTTAAAGAAGTAGCACAAAAAAGACTACATATCATATGATTGATTTACATGATATTGTAGGATAGACAAAACTGTAGAGCAAGAAAACAGATGAATTGTTTCCAGTGCTGGGTGTAGGAGGAAAGGATTGACTACAAAAGGAACAAGGGAACTTTTTGGTGTGATGAAAGTATACTATATTGTGAGTGTGGTAGTGGTTATGTGATACAACATTTGTCGAAACTCACAGAGCTGTACACCTAAAATGGATGAATTATTCTATGTTATAATTATTTTCTAGTTATACTTCAATTATGTAGCTAGGTGTGGTGGCTCATACCTATAATCCCAGCAGTTTGGGAGGCTGAGGCAGAAGGATTGCTCGAGGTCATGAGTTTGAGCCCAGCCTGGGCAACACAGCGAGACTCCGTCTTTACAAAAAATAAAAATAATATAAAATAATAAGCTGGGCATGGTGGTGTGTGCCTATAGTCCTAGCTACTCTGGAGACTGAAGCAGGAAGATTGCTTGAGCCAAGGAGTTTGAGGCTGCAGTGAGCTGTGATTGTGTCACTGCACTCCAGCCTGGGTGACAAAGTGAGATGCTGTCTCTGAAAAGAGAAAAATAATGTTAATTTTCTTCCTTTGCAGAGTATTGCACTGTACATACTTGGTGATGAGAGCTTGGTTTCTGATGAATCCTCACAGTATTTAACCAGAATAACTATAGGTAAGTTGGTGCAATGTTGCCTCTGGAAACAAATTTTTGTAAATGTCAGTATCAGAATTGAAAAAAGAATTGAATTTTTCTTGTTTGCTTTGGCGGCCATGTCTTACCTTTTTAGTACTGTTCTGGTCTGTTGCGGTCTTTTGTCCACAACTAATTTTCAGGTATCAGGATTACTTAAAATCTAATACATCTTGTATTTTCAGTGCGGGTAAAAAGGACTATTTTAGCCTGAAGGAAATTATTGTACCATTGACTCTTGAACAACATGAGTTTGAGTTGTGTGGGTCCACTTACAATGAAATTCTTTTCAGCCAAATGCAGATAGAAAATGCAGTATTCTCTGATGTGAAACCCATATGCAGGTTCTGCAGGGCCAGTTGCAGGACTTGAGCATGCACGGATTTGGGTACGCATGGGGTGTCCTAACCAATCCCCTGAGTATTCTGAGGGCCTTGACTGTACTTTTCAGCCTGCCACAGTATTGCTTATTTTATTTTTTTTTAGATGTTGTTTGCTAATTGATTCTTATTTTCAAATGTTTTCTACATGTTACATGTTTTCTTTACCAGGATGACTATCAAAATTAAGTTTCATTTTGTTGCCTTTTAGCCCCCCAGAAGTTGCAAGTAGAACAAGAGGAAAACAGGTGACTTTTATTTAGACTGTGCTTTTATGTCAAACACTTAAAACAATATTATTTACTGTTCTGCTTAATAACTTTATGTTTTATTCTCTTATAGGTTTAGTTTCAGGCATTCTACATCTGTTTCTAGTCTAGCTGAAAGATTGGTTGTCTGGATGACTAATGTAGGTGAGAGCTTCTTTGTTACCTCCTAACTAGGCCGTGCTTCCTCCAGACTAGCTAGAAGTGGAAGGCATGAGGAGAGAGGGGCTCTGGCTTTGTGAAAAGGCCTCACAAGATTGAGATTATGGTTCATCAAGCCATATTCTTTTTTTCTCGACAATCTCACAACTTTCATATAATAATATTTGGGATACCAGCTTTTTATCTTGATGCATAAGGAATCTTTATTTGCCATTTAATTGGAACATTTGAGGCTGTGGCTATGTAAGCTGGTCTCTGAGAATGGAGAACTCTAATCACCTACATACACACCTGAAATCATTGTGATACTCAGATATCAGAAATGGGTGGTTTTGGCAAAGTCTAAAAGCAATAATATAAACATTTCAGGGTATACTTTTGAAGGATAAATGCACTTTTGAAGGGATTTCAGGCACCAAGATGAACATTGAACTGGGAAGAGGAAGAGGAAGGAAAAGAGTTCTATATTCCCTATTCCCCAAACCTATGCTCCTAGGTTTTAAATTAAGTAAAATACCAAAGAAATTTTTTTTCACAAAGAACTGAAAAACAAAAATTACTGCCACGAAGACATGATTTTAAAAATGAGGATGTTATATGGGATGTATGTTAAAAAGTAAAGTTTTAATGAATATTAAAAGATGTTTTTGAAGTCTTATCTAAAGTATGTTCTAAATGAAGTTTCTGACAGGTTTTTTTTTTTTTTTTTTGCATTTTACCTTAAAAATGACAATAACTGTTGCATAGTATACATACAGGATACCTATGCTGAAAAATATTGGATTAGTTCTATCCATTTGTATATTGCATAATATTTAATAAGTGTTATTCTCATATAAGGAAACATTTTTTGCCTCAATAGTTAATCGACTTTTTATATTATAAATAATGCATAGTATTATGAAATTTAGAAAATCATAAGAAAAACATGATTTAATTAACCTGAGGATAAATTTAAATATGAAATATGGTATACTTACAAAATAATATGTCAAACGTATATGTTTAGTTTAGAGAATGGTACTAAAGTGAGTATTGATGTACTGGTCACCCACCCCTAGAAATAGAATATTACCCGCATAGTAGAAGGCCCTTACATATCTGTTCTTGGATGGTCCCCTCCTGTCACACACCCCAATGTTATAGTGAACCACTGCCCTACCTACATTTGTGTTACCTTACTCTTGTTTTTCTTTATAGTTTTACATCTTTATAAATTGCTAGGTCTTATGTAGTTTTGAAAATATATAGATGTAAATATGTGTTCCTTTTTCTTCACTCAACTTTGTTTTTTAAAGATTCATCCATGTCGACTCATGTAGCAGTAGCAGCGGGCCATTCATTTTCTCTGATATAGAGATTACTTTGTTTGAACATATCATAATTTAATTACCCATTCTATTGATGATAGACAATCGGACTCACCCCTTTCTCCATCTCTTTTTTTTTTTCCATAACAAACCAGTATTGCTAATGAATATTTTTATACCTGTGTCTTTGTACATGGGTATAAGTTTCTATATGGCTGTTGATGGATCAAATGGGTGGATTGACCTATACATACCAACTGTTTTCCAAAGTGGTTGTACCAGTTTACACTACCATTGGCTATGGATAAGCATTATTGTTGCTTGGGCCAGGCGCGGTGGCTCATGCCTGTAATGCCAGCACTTTGGGAGGCCGAGGCGGGTGGATCACGAGGTCAGGAGATCGAGACCATCCTGGCTAATACGGTGAAACCCTGTCTCTACTAAAAAAAAAATTACAAAAAAAATTAGCCGGGCATGGTGGCGGGCGCCTGTAGTCCCAGCTACTCGGGAGGCTGAGGCAGGAGAATGGCGTGAACCCGGGAGGAGGAGCTTGCAGTGAGCCAAGATCGCGCCACTGCACTCCATCCTGGGCGACAGAGCGAGACTCCATCTCAAAAAAAAAAAAAAAAAAAAAAAAAAAGAATAAAAAGAATTATTATTGCTCTACATAGTTGCCAACATTTAGTATTGATTGGCTTTGACATTTATATTTCTCAGTAGCTTTAATTTGCATTTTCCTGATCCCTAATTAGGTAGAGCATCTTTTCATATGCATGTTGCCCATTTATGTTTCCCCTTCTAGGAAATGTCTTTTTGTCCTTTATATTTTTCTATTAGATTGTCTTTTTTTCTTCAGGTTTTTACAAGTTCTTTCAAAGAGACTTCCTATACTAGTCCTTGATGTCAAGACATTAGTCTGGTAGTAAGATGAATAAAATGAACTTATTTGTCAGGATAGATATTGTTGCCAACTTCAGTCAGGATAATTGGGACAGTGGCGAGTCTAAATTAAAATTTTTCTCTCTTCCTTTAACCATTAGGATTCACTTTAAGAGATTTGGAAACTCTTCCCTTTGGAATTGCTCTTCCCATCAGAGATGCAATTTATCACTGTCGTGAGCAGCCTGCCTCAGACTGGCCAGAAGCTGTCTGTCTCTTGATTGGACGTCAGGATCTTTCCAAGCAGGCCTGCGAAGGAAACTTACCCAAAGGGAAGTCTGTGAGTATCAACATAGAAAGTTCAGAGTTCCAATTTTAGCCTTAAATAAAATCATAAAGTAGAAATGTTCTTCATTTTCCTTTAAGGCTTTTTCTAAGTATATATATTAGCTTGTCTTTTATATTATATGCCAGACGGGGTTTGTAATTGTACGCGTCTTATTAATTGTTAAGATGAGCATTAGGAGCAGGAGATTTTGTGAATGTTCTGTCTTGTGCCTGGATCTTTCTTTGCCTTGAATCAGGACAAGTCCTGAGGGTAGTCATGGAAACTACCATGGCTATTTCCCTACTTGTACCATATTAGTAATTAACCACTTTGTAATTATTACATAGGAAAAGGGAGAGCACATATATCCTGAATTTGGATGAGTAATTATATATAAATATTTTCTACTGCATATTTTTTGATGTGTTGAATTTTTTGAATTTAACCTTTTAAATAGGTGTAAACATATTTGTTTAATCACATAAAACTGCAGCCCCAGGGAAAAAATGTGTTTTTTTCAGTAGAGTTGTTTAAAAACATGTCTTAAGCTATCCCTCCCGAAATACTGTCTTTCATCAATCATCAAGTCTGTTTTTTTTTTCAAATGAGTTCTAGGAATCCTGCAAGTAGAAAGTTAAATTATTTCATTACTCTCCAATTATCTTTTTAAATCATCCTCACCATGTTGGCCAGGCTGGTCTGGAACCCCTGGCCTCGGGTGATCCGCCCACCTCGGCCTCCCAAAGTGCTGGGATTACAGAGTGTGAGCCACCACACCCGGCCAGCAATATAGTACTTTTTAGAAAGATTTGTAGATTAGAGTCCCAGTATACATTGCGGCTCCAACCCATGCCTGCTTTGGAAAACATATTTTCTCTGTGCTAGTATAGTCAAGACACATCAGCCTATATATCCTCATGTTCAGCAAGTGCATGTTAACTGCTTTTGAAATTATTATTACAATAAAGTCTGTTACTCAGGTGCTCTCATCAGATGTTCCTTCAGGAACAGAAACTGAGGAGGAAGATGACGGCATGAATGACATGAATCACGAGGTCATGTCATTAATATGGAGTGAAGATTTAAGGGTGCAGGATGTGCGAAGGCTTCTTCAGAGTGCGCATCCTGTCCGTGTCAACGTAGTGCAGTACCCAGAGCTCAGTGACCACGAGTTCATCGAGGAAAAGGAAAACAGGTGAAAGAAAACACGTGCACTATCTCTTGTCATGTTTCATTGTTACATTTGTGTCTTGTGTATATTTGTTTTTCCTTCAAGTTTTTAGCATTTAAAACCCTAAAGAGATTTAAAAGATACTTTCAAGTGAAAATATGCCCTGTGTTTTAAGTTTTCATCCAACTTCAACAAACCACGTGTGTTAGCAAAATGTCTTTGGCTTTTGAGGACGTAATTGTTGTATTTCATATCGTCCTCCTCTTGAAATACATATAACACTTTACTCTTTAGAAAAGGTGAATGTAAAACTATTTTGCCTGATAGTTACCTTAAGAATTTACAAACAAAGAAAACACTGGACTTGTTTTTCTGTGTCTTGATCAGGAATAGATTTTGAGGTTAGTGGGGTTTTTAGTGTAGTTTAAACTTGTATGAGTATTTTTTTTTTTTGGATATGATAGATGATACTCCAAATAAAAATAGATAAGCCTTTCTTCTGCCACTCCCCTGCACAGGATACATCCCTTGATACATTATAAGACTCACATGCCTATGACATTCCAGAGCTATTCTCTTGGGACACTTCTGTTTTAAAATTCTCTCCTGTTCTTTTATCTGCTTGTCTCTATCATCTATCATTCATCTGCCACTGTTTTCTAGTTCTCTTTACTTTTTTTATGGTACTGTTTTGAGGGGAACCATCACCCACACTTAGCCACAGGCTGCTGAAGATCTGAATTAGTTGTGATTTCCCTATTAACTGTTTCCTCTCCACATGTACCCAGTTATTAGTCACCTGTGAATAAAAAGATGGAGTGACAGAAGTTGAGTTTAGAGCATAGGATTTATGAGCATGGCCTCTAGAGCCAGGCATGGCCATGCTGTGCTGGGTGACTTTGGTTAAATTACTTTACCTCTTGTTGCCTCAGTTGCTTCATTTGTAAAAGTAGGCATACTTCATGGGATGGTGCTGTGTATCAAGTGAATTATTTTTACATAGCACTTAGAATACTGCTCAATACATAGTAAAGCTCAGTGCAGTCAGCCATTATTAGTAGTAGAGTTCATTGATTCTAAGATGCAAGTTTTTTCACTTTTTAATATCTCTGAAATCAGTTGTGTATTTCAGTGAACAGGTGTCATAGTTTAATTGGCAGTGCTTTTTCTTTCTTAGTTTCTCATGAAATAATGATACATCTTATCAGTGGCATCTTATATTCAGGGGATATAATATTGTTCTCATTATAATTTTGTTACTTGCGCAAAGTTGAAGTGAATTATGTGTAAGATTTCCTCTAAAAAAATTCTATGGGTTGCAACAGCCTCTTGGCTTTGAATTTTCCTGATCCCAAATTAATGTTGCGGTTGTGTTCCCAGAGAATCTTTAAGACAGCAAAATTTTTCTTTCCAGTTAGCTAGAAAAGCAGTTATGTGTGTCCAGTTAAGGAGGGAGTATGCTTATGAATAGCTTTGTCTGCAGAGAAAATGTTTGTCAGTTGTCAGCCTCTGAAGGGATATTTCTGTGTCTTCAGATATAGCTTGTATAGGCGTTTCTTAGTTATAAATGCCCTACTTCCAAAATTTCTGTTAGTTTTTTTTAAGTGGCTATATGGAATGTTAAGCTATTTTAACATAGGAAGAAGTTGAAGAGTGGTGTATTAATTTCACAGTAGAGCCAACAGAAACCATTTTAACCTTGAACATACCTGATACATAATGGTATTAGTCCTATAAATCTAGCCATCATGTAAGTGAAACCAATCTGTATTTCCCTTGGAGACACCATGAAAT
The DNA here is from genome assembly GCF_000001405.40 of Homo sapiens. Taxonomy (NCBI): domain Eukaryota; kingdom Metazoa; phylum Chordata; class Mammalia; order Primates; family Hominidae; genus Homo; species Homo sapiens. The sequence goes on along the minus strand of NC_000002.12, from coordinate 111,819,468 downwards.
CCATTCACCTCTAACACAAGGACCTTGTTTCTTTTCTTGTGTACAGGCCACAGAAATGGTACTTCTGAGGCTGTATTGGCAAAAGGGATGGGAGGAGGATCCCACATGTACTGAGGACAGCTAGACTGAAATTAACACAGTGATAAAAACCCCAAAAGTACTGTATTTTCCTTTGAGAAGGTTAGCATCCATCGGAGTGGAATTTTAAATTTCTTTTTTTTTTTGAATGCCTAGAGAGAGTCGGCTGGGTTTATAGGCCAGGTGGTTTTCATTCAATGTAAATATGAAACAAAACAGAGGAAATATGTCTCTCCCTAAGAGTGTAATAGGAACAAGAATATTAAAATGAAAATAATCATGTTTGGGTAGTTCACTCACATCTGTGTATGAATTTACTTTGAGACAACTTCATCTTATACAGTACACCTTCTTTTGAAATACTTACAGATGATATTTCAATTGCTCTTTGCTTTAAACATTTTCATATGTTGGTTTTTACTTTAATTACAGATTGCTCCAATTGTGTCAGCGAACTATGGCTCTTCCTGTAGGACGAGGAATGTTTACCTTGTTTTCGTACCATCCTGTTCCAACAGAGCCATTGCCTATTCCTAAATTGAATCTGACTGGTATGTTAAATTCTGGGCTCAATGAGAAAGGAAAATGATTAAGTACATGCATTAAGTGTAGTTCTTTAAATTAGTTAAAACAAAAGAAATGCTCCCTCTATCCCCAGTGATTTAAAATTTTCCTAATAGCTGCTGTAGTGGTTATCAAAGCTCAAATGCCATGTGAAACTAAACTTTGAGAGAAGCAGAATATAGTTCATTACTCATTTTTGCTTTTTAATGAGGTGATTTTAAGATCTAAAAAGTCACTTGGAGAAGTTCAGAAAGATATTATTGATAACGATGAGACTTGAATTTTAAATAATCTTAAGTTTAATATGTAAAAATATTTAGTTTTAAAATGTCTTACGTCATAGTTTAAACAGATGATCATTGTATAAATCAAGAAATGTACTAAGCAAAAAGAGAAACAATGGTCGCTTGCAGTACTCCCACTCTTCTGCATCACTCCTTTTAACATTTTAGTATATATGTTTACTAAGTTTATTTCCACATATTTATAATTTTATATTTGTTTAATTATCAGAAAATTTATATCTATTTTAGATTTTTTTAAAAATTTACAGTGAACATCCTTTTATATCTAGCAAATAAATGTATGTGTTTATAATTATGTGTATGTATTGTATACACGTGTTTTTAATCAATACATTCATTTTTATTTGCTTCAGAGTATTTCATTCAGCGGATATACCATAGTTTATAGAAGCAGCCTGGTATTGTTGGAAATTACAGTTTTTTGGTATTATAAACATTGTTGGGGCGTATTCGTCCTGTGTATTTAGGCTAAATGCTTAGAAGTAGAACTCTTAGGACAGCAAGATGAATGGTTTTAAGGAACATGTCAAATTGCCTTTCTGGCTGGCACAAGTTTTTATTTCTGCCATATATAACTGTAGTTATAGTCTTGATTACAATGAATTTTATAGTGCATGTCCCCCTAATGCTGATTTGAATGTGTTCTAAAGGTGACAATTACATAGTTGAAATTATCACTGAAACTCTATTATAGTATATATGGTTTTGTGAAACCTATACAAAATGTATAATGTATGTTGTAGGAGTGTATAGTATATGTGGTAGCATATAATGTATAATTTAATATATGATAAATAGTACATAATATATGCAAACATAATTATACAGTATTTTAAATTGCATACTTTAAAAAATCCAGAGTTCCACTCAGATTTGTGAAAAGCTTGTGCTTTGAGCAGCATGCAGGAAATGAGATTGACTAAGTGAAAGAACACATTCCCATCTCCATATCATGCTTATTCTGAGCCCTGATCTCACTGAGGGACATAGTGAGCAGAGTTGCTTTTAATATTTAAATTGTCTCAGAGGTAAAGCACCTATGGCAAAATTTTAACAATTATTGATTCTTGATGGAAGGCATGGTATATAGATGTTCATTTTAGTAGTCTTTCCAACTGTTTATATGAAAGATTTCATATAATAAGTGCAGATTAAAAAGAAAATCTAATGCAAAATTGGCAAATGTTAAAATGTATTCAATCTGGGTGATTTAGCACTCAAGTGATACTTGGGTGGGTTTAAAAAATATATACATGCATCTTTTTTTCTGAATACATTTAATTGAATTTGCATGATTTAAAATGTGTTTATGACATTAATCCAACATTTTATTCTTTTAGTCATTCTGGTAGGCCAAAAAGAAAGGTTATCCTCTTAATTTAGGAAAGAATATTTTCTTAAATAGTTGCTTAACCCACACTGATGTGGCCTGTTGTACTTTTGTATGTTGTTATTCTCATTGAAGAAAATTTACCTTACCCTTTGCATTTTATTTTCTCTCGTGTATAAATATTATGTCTCTTGCATATGATGAATGAATGTTTCAGAAAGGTCACTCAGTTTTTTCATATTGATATGTCTGCCTTTTTTGAGAAAGTACAAGTGTAACTTATGAACTTATTACTCATTGTGGTGCTAACACTAGCAGTTGAGTTAGCTTTTAGGTACAAAAAGCATATAGTAAAGACAAATAAGTCTTACTTTGTGCTTTGTGTGTGTATGTGTACATGCTACAAATAAGACACTGCATCTACTTAAAATTTATTTTACATAACATCTTAGAACTCTTTAAAAATGGTATTTTTAAAGCTGCAGTGAAATGGATAACTTTATGCAGTAATTAAAATATTTATGTTAATTATTTTATCCGTGACTTAAGACAATATTCAAAATATATTTAAAAAGATTCAATGTTTGCTGTGTATAATGTAGATCAAAAAGAAAAGAATCAAGAAAAAATTCGTAGGGAACATATAGCATTGTGAACATATAATTTACATTGTTCTTAAATAAATGGACCGTAAAAGTATAATCTGGTGAATGCCCTTTTGAAGTTCACTGGGTGACTCAAGTCTATAAAAGGATGCTTTTTACAAAACTATCTCTAAGCATTTTAAACGATAGCATATAATTAGATATCTATATCTGTATGTATATATAGAGAGAGAGAGAAAAAAAGAGAGAGAAGGGGGCATATATAGGTAAGACCTGTAGCAGATTTATTAAGGTTCTTGTTTCCTTTTTTTTTTTTCTTTTTTGAGATGCAGTCTCTGTCTGCTGCCCAGGTGGGAGTGCAATGGCATGATCTTGGCTCACTGCAACCTCTGCCTCCCAGGTTCAAGTGATTCTCATGCCTTAGCCTCCCAAGTAGCTGGGACAGGCACGCACCACCAGGCCTGGCTTTTGTCTTTTCTTAAGATGTCATTTTTCCTTAATGTCTAGGGGAAAATATAGGATAGAACATTTGAAATTAACATCAGTGTCATCAGATGTTGGGATTTATAACTTGTATAGTTTAACAGTGATGTTAGTCTTCATTTTGGTTTTTAAGCTCTCTGTTTGAAAGAAAAAATGAGTGATTATCCCAGTCATCTCTGTATAATGTTAAATTGGTATCAGTTATCTCATTATATAGCCTCATACATTTTAACAAAAAGGACAATGAACTGTTTAGACAGTGAAGGTTTTTCCAGTTCCATTAAGTTTGACTCACATGTACAAAAGTTTTAAGTGGTCATAGAGACCTAACGTTCCAGGCATTATGGGGTTAATGGTTTTGAATGTAGAAAACGTAAGTAATCTTAGTCTCAAAGATCTAAATTTAACAATCTTGGTTTTGTGGATTTTTATTCTCTCAATGTTCTTCGTTTGGCTGGATAGGGCGTGCCCCTCCTCGGAACACAACAGTAGACCTTAATAGTGGAAACATCGATGTGCCTCCCAACATGACAAGCTGGGCCAGCTTTCATAATGGTGTGGCTGCTGGCCTGAAGATAGCTCCTGCCTCCCAGATCGACTCAGCTTGGATTGTTTACAATAAGCCCAAGCATGCTGAGTTGGCCAATGAGTATGCTGGCTTTCTCATGGCTCTGGGTTTGAATGGGCACCTTACCAAGCTGGCGACTCTCAATATCCATGACTACTTGACCAAGGTGAGACCTGTGCTCCCAGTGCCTGGCTTTGTGCCTTGGCTGGCTATTGTAGTAGCTCCTAATTGCTCTATTTGCTCTTCTTTCTTCATTCTTGTACTTCTAAGTCCATTTGTCTCATAGTACATGGAATAATCTTTCTAAAGCATAAATCAGAGTATGTCACTTCCCTGGTCAAAGCCATTTAATTAATGATCTCCCATTGCTTTTTTTTTTTTTTTTTTTTCCTTGAGTAAGGCAGAGTAGAATTTAATGAGTGACAAGAAAGCTCTCAACAGCGAGAGGGGACCCGAAGGTGGGTTGCCAGCCACGAGGCTGAGTCTAGAGGTTTTTATGGGCTTGAAATGGGGGAGGTACATGCTGATTGGTCTGTGGGTATGCTTGAAAAAGCACCATTTAGAAATAGGCACGATAGTGTAGAGGACCAACTGGGGAAGGGCAGGTATATGTAAGGTAGGTGAAGGATAAGGACCAATCAGGAGAGAGCATGCCAAACAGGAATGAGAGCTCTCTAGTCCATGGATTTATCCAGAACTTGTAGCTTGGTTTTCAGGCTTTCGACTGTCCTTGGCTTGAAGGTTGAGTTTCATCTGAGAATTTACCTGCCTCCTACCGCCATCAATCCCCGCTCTGAAGAGGTATATCTAACTGCTGTTCGGATAGGGGTGATGACTGTTCTGCTTCATGCTGACAGAGGGTGTTGTTTTGGGAAACAGCAGTCAGGTCTCTCTTAGAGGCCTATCTAAGTGTCCCCTGGTAAAAGAGAGCCATCAACCGAGGTTCCATTTGCATGACCACTTGGAGTTTGATGGCCTCTAGGCGAGAAAAAACAAATTTTACAAGGAGGTTAAGTACACATGGACCAAATATGAGTATTACAATGAGAACACAAAGAGGAACTAAAAGGGGGAAAATCCATGCCCATATATTAGGGACACCTAGAAAGGACAGGAAGAAAACCTCTGAAAATGGACTGTTCTATTCCAGGATTTTGCAAAATAGGGTTGTCATGGGCATGTCCCCCTAGATTATTAGATATGTTATAATTAGGCATTGCAATGCTTTTAATTAGATTTCTGATCCATAGGCTGCAGAATCCAGTAATGCCTGATAATCCCTTTAGTTAGCTGAGGGTCTTGGGGAGAAGGAAGGAGAAAATGGATCCAATTCTCTCCTCGCCCAGTGTCCTGGTCCCTTCTGACAAGACCAGGCATAGGTACTTCACTGAAGTCTGACGGAGTTGAGCCTTGGACTTTGAAACTTTATGTCCTCTGTCAGTTAGAAAATTAAGAAGAGCCTTATTGCTTTTCTGAGAAATTTCCTCAGTTGGGGCACAGAGTAGAGTGTAATCTACATATTAAGACTAACTTGAGTTTGAAAGAACTCAGAGAGATCTTTTGAGATTGCCTGCCCAAACAGGTGGAGGCTGTCTTGGAATCCCTGTGGTAACACCATCCAGGTTAGCTGGGTAGTCTGGTTGGAGGGATCCCTGAATGCAAACAAGTTTTGGGAGTTGGGGTATAATGGTATGCAGAAAAAAAGCATCTTTTAATTCCAAGAATGCAAACCATTTAGTTCCTTCAGGTATCTAAGTTAACAAAGTATAGGGATTGGGAACCACTGGGTAAATTGGTTAATTACACCAGTTACTCATTGAGGAGGTGGAGATCCTGGACCAGTCTCCATTCCCTGTTGGGTTTCTTTCTGTACTTCCAATATTAGGATATTACAAGGACTGTCGCAGGGTTTAACAAGGCCCTGCATCCTTAGGTTATTAATGATGGCTTCTAGTTGTTTCCTAGCTTCTGGTTTTAGGGGATATTGTCTTTAATTAGGGAAGGAGATGAGATCCCTGAGATGGATTTGGACTGGTGAGACTGTTGTAGCTCAGCCAGTATTTTCCTGAATTGCCCAAACATCTGGATTAATATCAGTCTCCACCAGAGGGAGGCAAAGAGTCTGTCCTGGAGCCATAATGGAGCCATAAGGATGGTGGTTCCCATGTGAGCTAAAATATCCCTACCTCAGAGGAGTCGGGCTTTCAGGTATGATTAAAAAGGCATAGGTAAACGAAAGGTCTCCCTAGGTACAGCTAAGGGATTGAGAAAAATATCGAGTCAGAGGCTTTCCTGAGACGACCCTCACAGTTGTGCTAAGGGAGGAGGGGAGGCCCAGAATGGAGAGGAGAACAGGAATGGCTGCTCTGGTGTTGAGTAGGAAGTCTGTCCTCTGAGTCCTTTGACCTCCAGACTCACCCGGGACTCCTGGATGGTAATGCAGCCTGGGCTGTCAGAGCTGGGGAGGAGAGCCCTGGGACCCATCAGTCCTGCTGGACCATTTGAGAAGCCGGCTCTGAACCTTGGGACGTATGTTTCTGGAGGCAGTTTGTCTTCCAGTAGTCTCCCTTACAGATTGGACAGGGCCGTGGGGGCTGCTTCTGATTTCGGGGGCAGACTCTCTTTTAGTGCTCCCACACTGATAACAGCCGGTCATAGAATGAGAAGCTCCCTGGGATTGAGAGGTTTATATGCCTGTATGGCAGCTATTAGTGCCTCTGCCTTTTTCTCGTTCCTTTTCTCCCTTTTTCTTGGGCTTCCTCATGGTCCCGATTATAAAAGACCAAGGTGGTGACTTTCAGGATTTTCTTTAGAGTACTGTCTGGTGCAATAGCTAACTTTTTGCAGCATTCTTCCAATATTTGGGGCTGCTTGGGTTATAAACTTGTCTTTCAAAATTAACTATCCTTTTATAGAGTCAGGAGAGAGATGGGTGTTTAATTAAAGCCTCTCTCAGTTTTTTCCAGGAAAACAGAAGGGTTCTCTTCAGACCCTTGGTTTATGGTTGATAACTTAATGTAATTGAGAGATTTGCCTCTAGTTTTCAGATCTTCCACTGTGCATCCCTAAAAATGTTTTCTCGGCCACTTTCCTAGAGCAGTGTCTGAGTCTCATTGAGGATTATTGGTGGATGCTGCCTGCTTGGCTGTCAGAAAGGGCTCCCTAATTTCTTCCCCCTTTTGGTAGGTGCCATAATAAGATAAACATTTCATCTCCAAATGTCTCAGTGACCTGTAAAGCTGCCTGCTTCTCTGAAGCTCTAAGAGTCTAGTTGAGAAGTAACATGATACCCTTCCATGAAAGCTCAGACATTTGATTAAGGTTCTGAAAGGCTTCAATATACCTATCAAGGTCGACACAATTGTCCTAGATTTCTTTTTATCTGCCTCAAATCTTGTAAAGAAAAGGGGACTTGTACTTTGATAGGACCATATTCACTATGCATTTCCTGTAAAGGAAGAAGTGATGCTGGAGCGCATCCAGGTCGAACTCTTCTAACAGGATGAGGTTCAAAAGGGGGCCTGGATAAGGGGGACGAGATGATCCAAGAGGAGCTGGGACCTGGGCTGGTGCAGGGGCCTCTGTCTCCTCTTCTAAGGAGGCAGACTGTTTTTTCCCTTCTGTCTGGATTAAGTCTGGCTGGATATCACTGCTATAAGTGCAAGGTCTATTATACATTGCTGACAGAGCTTGCGGTTATTCTGCAGGGCAAAAAAGGCCTATACATATGGAATTTTGGACCATTTTCCTTCTCTGTGGTTGAAGAGATCTAGCTATAGGATAGTATTATAGTTGTTATTTTCCCCAGCTGACTAGGTCTCCCCATCTTCCAACTTCTAGCTGGGCCAAGCCTTGGTACTGATAAATACCAGGTATTTTTTCTTCAGAGTCTGAGGATCAAAGGAGTCCCAATGTCTCGCACTTGAGAGGAGTGCAGGCTACCCATTTAGAAAGAGAGAGGGGAGAAAAAGGCATCCTTAGTCTTTCCCTCTGCTGTGCTAGAGTCCAAGGCGTCTCTCAGGCTTGCCTTGGTCGTGGATGTGCGCGCAGCCACCATTCATGACCAGGGGGGGATCAAGCCAGCAGGAGTAGTTGCGTTCACTTGCACTCAGCCTTGACCCTCCTTGTCAACTGCCTTTGATTTCTCTGAATTCTATATGAGCTCAAGACTAAGATGAATCCAGGGGGGGTCCCTGCATATTATTTGTCTATAATTCTCATCTGGCTGGCAGTTTATTTAGCTTCATCAAGCATAACCCAGCATCCTGCCCTGAAAAGAAGCAATTTCTCAAAGAGACACATAACTAAGTAACATTTCTCAGAAGAGCAGTAGGAAAAACATGATAGGAAAGATTGGAAGTCTTTGTCCGACACCTGAACAGGCTGGTGGGGACTGGGGGCCGGTGTAGGGTCCTTCGGATGTACCCTTGGCCAGATACCTTTAGTTGCCCCAGGACCTTATTCTGATCCCACATGATGGCCGAACTTCTGTGAAGGGAAACTGGTTTAGAACAAGGCCAACATTCCCAACACCAGAGGGCAAAGGGGGATCGACCATTGCTCTTAATATACATTCTAGGAGCTGGTGTGATCCTGTTCACTTCTCCAGCCCTAGTTGGTACCACTGTTCTTTTTTTTTTTTTTTTTTTTTTTGATGTGGAGTCTCACCCTGTCACCTAGGCTGGAGTGCAGTGGTGTGATCTCGTCTCACTGCAACCTCTACCTCCCAGGTTCAAGCAATTCTCCTGCCTCAGCCTTCTGAGTAGCTGGGATTACAGGTGCACACTACCACACCTGCGTAATTTTTGTATTTTTGATGGAAACAGGGTTTCACCATGTTGGCCAGGCTGGTCTTGAACTCCTGATCTCAGGTGATCTGCCCGCTTCAGCCTCCCAAAGTGCTGGGATTATAGGCGTGAGCCTCTGCACCCAGCCCCACTCTTCTTGCTCCCCCACACTCTAACCATACAGATTGGCTATTTTAGCTCTCTGGCAAACTAAACTCTTTCACTTCACAGCGTTATTTTTTTTTAAGGAATCTTTATTTATATAAATATATAAAATTCACATACCATACAATTCACTGTTTAAAGTATGTGGTACAGTGGTTTTTAGTGTATTCACAGAGTTGTACATCCATCACCACTGTTAATTTTAGAACATCTTTTCACCCCATAAAGGAACCTTGTACCCACTAGTGGTGACTCCCCATTCCTCTACCTCACCCCCCCCCACCTTCACTTCACTTCCTGCCAACCACTAATCTACTTTCCGTGTCTATGGGTTTGCCTTTTCTGGACCTTTCATGTGAACGGAGTCATATAAAATATGGTATTTTAGGATGGGCTTCTTTCACTTAGCCTGATAATTTTAGGGTTCATCCATGTTGTACCATCTATCAGCAATACATTCCTTTTTATTGTTGAATAAATGTTTTATTTTATGAATGTACATTTTATTCATAAGTTGATGAATATTTGGGTTATTTGTACTTTTTAGCTATTACGAATAATACTGCTATGAACATTTGTATACATGTTTTTGTGCAGATGTATGTTTTCATTACTCAAGAGTAATGAAGTAATGGTAAGTAGTGGTACATACTTAGGAGTGGAATTGCTGGGTTATATGGTAACTCTGTTAAACTTTTTGAGGAACTGTAAACTGTTTTCCATAATGACTGCACCATTATACAACCCCATCAGCAATACATGAGAGTTCCAATCTCTCCATATTTTTGCCAACACTTGTTATATTGTGTTGAGTCCAGCCTCATTCTTTTGAATGTGTCCTTCCACTTGTCCCAGCACTGTTTTTTGAAGACTGCCCTTTACCTGTTGAATTGTCTTGGCACCCTTGTGGTCAGTTGATGTTAATGTGAGGGTTTATTTCTGAATCGCCTCAGAGCCATTTATTTACATGCTGTTTTATCACCTGAAACAGTCTTCCTCACCTTCTAAACTTGAGTGTCCTCTTTCCTGCCACTGTTCCTGGCTAATTTGTTTTCATCCTTCAGGTCCTAATATAAATTTCTTTGTATAATCTTTAGAGATTTCATCCCTAATAATCCTCTAGTCCCTCCCAATCTAAATTAAGCTATTTTAAAATACTCTTTCATAATACTTTGTACTTTCTTATTGTACTACTTTTTAATAATATATTTGTTTATGTTTTTTAATTTAACACTTTTTTTCCTATTAAGTCATTAGGTCCATGAGAGCAAGGACCATGTTTGTTTAGTTTACTGCTGTATTCTCAGTGCCTCTCACCTTGCCTGTCAACATAAAAGTACTTCTTGAAAGTGGCAGGCAGTATTTTATTTTAAACTATGTATTTGTTTTGTTTCTATCTTAGGGCCATGAAATGACAAGCATTGGACTGCTACTTGGTGTTTCTGCTGCAAAACTAGGCACCATGGATATGTCTATTACTCGGCTTCTTAGCATTCACATTCCTGCTCTCTTACCCCCAACGTCCACAGAGCTGGATGTTCCTCACAATGTCCAAGTGGCTGCAGTGGTTGGCATTGGCCTTGTATATCAAGGGACAGCTCACAGACATACTGCAGAAGTCCTGTTGGCTGAGATAGGTATGGGATTAATAGTGCTGAATCTTCATAGGCATGTACTCTCCACTCCACATTAACCCAATTAAAAGTGATAGTAAAATTATAAAAATTAAGGAAAGACAATGGTAGCTTTTATGAGCAAAGAATGATCTAGTACTAATTAAAAAAAACAACAAAACTCTAAGTAATGTTATCCAAGGCTAATGTAACTGCAGGTTATTAACCTCCATGTTTATTTGCTAGCTCATTACTGAATTCCAGTGGTCACATTTAATGAGGTACCTGTGGTTTTAATCAGCTATGAGTATGCTGTTTATCCTGCTTTACCAGCAGTGTCTACCAGTGGCCTGCACTTAAAACTCAGAGTAGATTGTTTTGGTCCCTGAGAGACACTAAACTAAACACATCACAGTGTTTACTGTGTTGGATAACAGCACTTCCAATAGAAGTCAAGTAATGGACTCCTGCTTTCCTCCTTTACATGCTGGTGGGTATGTTGGTGATGAACCTGGAAATGGTAAGGTCCACACACTCACTTTAGTGAACATTGTCTCTGTTTTTTATTGGGTCCAAACTTTTTGGAAATCTTTATGTGTTGTCATCTTTTTCTGCCAAATGGAAATGCTATTGGCATTATTAATATGCTCAACAATTTAGTTACATACTTATATGTCCTATTCAAGATCTTTTCTATATGGATTTGTGAATATATTGTTAAAGATGTATTATTCTTTAGTATAATTGTATCAGATAGCTATTGCCACAGTGATGCTACATACATACAGGCATAGCATTGGCCCAGGCAGCTCTGCTTTAGGCTGTAGATGTGTAGCCGGCTGTTCTGCTGCCGTTCTGCCTCACCTGCCTCATTCTGGGACCCAGGCTGGAGGGTGTGTTTCTCTCGTGGTGTTGATAGAAACCTAAGAGAGAACCAGTGAAGATTGGGACCCATAATTTAGTCTACTATAATGATAAATGAAATTATTCCCAAAGTTGAAATGTTTTGGCTATCACAATACATGGTAGCATAAGTCAGAGATCTGAAAAACGCTTATTCTGAAAATATTCAACACTGGTTGTTAAAGCATGTTCATCTGCAAAGTAGTCTACCCTTCTTTGGCTATATCATGATGATGTCTAATGGTGTCATTGCACAGTCTCACAGCTGCGGCATACCTCTTTCACACTGTATATAGAAGATTTCATCTTTAATTCATATGTATATGCCTTTTTATATAATTACTGTCAGAATGTACATTAAAAATTTTTTTTTTTTTTGAGAGAGTCTTGCTCTGTTGCCCAGCCTGGAGTACAGTGGTGCAATCTTGGCTCATTGCAAGCTCCGCCTCCCGGGTTCACGCCATTCTCCTGCCTCAGCCTCCCGAGTAGCTGGGACTACAGGCGCCCGCCACTATGCCTGGCTAATTATTTTGTATTTTTAGTAGAGACAGGGTTTCATGGTGTTAGCCAGGATAGTCTGGATCTCCTGACCTTGTGATCCGCCTGTCTCAGCCTCCCAAAGTGCTGGGATTGCAGGCATGAACCACTGTGCCCCGCCTAAAAATTGTTTTTATAGATCATTGTTATAAATGGGTTTTAAAACAAATTTTGTGTAATATTCATTGAGTCGATGGTCTGTAAAATGCCTTTTTTTAACTTTTAGAACTTTTTAGATTGTTTCTAATAATCCTTTGTTGTTATATATAAACATTACACTGATTACCTTTGTGTGATTTTTTTCTTTAATTTTTATTATTTATTTATTTATTTAGAGACAGAGTCTCGCTCTGTCACCCAGGCTGGAGTGGAGTGGGGCGATCTCGGTTCACTGCAGCCTCTGCCTCCCAGGTTCAAGCAATTCTCCTGCCTCAGCCTACCAAGTAGCTGGGATTACGGGTGTCTGTCAGCATGCCTGGCTAATTTTTGTAGTTTTAGTAGAGATGGGATTTCTCCATGTCGGACAGGCTGGTCTCGAACTCGTTGACCTCAAGTGATCCTCCTGCCTTGGCCTCCCAAAGTGCTGGGATTACAGGCAAGGGCCAGCACGTCCAGCCTTTTTTCTTTTTTTTTAAATTGCATTTTTTTCCTATAGGGATAAAATTTCAGGAATGTGAACATTTTTTCAGAGGGAAGGGTTTTAATACATAGTACATTTTATCGTTTTCAACACGGTAGTGTTAGAGTTATAGGGTGCCTTTTAAAAGTATGAATTTTGTATCCAGTCAGACTTCTAGGATCAGTACACAGAAATTCTACCATAGTAGGGCTCATTATTATATACACTCGAAATAAATGTCTAAACATAATATTTAACAGCTTAACAACATAAGTAAGTGACCTCCTTATTCATTATCATCATTCGAACATGTTTCACCACATGTGATGTGTGGATTTGAAAGTAATGAAAACAAAATGTAAGATATTTCGTTGTTGTTGTTGCTGAGATGGTGTCTCACTCTGTCACCCAGGCTGGAGTGCAGCGACCTGATTTTGGCTCACTGCAACCTCTGCCTCCCAGGTTCAAGCGATTTTCCTGCCTCAGCCTCCCCAGTAGCTGATATTACAGGCACCTGGCACCCTGGCTAGTTTTTGTATTTTTAGTAGAGACAGGGTTTCACCATGTTGGCCATCTGGTCTCCAACTCCTGACGTCAAGTGATCCACCTGCCTCGGCCTCCCAAAATGCTGGGATTACAGGCATGAGCCAGCACACCCGGCCCAGATGTTTTAACAAAAAAATAAAACTTTTTTTTTGAATACTCTTACCTTTTTCCCTTTAAAATTTTTTTCTACTACTTGGTAATTTTTTTGGTAAGACTCAAAGTTTCACAGTATTTGAATATCATTGCTTATAAAGACTTAAATTGGCAATTTAAAAAGAACTATTTTGGGCCCTTTTTTTTGGTAGGTAAACCTACAGTTGTGGACACCATTTATTATAGTGTCATAACTTTCTGAATGGAGTTATATTCCATTCGTATGTCCAGTGCAACTTGCTAGAAAGTTAACTCTAAGATTTTTATGAGATGAGATTTTGAGAAGCTAGTTTGAACTGTGTTGCTTTTGTTTTTACAGGACGGCCTCCTGGTCCTGAAATGGAATACTGCACTGACAGAGAGTCATACTCCTTAGCTGCTGGCTTGGCCCTGGGCATGGTCTGCTTGGGGGTAAGCATAGCCTATGCCTTCCCATGCTTCAGTTAGGACATCTACATGTTGAGACAAATAACGTTGACACCTAAACCTGAATATTGTCCCTTACTATGACTTAATCTGCTGCCCAGCTCTATTGTCTTTTTGGATATTTTTCAAAGTACCAGATTTGCAAATTGAGAGAAACTGTGGTCAAGAGTGGGACTTTAAGATTTCTTTTCCTCCAGCTTGCAGTGTTCATGAACAAACTGAAGGGAATAAAGTTTTTTTTTTTTAAAGCGTTCAAGACATAGAATGAATAAGTGACAGCCCACTATGACTGAAAACAGAGAATAGTGAAAACGTATATGATCGGGAGCCTTAAGAGTCTATAGTAGCTGCTTGAAACAAACCCTAACCCCCTTTTGCCGTAGTGATGTTCACTGTGTATCCCAGAATGTTGTCCCAGTAGCATCTTCCTTGTGACAAAATGCAGTATCTGATTGACCCATCTTTAACTCCATCCAAGAGATGTGTACAGAATTACCAGAAATGTTTCATTAAATGATTGTTTCACTTGAAATGTGGTTCCCCTTGAAAAACCACCAATACATTCTTATGGTCAAACTAAATGATATAAAGAAAGTTATAAGGCCGAGGTGATCGGATCACCTGAGATTGGGGGTTCAAGACCAACCTGACCAACATGGAGAAACCCCATCTCTACTAAAAATACAAAATTAGCCAGGTGTGGTGGCGCATGCCTGTAATCCCAGCTACTCGGGAGGCTGAGGCAGGACAATCGCTTGAACCCAGGAGGCGGAGGTTGTGGTGAATCGAGATCACACCATTGCACTCCAGCCTGGGCAACAAGAGTGAGACTCCATCTTAAAAAAAAAAAAAGTTATAGTGGAAGGAATTTTTTTCATGTGTGTTCTGAAAATCCACCTTGTGGTTGACCATCTGTTAGGGCCTTGAATTCACATTGGCACGTGAGCTAAAGAGGCTGGTGGTATAATGGAAAATAATCAGCTGGGTGTGGTGGCTCATGCCTGTAATCCCAGCACTTTGGGAGGCTGAGATGGGCGGATCACGAGGTCAGGAGATCCAGACCATCCTGGCTAACACGGTGAAACCCCATCTCTACTAAAAATACAAAAAAATTAGCTGGGCATGGTGGTGGGTGCTTGTAGTCCCAGCTACTCAGGATGCTGAGGCAGGAGAATGGTGTGAACCCAGGAGGCGGAGCTTGCAGAGAGTCGAGATCGTGCCACTGCACTCCAGCCTGGGCAAGAAGGCGAGACTCCGTCTCAAAAAAAAAAAAAAAAAAAGAAAAGAATCACACAGGGAATTGCAACTTGAATTCTGGTCCTAACTAGTGATTCAAGTCATTTAACTACATTATTGTGTATTGCTTAATCAGCTTCATGGATTGTTGAGCCAGATGGCCGTGTTTTATATATAGCCCTGCGACTTAACTATAATAGCTGTATAACCTTGGGCTTAATCCCTCTGTGCCACACTTTCCTTATTTATAAAATAGGGTTTTAATAGTAGCTATTTGATATGGCTGTTCATTCATGTTAAACACACAGAATAGTGCCTGACACAGAGCATGCATTTAATAAATTACTATTATTATCATAGTTATTGTTGGAAAAGTTCTTAAGTACAATAATGACAGTATTCAGGTATTTACAGTTCCAGTTTCAATTATATAACTAATATTTTTCTTTATTGTTAAATGTAACTAACTCTAAAGCTCTTATGTATTTTAAGACAGTACTTAAAGTTGAACATTCATGTATTAAAACTTTTATGAGAATTATTAATATTTATTAACTCATGATTAATGTTTGCTTTAAATTGGAAATAAAAAAAACAAAACCCAAAATAACCTGCTTTGAAGTTAGTTCATTTTTATATTTGTTATGGGTATGTGTTGTGGATCTTCCTTCATAAAATTTCTTTTCACTCGTCTGTTATTGTCTTTTCCAGCATGGCAGCAATTTGATAGGTATGTCTGATCTCAATGTGCCTGAGCAGCTCTATCAGTACATGGTTGGAGGACATAGGCGCTTTCAAACAGGAATGCATAGGGAGAAACATAAATCACCAAGTTATCAAATCAAAGTAAGTACACAGCAAAGTAATAGATCAAAAGTCTGGAAGCTGGGAAGTTAATTGGAAAATACTAGTGTTCATACTGACATTGGTAAATGTGTTAATTTTAAGCATAGTTATTATTCAGAGGAATTTTATAATAATTTAGAACTCTTTTACATGCATAAACTCTTCTTTCAATAGGAAGGAGATACCATAAATGTGGATGTGACTTGTCCAGGTGCTACTCTAGCTTTGGCTATGATCTACTTAAAAACCAATAACAGGTATTTCTACCCACTCACCCTTCCTCCCGCGGTGATAGTGTGATATCCTCCCTGACCTTGGTTGTAAAATTCAGTTATCTCATGTGTTTCTTTCCCCTGTGCTGGATTAAGCTGATTTTTTGTTCTTTCAAGTACTGTAAGTTTTTGAAAGAAAACTTGCAGTATTTGAAGTTATAAAGATTTTACCTGGAAATAATGTATTTGGCTATTTTAATGGTATTTGACAATATAGTTTTCAATTTCTGTTCATTTCTGTTTTGTAGTTGATGTCAGTAACACCCAAGCAATGCCCATGTTTGTTTTCATTAATTTAGCATATTGCTGTGAGGACTGGTTAAGCCAGAAATACTTATCATTTAGTGTGATCTTGGTTACCATGTAAAACAATGGTTTTTGCCTACTTCAGGAGCTTTTGTAATTACCAAACCGTCTGCCTTCCTAACTTGCTATATTAATGCTGATGCTTGAAAGTAAGATCTTTGGCATTTATGCTTACACTTTGCATGAGGAATAAGTTGAGTACAAGACGTTATGCCATGTCTTTAGTCTATTAATTAAAAACAAATTCTAAGATTCAAGGAGTTTTCAGTGTTCCACATTTCTCCCTTTAGAAAAAGTAAATGTGTGCAGAATTAACAAAGTGTTTAAAAATAGATATTTATTACTTTACTATTTGGATGAATGTGTAGGGCAGTGCTTCCTTGGCACTGGGGATATTTCATTGAGCAAAACTAAAAATATCTTCCCTCATGGAGTTTATGTTATAGTAAGACATACATGTACATCTATAATAACTATTACATTAGAAGGTGTGAAGTATTGTGAAAAATATGTAGAGCTGTAGTGGAGCGGGAAGAAATGTTTTGAAATAGAGCTTGAGATTCTTGATTGTCTTGCCCTCTACTTGAACAGTGTGCCTTACTGTTTTCCTCCACCACCAGATCTATTGCAGATTGGCTCCGAGCCCCTGACACCATGTATTTGTTGGACTTTGTGAAGCCAGAATTTCTCTTGCTTAGGGTATGCTTTGTCTTCATTTGTGTTAACATGAGAAGTCTATTTGTGGTTCTTAAACTTAGCTTGTAAGCCGGGCACAGTGGCTTACGCCTGTAATCCCAGCACTTCAGAAGGTTGAGGCAGGAGGATTGCTTGAGTCCAGGAGTTTGAGACCAGCCTGGGCAACACAGGCTGTTCTCCATGAATGAATGAATGGCAAACATAAATGTCTTTACAAGAGAGCCTTTTATTTTTAATTTGTCATGCATATCTAATTGGCAGTGTTCATTTGAAATTTCACAAATAGGACTTTGGGAATCCCAAGAAAGGTAACCACGTTGATATTTAATACTTGGAGTGACATTTCACTGTCTCACATTATTATTCAAAACTTCCTAAAAAGCAACAAGTGATTAGGACTTTTTTACTGCTTTGTTTTACATTTTTGGATTACTATCAGGGATGTGATAATACTGTTAAGGTTGAATCTAAAGAAAGTAACAATTCACTTAATTGTCTAAAATTTTCCCTCTAATTCTTTTTTTTCTGATGTTTAAACTTAGCATATAGAAGCTTTTAAATTATGTGTAGATAGAGCTATGATTCTTTCCTTTGTGATTTTTTTCTTTTCCAGAGTACATTTTAAAAAGTACCCGCACAAGCCCTCTAAACTTTGGTGATATTCAACTCAATTTTAGTTTTTCTTTGTTAAAATTTAAATCTTTATTTTAATGAGTAGTTTAATGAGTAAGACGGTTCCCAACTTAGGATTTTTAACTTAACCATAGTGTGAAAGCGGTACTCATTCAGAAGAAACTACTTCCAATTTTAATTTTAATTTTTTTCTTGTACTCCTGGCAGTATGATGCTCTCATGGTGTTGGGTAATGGCAGCAAGCTGCAGCTCCCAGTCAGCCATGCAGTCATGAGGGTAAATGACCCATACTCTACAGTTTACTATGCTGACAGAGAATTTCACTCAATTATAGGCTAATTTGAGTGTTTGGAGCATGTTTAAGGTAGGCTAGGCCAAGCTGTGTTGTTTGGCAGGCAAGGTGTATTAAATGTATTTTCTTTTTCTTTTTTTTTTTTTTATGAGATGGAGTCTCACTCTGTGGCCCAGGCTGGAGTGCAGTGACACCATCTTGGCTCACTGCAACCTTTGCCTCCTGGGTTCAAGCTATTCTTGTTCCTCAGCCTCCTGAGTAGCTAGGACTACAGGCGTGTGCCACCATGCCTGGCTAATTTTTGTATTTTTAGTAGAGATGGGGTTTCACCATGTTGGCCAGGCTGGTCTCAAACTCCTGGGCTTCAGTGATCTGCCCGCCTTGGTCTCCCAAAGTGCTGGGATTATAGACATGAGCCACTGAGCCTGGCCTAAGTGTATTTTCAGCTTAAGGTATTTTCAACTTACAATAGGTTTATCAGTACATAACCTTCCTGCATTTGCATATACTTATTTTTCAAAATTCTCAACAGTTGGGAACTGATTCTTAAATTGTTCTGTTTATTATTATCATTGTTATAAAATGTATGAACTTTACTTGCTCTAATTAATTTTATCTCTGTTGCATTTTTAAGACACTTGCTCGATGCCTGATTTTGTGGGATGATATTTTACCAAATTCCAAGTGGGTTGACAGCAATGTTCCTCAAGTAAGTACATATAATAAATATTATATCTTTAGTAGCATAAAATTATGATTTCTTATGGGATTTTTCAAAATTCTGTAAAATATTTTTTCTTATGAAGGCAATATTGATCATTAGGATACCTCTTAAAGACCTAAGAACTTCCATTTTAAGATTCTGTGCTGCACAGACCACCGCCTTCTCTTTTAGCCTCAGGTCCCTAGAAATTGTAGTTTTTAAAAATTAAATATGAATATCGGTGTTGCGTGGGAGTTAAAAAATGAAAGGAAAAAACTAAATATGTTTGCCAGAATACTCTAAAAAAGTGTTGATATTTTTGTCATAATTAAGTGCACATTTCTAAGATGCTATTTTACTTCGTGACAATTTTAGATCTCCTAATAACTTTTAATTACTTTATATCATATTTATTCGATAAGCCAAGTATACTAGTTAAAAATGAACAGATTTTTTTGGTAAAAACTGAAAACCGAATATTGTAACTAGCCACTGCCCTTAGACAACTGTCCATGTCTAGTGGTCTCAGTTTCTTTATGTAGATTGTTTCTTTCAGTATTTTCAGAAGAAAAATCTCAAAGATTGAAAGAAGTTAATATGAACACCCACATCACCAATAGACTCTATAATAATATTTTACTGTATAAACATGTTTCATCACTTATCTATCCACTTATCTATTCCTCTATCTAATCCAACATTTTTTGATGAATTTCAATGTTAGTTCCAAACAGTAATACACTCCATCCCAAAATTGTACCATATGTATTAACTGGAATTGGTATTTACATTTTTTCCTTTTAAGATAAAATTTATATATCGTGAAATGCACAAATGTTAAGTACCCTATTGGATAAGATTTGACTAACACATAGACCTGTGGAAACCAGCCTCTATCCCTTGTGCCCCTTCCCTCTTTGTGCATTCACCTGTACCCCCAGGTAACCAATATGTATTTTGTTTATCTCCCAAAATATGTTAATTTCCAGATGTAGAACTTTATATTAATGAAGCCACATATGGCATATACCCTTTTGTATAAGACTTCTTTCAGCGTTTTCAAGATATTGAGTATATTAATAGTTCATCCTTTTTATTATTAGGTGGTACAGATTGAGTATTTCTTATCTGAAATGCTTGGGACCAGAAGCGTTTTTGGATTTTGGAATACTCGAAATTATACTTACTGGTTGAGCATCCCTCATCTGAAACTCTGACATCTGAAATACTTCAATGAGCATTTCCTTTGGGCATCATGTTAATGTTCAAAAAGGTTTGGATTTTGAGCATTTTGGATTTTGGATTTTCGGATTAGGGATCCTCAACTTGTGTATTCCATTTGCAATCCTATTAGGTAGGGCTGGAATTACTGAGGCATAGGGTAGATGGTATATTTAGTTTTATTAGAAATGATAAATCTTTTCCCAAAGCAGCTGTACCATTTGACACATTGACCAACAGTGTTTGAGAGTGTTGGCTGTTGCCCATCTAACCGATAATTAATGGTGTTAGTTTTTTAAGTTTTAGTGCTGCTGATGAATACGTAATGATATCTGACTGTTGTTTAAATTTGCATTTCTCTGCTGACTGTTAATGTTGAGAACTTTTTCATTGGTTTATTGGTCCTCCATCTATCTTTTTTTGTGAAGTGTCTGTGCATGTCTTTTGCTTATTTTTTAAAAAAATTTGTATTTTTATTACTGCGTTGCTGGAGTTTTTTTAATGCATTCTAGAAACCCGTTCTTTGTCAGATTTCTTTTTTTTTTTTTGAGATGGAGTCTTGCTCTGTCGCCCAGGCTGGAGTGCAGTGGTGTGATCTCGGCTCACTGCAAGCTCCGCCTCCCAGGTTCACGCCATTCTCCTGCCTCAGCCTCCCGAGTAGCTGGGACTACAGGCACCCGCCACCATGCCCTGCTAATTTTTTGTATTTTTAGTAGAGACGGGGTTTCACTGTGTTAGCCAAGATGGTCTCGATCTCCTGACCTCGTGATCTGCCCGCCTCGGCCTCCCGAAGTGCTGGGATTACAGGCGTGAGCCACCACGCCTGGCCTGTCAGATTTCTTTTGCAAATATCCCTCCCACTCTGTGGCTTGCATATTCATTTTCTTAGTAATAATTTTAATGAGCAGAAGATATTAGAATGTTAAATAATGTCTGATTTGTCAGTTTTTTCTTATGGTTATTCTCTATTCCTATGAAAAAAACCATTTGTCTAACCCCATCATGAAGATAATCTTTTCTGCTTTTCTCTAAAAGCTTCCAAAGTTTTAGTTTTGTGTATACTTACATAATTCATTTCAAAGTAATTTTGTATATGATATGAGGTACATGTTGAGGTTGTCTACCAGGGAAGCTCATCAGAGACTCAGCACCCAAGTTTTTAATTGGGACCTGACATGTAGGTAAGGTACCCTCTGCCTTGTATGTACCCAAGTTCCAGATTCTCAGGAGAATGTGTGTTAGCCTAAACCACGTTGTTTGTAGTTCAAGCACGGTAAACACAGGTATATACATTTTGTTTTAAAGCAACCGGTTAATTTACTTGGAATCAGATTGTCATTCTTTCTTGGTTGCTAGCTCTAATCTTGGTGCACGTCTTTATCCTGTGGGCTGTTGGAGTCTGCCCTGTGCACACATGGTTCATGGATCAGGCAGACATTTGCACAGAATTTATATACAGAGCTTGGGGCCCTGTCTCTGTGGCTCTCTCCTTTGTCATATTCTGTCCTCACCTCCCAATGGGTGTGGTATTTTCCTGTATCCTGGTTGTTAAGGCCAAGAAGGTTATGAGCTTTTAATTGTAGCTTTTGCCATCTTTCTTGGCGCAGATAGACCTGCTTTCAGAGCAGAAACCGCAGAAAGGAAAATGTATCTAGTGGTGTTCCTCTCTTCCATGGATCGACTCTCCCCTCTAGAATCTGCTTGCTTTTGTCCTCCAGTGTCTTGAGGTCAGGAGTTGGTGAATTAAGCCCACCTGATTTTTAGAAAGAAAATTTTATTGGAATATGGCCATGCCCATTTGTTTACTTATTGTCTGTAGCTGTTTTTTGTTACAAATGCATAGATCAGTAGTTGCTGGTATTTACTATTTGACCCTTTTAGAAATAGTTTACCGACCCCTGCCATAGATAGTTTGGATTTTATATTTTGTCTAGGGTTTATACTTGTTGTATGAGTTGATCTGATAGGAATTTATTCATCTATTATTTGAGGAAGTAGAACTCCTAGGTTTGTTTTTATTTGTTTAGTTCTTCCAGTTTTGTTAATCACTGATATGAAAGAGGTGAGGAAGAATTGTTTTAAATGACTCGCTCATTTGTTACCATAATTTTAACTCTAGCATATTCAGATGTCAGAGATTTTAGTTTTTTTGAAAGTGCTCTTTGAAATGTATATTGTAGGATGAAATACTTTTTCTTTCACTCCTTCATTCAGCACATACTCATTAATCCTCTGTAAATGCAAGGCACGTGCTAAACTCTGTAATACATTAAAGATACATCAGACATATAGAGTGTTCTCAAAAAACTTTAGTTTATTAAATGCACTAAGTTCAGCTTACTGAGATTAAACATGTGTACAAGTAACTGTAATTCCAAAGTGGAAAGTATAAATTCATGTCAGAGAGTGGTCTTTTTTGCGGCCTGGTGTGGTGACTCGTGCCTGTAATCCCAGCACTTTGGGAAGCCAAGGTGGGCACATCACTCGAGGTCAGAGTTCGAGACCAGCCTGGCCAGTGTGGTGAAACCCTGTCTCTACAAAAAACAAACAAACAAACAAAAAAACACAAAAAACAGTGGTCGTTTTTTGTTTTTATGAAAATATGGTTTTTGGACTTTTAGTATAGAATAACATCTCTCTCTTTTTTACTTCAGACTTTATAATGTTATATTTGGTCTTTATTACATCAGGGATACTGCAAATAGGAGAGATAACAATTTCACAGTTCTCCTGATTGATATTTCCTATCAGCTTCCACTTTTCTCTGGGTTCTCATCTGGAGCTACATTGATTCTGGAGCAGGGTTCCTTGTAGTGAGCAACCTAGCGTTAAAAGGAGGATTTTTTTTTTAAAGGTCACTTTGTAAACTGCTTGTCTGTTTGAACTTAGGGCATATGTAAAATAACAACTAGCATCTTCATAGCACTTTTTCTTTCATAAAAAGCTTTACATACAGGGTGCGGTTACTCACGCCTATAATCCTAGCGCTTTGGGAGGCCAAGGAGGGTGGATTGCTTAAGCCCAGGAGTTCAACACCAGCCTGGGCATCATAGTGAGATCCCATCTCTACAGAAAAATACAAAAATTAGCCAAGCATGGTGGTGTGCACCTGTAGTCCTAGCCACTTGGGAAGCTGAGATGGGAGGATTGCTTGAGTCCGGGAGGTAGGGCTGCAATGAGCCGTGATCGCACCACTGCACTCCAACCTGGGTGACAGAGGGAGACCCTGTCTCAAGGCAAAAAAAAAGAGGAAAGATATTTTAAGTCTTTGATTTGGTGATATTCAGTACATAAGAAGACTGTATTATAAGTGCCTTCTAATATTTATTTATTTTATTTTATTTTATTTTTGAGACTGAGACAGGGTTTTGCCCTGTTGCCCAGGCTGGAGTGCAGTGGTGCGATCTTGGCTCACTGCAACCTCCACTTAGCGGGCTCAAGTGATTCTCGTGCCTCAGCCTCCTGAGTAGCTGGGATTACAGGCCCAGCTAATTTTTTGTTTTTCAGTAGATACGGGTTTCACCATGTTGGCCAGGCTGGTCTCGAACTCCAGGCTTCAAGTGATCCGCCTGCCTTGGCCTCCCAAAGTGCTGGGATTACAGGCGTGTAAGCCACTGTGTTCGGCCAATATTTATTGTTTTATTGAAGAAAACATCCTGAAATGTTAAGAAATCTTCTAAGAAATCTTCTCAGAAGATTAAAAGAATAAATCTTAAATACATTCATATGTTTAGCAAACATTAGCTTTATCTTTTTTGGCTTTTTTCTTTTAGGAGAAAAGGATCAAATGTCTTCTTGGTTATTACAGCTAGATATTCTGTGTATGTTTTTCGGTAAATTGTTCATTACCTATACTAAAAGGAAAAGGATGTCTTTTCTAAACAATAGTTGTAACATAGCTGATAAACATATTGACAGTTTAGCTTATCTTAGCCTAGTGAATAACCTCACCTGTGGTAGGTATGTTGGATTAATGCTGGAAACATCCCGTAAAGAAGAAGTCTGATTAGAGTTGTCTCCTATTTCTCTTTTCCCACTTCTTCCCCTCACCCCTGCCCCAATTCTAAAGCCATCATCTTTGTATTTCAGTTGACTGGTATGCAATATTATGACCCTGTTACTGATTTAGAATATACTTACGTCTTCCTGTTTATATTTGTTCAGCCCTATTTAATTATTATTATTATTATTTTTTTTTTTGAGATGGAGTCTCACTCTATCACCCAGGCTGGAGTGCAGTGGCGTGATCTTGGCTCACTGCATCCTGCACCTCCCAGATTCAAGTGATTCTACTGCCTCAGCCTCCTAAGTAGCTGGGATTACAGGCGTGCGCCACCACGCCCAGCTAATTTTTGTATTTTTAATAGAGATGGGGTTTCACCATGTTGGTCAGGCTGGTCTCGAACTCCTGACCTCGTGATCCACCTGCCTTGGCCTTCCAAAGTGCTGGGATTACAGTCGTGAGCCACCATGCCTGCCCTTAATTATTATTCTTACTTAGCCCATCTTAGATTTGAAATTTGATTACATTCAATGAGATTAAAATATAGGCTTTTGAGTGAAATGGTTTGGTAAAGCTTACTTTATATAAATATAGCCATGATAAGCAGTATGTTATTCTTCAGATTATTAAATATTTGTAATGAGAACATTGATATCTAAGTATTCTTGCTTTCTATATTGACAGATTATAAGAGAAAATAGTATCTCTCTCAGTGAAATCGAATTGCCGTGCTCAGAGGATTTGAATTTGGAAACTTTGTCGTAAGTGATGTATAATGCAAATTAGCTATCCTAGCGTCTATCAGATAATTAAATTGAAATATACCATGTGGGAGTAATATTGTCCTTGATTTAAGTAATTATGAATCCCACATATTTCTAACCATTATTTATCAGATGTTCATGACGTTGGTTAAAGCTCTCTGAAGTATAGAGCTCTTGCCCTCAAAAAGCAATATTGGAGATTTAACTTGTATGTATTTGTCTTTTATCCTTTCCATTAAAGAAATTGGCAACAATTTTAAAAATTGTTTTTGCTGCATATGAAACTGTAGGCAAGGGGCAAACTTCATGAGTAAGGTGACCCGATGCTTCTGCTGAAAAAAAAATACATAGAAATCTGCTGACTGAGGGCACTTCATCATTCCCAGAAAGATATAAACTAGCTTAGAGAACTGGAATATTTATTGTTACTTATTTCAAGTTAATTTTAAAGTAAAATAATGATTATTAAATTTCTTGTCACCTGTTTTCAGCCAAGCACATGTCTACATAATTGCAGGAGCCTGCTTGTCTCTGGGTTTTCGATTTGCTGGCTCAGAAAACTTATCAGCATTTAACTGTTTGGTAAGAAGTATTTTAGTTTACTGTGTTCTTTTTTTTTGTTTGTTTTAACAAAGCTTTAAGATGCTTCTTATAACTTGGAATTTTTTCTTTTGTTTTTCTAGCATAAATTTGCCAAAGATTTTATGACTTATTTGTCCGCACCTAATGCTTCTGTTGTAAGTCTTTTTATCATTCTCCTTGGGAATAAAATTAAACTTGAAAAAAATTTACTGATGATCCAGTTACTTATGTGTTATCAGATATCTCTGCTGTTTTTTTAAATGTAGAATGAGAGATCTGAAGAACCATTAGCTCATCTTTTTATTTTTGTTTTGCGATATTAACTTAGGTGAGAATATGATTACCCTGGAAGGATGCACAGGTATCTAGTTCTTGTGACAAGAGAATAAAAAAGGCCATAATATTCACGGGTTGTCATACCTCATGTAATTCTGTCTCAGTATTAAATATTGGGAATTTCCTTTTTAAAAAATATTAGTACTTAGTAAGGATTCAGTTGCTTTTGAGGCATTGCTTCTCTGATGACAAGACTGAGAGATTTTATTTCCTGGTAAAAGCTACATGGATTTATGCAACACTATTTATAATATGGAAAAGTTAGAAACATCAAAAAAGTCTAAAAGTAGTTAATTAAATTTGATTATGGTTTATTTATATATTCTTACACAGTGGAGCTACCAAAATCACGTTATACAAGAATTTTTTGTGGCTGGGTGCAGTGGCTCATGCCTATAATCCTAGCAACTTTGGGAGACTGAAGCAGGAGGATCATTTGAGCCCAGGAGGTTGAGATCAGCCTGGGCAACATAGGGAGACCCCATCTCTACAAAAAATAAAAAATTAGCCAGGTGTGGTGACACACACATGTAGTCCCAGCAACTTGGGAGGCTGAGGTGGGTGGATCCTTTGACCCCAGGAGGTTGAGGCTGTTGCATCACTGCACTTCAGCCTGGGTGACAGAGTGAGAGACCCTGTCTCCAAAAAAAACAACAACAACAAAAAAGAAACAACTTTTTTTTGTGAGTGAAGCTTGCTTGTAATAGGTCATTTAAAAGGTTAAAAATATTGTGTAGAGTAACATCTCCATTTCATTTGGAAAAAATATGTGTAGGTAAAGGAAAAATTCAGAGAAAAAGCCAAAACGTTAACACCAGTTATCTTTGGGTGTGACATTCCAAGTGATTGTTATGTCTTGATATTCAATATTTGAAATTATCTCTGTTGAACTTATATTTCATAATCAGGGAAAATATTTGTATTTACAGATTTTTTTTTTCTCTGAGACAGCGTCTCGCTCTGTCTCCCAGGCTGGAGTGCAGTGGCGCGATCTCGGCTCACTGCGAGCTCCGCACCCCGGGTTCACGCCATTCTTCTGCCTCAGCCTCCCGAGCAGCTGGGACCACAGGCGCCCGCCACCACGCCCGGCTAACTTTTTGTATTTTTTAGTAGAGACGGGGTTTCACCATGTTAGCCGGGATGGTCTCGATCTCCTGACCTCGTGATCCGCCCGCCTTGGCCTCCCAAAGTGCTGGGATTACAGGCGTGAGCCACAGTGCCCAGCCCAGATTTTTTTTTAAGTTACAAACTTTTGTAGTCTTCTAATGATGGCTAAGCTAGTTCTGATAATAAAGAAATGTAACACAACAGTTACAGTGATGTCATCTCTTCACCTGACAGACAGGTCCTCATAACCTAGAAACTTGTCTGAGCGTGGTGCTGCTGTCTCTCGCCATGGTCATGGCTGGCTCAGGAAACCTAAAGGTTTTGCAGCTTTGTCGCTTCTTACACATGAAAACGGGTGGTGAAATGAACTATGGTTTTCACTTAGCCCACCACATGGCCCTTGGACTTCTATTTTTGGGAGGAGGAAGGTAAGTGAATATGTATTTTTCCAATGAAAAGATCTCATTGGTGAGATCTATAAGGGTGACTTACGTTGATCTTGAAGATAACATGAAAAATTTAAATTCTGACTAGCTCTTAGCTTAACTAGCAGCATTATTCGACTTGATGGGCTTCTTTGTAGTTTAACCGTCAACTTATGGTCTACTCAGTAGAATTACCATCCTCTCTGACACACTGAGCATCACTGTATTTCTCAGAATAGTCTGTGCTCGGTTCTTCAGTGCATCACTGCTTGTGCCCACCTGGTTAAAAATTTTACCATTCCACTAAGCTACTTTCTCAGAAAGGTCACAAACAAAATCGTTTACCAGATCCTGTGACATTTTCTTAGTTTTCAGCTTTCTTGATCTTTTTCCAACATGTGCCATTCCTGACTACATCCTTTATAAGACTGCCCTGGCTTTAGATGAACCAAAAACCATGTACAGAAAAGTGTATAAATCATAGGTGCACAGGTCAAAGAGCTATCTACCACAGAAAAATCTCTTTGTTATCATGTAGATCAAGATTCTGTATAGCACTTTCAACTCACAGCACCCGTCTCTGCTTCTGCCATGCACCCCTCTCAATCACTATTATCTTCCTTTCCCCAAAGATAGCCCTATCTGGTCTTCTAACACCTTACGTTGATTTTGCCTGTTTTTGACATTTAAATTGAATTATACACGATGTATCCTTTTGCACTTTACTTTTGCTCAACATTATGTTTGTAAGATTCATGTTGTATGTAGCAATGGATTATTCAAGTTTCAGTGTTGTATTACACTTTCATTGTATGACTACCACATTTTATTGATCTCCCCCATTGATGGATATGCTTCTTGCTTCTAGTTTGGGGCTGTTATGAACAGTGCTGTTAGGGAAAGTTGTACATGTCTTCGATTTTGTTGTATATAGAACTGTGTGGAATTGGGTCATAGGTTGTACGTGTGTATTCACTTTCAGTGAATAATACCATCAGTGCTGCAGTGCACTTGTACCATTTTACATACTCATGGGCAGGATGTGAAGTTCCAGTTGTTCCATATCCTTGTCAACCCTTGTTATTGGTATAGTCTTTTTAGTAGTCTTTTTAGTTTTAGCCAACTAGTAGGTATATAACAGGATCTCATTGTGGCTTTAATTTCTGTATTTCTGAATAATGTTCTTGAGTACCATTTTACACTTTTAATAGCCAACTGCAAAACCTCTTTTGTGATGTCCAAATCTCTTGCTACCCAGTTTTTATATTTATCTATTTTAAAATTTTTATTTGTGGTAAAATACACATAACATAAAACTTATCAATTTTTAAGTATGCAATTAAGTAGTGTTAATTATATTCACACTGCCGTGCAACCAATCTCCAGAAATTTTTCATCTTGCAAAACTGACATTCTATAGCCATTGAACAACTCCCTGTTTGCCCCTCCCACCAGCCTCTGGCAGCCACCATTCTACTTTCTGTTTTGATGAGGTTGACTGCTCCACATTGGTTTAGCTTTGTATTGATTACTGTGGATTCTTTAAACTATGTCCTAAGCCCTTGGTCAGCTTTGTTTGTTGCAGCTATCTTTGCCACCCTAGGGCTTGTTTGCCTTTTCACTCTCTCTCAGTGGTGTCTTTTGATGACACAATTATTAATGTTCTTCTTTTATAGTTTTTACTTCTTTGTGTTGTTTATGAAATATTTTCTTACCCAGAGAAAAGGAGATATTCTCCTATCTTATCTTCTAGAAGTTTTTAGCTTTTCCATTCACATTTGAATCTAAAATCTACCTGGCACGGATTTTTCTCCATGTTTTTTTCCCGCTGCTATTGAAAAGTTTATCCTTCTCCACTGCTCTGCAGTACCACCTCTATTATATAAGTTAAGTGCCTATACACCTGTGTTTATTTCTGGGCTATTAGGTTTTGCTGGTCTGTTTTTCTGTACTTGCACCAATACTCCATTGTCTTATGAGTCTTGTTATCCAGTTGAGTAAATCCTTCAAACTCGGTTTTCTTCTTCAAAAGTGTGTTTTTCTCTTGGCTCCTTGCATTTTCATATAAATATTGGAATCTGTTCCATACTAAATAATCTGATAAAATATTGATCAGAATTGCCTTGATTGTATGTGTCTGTGTTAAGGAGATTAGAATCTGTTACAGTATTGTCTTCCATTCTGTGAATATGGTATACCCCTGTATATATTTAGCTGTAGTGTGTGTGACCTTGATCAATGGCTACAGTGTCTGTGTAGGCTAATTTTCCCCTCTTCTTTAAGACTGAGCTTACCATTGGAACTCACCTTTTCAGAAGTACAAAAAGTAAAGTTGATCAGAAAGGTGTGTATTTCCTCTCAACATGTTTTGTGGAATTGTCTTTCTTTAATTGTTTAGAATTAATAATGGTCAAAGAAATATTACTATGAAAATTCTTATTTATTTTATTCTATGATTTTTGAAAATTTTTTCCTTTCAAAATGAGCCTCTCCGTGTCTCTTAATCCCATCTTTCATTGTTCCAAACTGTATGACTCTCCTCGCTCTTCTTTCGTATCGAATTGATTTTTCTACCATTCTGCTACTGCTTTTCTAGTGATTTTTGGTTTTTAAATGGTCATATATACTCTGTAACAACATTTAAACTTAGCATAGCTACACCATTATGTTTCTACCCAAAATTTCTAACATTAGTATCTTAATATTTATCTTTGAATTTTGGTTTATCAAAAGGGTACAAAGAAAATGGCTTATTCCATGCACATGCCAAAATAGATGTATCTCTTTGCTTAAATTTTGAAATCTCTTCTTTCTAATCCATTAAATATATAAGCATATATAATGAATTATAAGTCCTTATTTAATACTCCAATTATTTTAAAAGACAGGGAAAGAGATTTGGGTATATGTGTGTGCATGTTTGTGTGTAAGAAAAGTATTTATACTCAATAGTTTTAGAAGTGGTTTTATGTGATGTCCTACACCATCTTTATTTCAAAATATTTTTTAGAAAAACTCTGGGACTTTAGATTAATTTGCCTGTTTGCTATACTAAATTTGAGCAACAATAAAGTAATTTAAGGAAAATTTTAATAGACCCTTTACCAAGAGAATATTTTTAAAAGTCTATGAAACTTTATCTTAAAAGTGTATCATATTGGTGAGGAAAGAATTTATATTTAGAGGAATAGTTGTTTATACAGTCATTGTAACTTTTTTTTTTTTTTGAGAAGGAGTCTCGCTCTTTCGCCCAGGCTGGAGTGCAGTGGCGCGATCTCGGCTCACTGCAAGCTCCGCCTCCCGGGTTCACGCCATTCTCCTGCCTCAGCCTTCCAAGTAGCTGGGACTATAGGCGCCCGCCACGGCGCCCGGCTAATTTTTTGTATTTTTAGTAGAGATGGGGTTTCACCGTGTTAGCCAGGATGGTCTCGATCTCCTGACCTCGTGATCCGCCCGCCTCGGCCTCCCAAAGTGCTGGGATTACAGGCGTGAGCCACCGCGCATGGCCTCGTTGTAACTTTTTAATGATAACTTTTGCCTTTTCATTTAGTCAGTCATTCTAAAGGAATCATCATGCTTCACAGAAACAGAAAAAACTGTTTAAATACCAATTACAACATTCTGTATTTTTAAAACTCAGATTTATAATTGTATATTTATATACATAGGCATATACATAGGCATATACATTAATAAAATTGGATAAGAAGGTGGCATACTTGGTACATGACTCTTCAATATTTATAATTTCTAGGACTGCATTCATGGTCTTCACTACTCTGCTATTTTATGTTAAAACCTTGCTTCAAGGGTTGAAATTTAACATTTATGGGATATTACTTTGGCTTTAAATAGTGATGATCTTGAAATGGCCCAAGGACTAAATGAAAAGTGGAATGTTCACACCACTGACACTCTTGTATTATGAGGGCATCTTATCAGTATGCCTTACTATTATACACCAGTTTCCTGATTCTCAAGAATGCCTTGAAAGTATGTGCAATATAATCAATAACATCTGTCCCCACCGAACTTACTTTGCAGGTACTCTTTGAGCACATCAAATTCTTCCATTGCCGCTCTTCTCTGTGCCCTTTATCCGCACTTCCCAGCTCACAGCACTGACAACCGGTGAGTCTAGTGATTCTGTCTTCAATGTGATACTTATTAAGTTCTCTAAGGGGATCATTTGGTTGTATTTTGGTTTCATGGAATTATTTCCAAATTAGCATTGTTTTGTTCTCCAACTTAGTTATATTCCTGGCTAAATCTTTTAAGAAAATTATCTCACAAAGTATTAGACCAGAGGATAACTTTGGACACCTGATGACTGACCAGTCTTCCACCATTCTCAGATCTATAGAACTGCTCTAAACCCAAAAGGAGATCAAGTAAAGTTGTCTTTAGGGAAAAAATCATCAGGTAAAGGATAGTTGCCAAGGGAAGTTCAGGATACTTTTTTTGTGCTCTAATTATTTAATTCCAAGAGAAAAGTTTGTCTGATTTAGTGGCAATGTCTGTATGAGTTTCTTTTTTTCCTTTCACATAGATGCCGATAAATTGTGTATAAATGACATAGACGGGACAAGAAAAGCAAAATACAGCAAAAAACCAGAGACAATTTAGAAGTGGCAGTGAGTGGTAGAACTTCAAACCATGTAGAAGCAGTTAAAAGCTCTGTGTTTTAGGGTACGAGGAACCACCAACACTTAAGTTTCCCTAGATATAGTTTGAGACATAGCAGATCTCTTGCATATGGGGGCAGAGAATAAAATAGCCCCTATAAGACACCTGAGCCCTGTGCTCAACTTAAGGCATCCCATGTTGTCTCCCCAGAGACAGGTCAAGAGCCCTTTATTGTTTATGGGAGAAGGGTCAGGAGCACTTATCACAGTAACCTAAGCCATCATTTTAAACTACACTACAATGTATAACCAACGACAGAAGAAAGATAGCTGTTTTACAAAAGTAGCCTAATCTGAAGACCACACTCTGATGGTAGGTGCAGCACAAGAATATTGTTAAGTTAATACACTTCTGACATGTGGCCTCATGCCTGTCATTTAGGAAAGATTTTTTGAGTTGTTAAAGCCAATTATTGGCTAGGGTACAGTGGAGAGCCACACTCACGTACTGCTGGTCATAGCTATTTGGCTTAGCTATTGTAAACGAAGCCATTTTCCATTTGGTGACAAGAATCTTTTTTTTTTTTTTTCGAGATAGAGTCTCGCTCTGTCGCCCAGGCTGAAGTGCAGTGGCGTGATCTCGGGTCACTGCAAGCTCCGCCTCCCGGGTTCATGCCATTCTCCTGCCTCAGCCTCCCATGTAGCTGGGACTACAGGCACCTGCCACCACGCCCAGCTAACTTTTTGTATATTTTAGTAGAGACGGGGTTTCACCGTATTAGCCAGGATGGTCTCCATCTCCTGACCTTGTGATCCGCCTGCCTCAGCCTCCCAAAGTGCTGGGATTACAGGCGTGAGCCACTGCGCCTGGCCGGTGACAAGAATCTTTATGTAATTTGTTAGTGTCATTTTTTCTGATCTTTATTGATTTTATTTTTAATAGATTTATAGAAATAAATGTATTTGAGTAAGAAGAGGGAAGTTACTGTCTATAAAGCTTTTTAAAATTGAAGTCTCATTTTATCCTTCTTTTTTTTTTTTTGAGACAGAGTCTCACTCTGTTGCCCAGGCTGGAGTGTAGTGGTGCGATCTCAGCTCACTGCAAGCTCCGCCTCCCAGGTTCACGCCATTCTCCTGTCTCAGCCTCCTGAGTAGCTGGGACTACAGGCGCCAGCCACTGCGCCTGGCTAATTTTTTTGTATTTTTAGTAGAGACGGGGTTTCACCGTGTTAGCCAGGATGGTCTCGATCTCCTGACCTCGTGATCCACCCATCTTGGCCTCCCAAAGTGCTGGGATTACAGGTGTGAGCCACTGCGCCTGGGCGATTTTTTTTTGTTTTTTCTTCTGAGATGGAGTCTTCCTCTGTTGCCCAGGCTGCAGTGCAGTGGTGTGATCTCAGCTCACTGCAACCTCCATCTCCTGGGTTCAAGTGATTCTCCTCCCTCAGCCTCCCGAGTAGCTGGGATTCCAGGCATGTGCCACCAGGCCTGGCTAACTTTTGTCTTTTTAGTAGAGATGGGGTTTCATCATGTTGGCCAGGCTCATCTCGAACTCCTGACCTCAGGTGATCCACCTGCCTTGGCCTCCCAAAGTGCTGGGATTACAGGTGTGAGCCACTGTGCCCAGCCTATTTTTCTTTTATGAGATCTTAAAATATGAAAACTTTTTTGTTTTTACATTCTAAAATAGAAATCTTAAAGTTTAAAAAACTGTTTGAGAACCCCAAAGAAAAATATTGCCATACCCACATGGATGTTTGATGTACTGTGTTTCAAGGACGTGTGTATATGTATGTGCAAGTATGTATGTGTAGAAGAACTTTGCTGTCTGAGAAGAATTGACATCCTGTCTTCCCCCTTCTTCCCTATCAATCCTTAAGGAAAAAGAAAAAAAAAATCTGAGAAGATAAAAACAGATGCCTATGTTGAGTAGAAAGGGGTTTTTGAGAGTGATTGATTTTATAAGTGGTCAGTTTGATAGTAAATATTTTCATGTTATGATACTTTTTACCTCCCTGTAAAACCTCTTCACTGTGAAGACTAAAGTAAAGAATTATTGGGTCAAAGGTCAGTTATATAAAATTTTTAAAAGATAATTTCTCCATTACTTTTTAATAGAATCTTATCTGCCTTTAAGATTTCTGTTCATTTGAAGATATTACTTGAGCTTCTGTCCTGTCTTAGCTTATAGGCAACGGCAGATTGCAGAGCTCATATTGTCACAGTTGTTTGTTACCCACTCTCTGTCTTTTTTGTGAACAGGTATCATCTCCAGGCTCTCCGGCACCTCTATGTGCTGGCCGCGGAGCCCAGGCTTCTAGTGCCTGTGGATGTGGACACAAACACGCCCTGCTATGCCCTCTTAGAAGTTACCTACAAGGTATCTCTCCCTATCATTTACTTGTAATTTTATTACCACTCATCCGTCTTTGCAGGTCATAATATTTCAAATGTGTTGTCCAGTAAAAGGTGATAAGTAATGAATTGAACTTTCATAAAAATGGAAGCTTCCAAAGTTATTGTATATCCTGCCAGGCCATTCATGCTCATTTAAATGATCTGGGTATCACTTTTTAGGGATCATCAGCTACTCTTTTGTCCTTAGAGCTTATAATTTGAAAATGTCCCTGTTAACTTTATGTGACTGACAGTAGTGTTTTGTATAACTGATTGAGTTAGACCCATTCTTAGATTTGTTAGCTGAAACTTGAAAACCCAAAATTGTGTATTTGATGACAGCTTTCATTTAGATGCATAGATTACAAGTTTTATATCCTCCTTTCATTCAGCAAATTATTAAGTACCTTCTGTGACTCAAAACCGTGCTAGGCTCTGGGGTACAAAATGAGATGACATTGTCATTTTCCTTAAGGAACTTCTATCCCCTGGGGAGCCAGGCATGGATACAATGGGAATAGAGGGTGATAATTGGAGATGTCTGTGGAATGCAGGGGAAGCAGAGAAGCACCCTCGCTTAGCTGTTAGTTATGGGGTTGAGGCTGTCAACAGTGGACAGTGTTTGGACTAGGCCTGGCCCACTGAGTGGAGCTCCTTCCCAGCGGAGAAGGCAATGTGCAGAAACCCAGCAGCATTGGAGCACGGCCTTTGGTGCTGCTGGCCTGTGAGGAGCAAGGCTTGAAGTGATGGGAAGGACACATACCCTGTGAGGAATTTAGACATCAGTCCTTTAAGATTTGAGTACCAGAGAGGATTTTATACCATTTAAAGGTCTCTGTATGAACTGCGGGGATAGGGGGAGGTATAGCGTGGAGATGTTTCTTCTTTGTTGTTTCCACTGACTACCTAGTGAATTGTGGCTGGACTTTTACATTTGTAAAGGGCACTCAGTGGTATGAACAAACCAAAGAAGAATTGATGGCTCCTACCCTTCTTCCAGAACTCCATCTTTTAAAGCAGGTAAGCTGGGTGTGGTCGGGAGTTGGGTCCAAGGGGTCAATTCAACAGAATGGCATAGCGTTAAAGATAGCTAAATAAAAGCCTCAGCTTTCTTCATGTATTGTAGCAGATAAGAAAGCTGCAGCAGGAGGAAAAGTCAGAAAGAATAGAGCAAGTCTTTTCTTAGAGATCTTTATTGATAGCTTAGGTGGCCTCAGAACATGATTTACATTCATTTTTTGTCTGGAAATGGAGCTTGTTAACTTCCAGATGCCTGTTTCTGGCTGTTATTGTTTCCTCTGAGAAACATAGGTTTCAGTTTGTCAGATGAGCATATTTTTCAGCTTTGGGTTGACTATGTTTACGTTTATCTTGACAGATTAAAGTAAAAGGCCCAAGATACTGGGAACTGCTCATAGATTTAAGCAAAGGAACACAACACTTGAAGTAAGTACATTAAATTTCTCAAATTTACCTTTTAGGAAGTGAATAGAAGTATATAAGAAGGTATAAATTATAGATTATTATCTGGAATGTGACTCATCACCCTTTAATCTCATTCAAGACTATATGTAGGGTATGTCTTCTGTAAAACAGTCTGTATCTTTGAAACAGGACTTGTGTTAGAAAATGAAAGTTTTAATTTCAAACTCCAACCCTAAATATTTATTTATTGAGAAACTTGCACTGACTTCCTTGTGAGAGTAATGGACTTATCTCTTGGTATATTAACATAAGATTTAGTTTAAGAAAGTGTATTAGTCCATTTTCACACTGCTATAAAGAACTACCTGAGACTGGGTAATTTCTAAAGAAAAGGGATTTAATTGACTCACAGTTCTGCCTGGCTGGGGAGGCCTCAGGAAACTTACAGTCATGGCAGAAGGCAAAGGGGAAGCAAGGCATGTCTTGTATGGCAGCAAGAGAGAGACAGAGAGGTGCAACACTTTTAAACCATCAGATCTCGTGAGAACTCACTCACTATCATGAGAACAGCATGAGGGAAATCTGCCCCCATGATCCAGTCACCCCCAACCAGGTCCCTCTCCTGACATGTGGGGATTACAGTTTGACATGAGATTTGGGTGGGGACACAGAGCCTAACCATGTCAGAAAGTAAAGCTGATTTGTACATGCACAAAAGAACTTTATTAATCAGTGTTTATCAGACCACATCTTTTGTTGCATCTCTTTACCATTCTTTTGCTAGAAAGTTCTCCTAAATTTAAGATTATTGTAGATAATATATACTACTCAGCCAGTTTATTTTGGGTGGAAATAATCACGTGCAGTTATTTTAGAGTGTTGATACATTTATACCTAAAGTAGCATGTCAGTTAAGCCTTTAAATTTCAAGGAAGTTTAACAAGCATGTAAAAGTTTTTATAGTTTGGTCCCAATGTGATTTTTTCCAGACTGTATATTAGCTGTTTTCTGTATTGTTCTGTCCTTAGATTTGCAGCATTATTTTCTTCTTGCTGCAAACCAATTAATAGATATTTAGTACCTCATGTACCCTAGGCATAGAGCTAGGGGATATAGGGAATACAAAGAAATGTTAGACAAAATGCTATCTTCGAAGCTCGTAATTGAGCCAATAGTCAAAGTGCCTCCTCATTTAACAAGTTCCATGAATCTAGACACCAAAGAAAAACAGAACTTTATTCTAGGCTTTCTCATAGGGACTGATTTAATCTTAGACACAGTAAATAATCATTTACCTTAGTGGAAAATGGTAAAAGCTTCATCTCCTGTGAACATGGTATTGGGAAAACACTATTTCCAGCCAAGAACTGCCAGTAATACCTTATATTAAATTCATTCCTTTTCTTTCAGGTCCATCCTTTCCAAGGATGGGGTTTTATATGTTAAACTCCGGGCGGGTCAGCTCTCCTACAAAGAAGATCCAATGGGATGGCAAAGTTTGTTGGCTCAGACTGTTGCTAACAGGAACTCTGAAGCCCGGGCTTTCAAGGTAGTATTATTGATTGGTAAAAACGGAAAGAAATAATTCTAAATTGCCGGCTTCCTCGCCCATTGCTATAAACTTCAAAGGTGGATCTGCTTCCTTTTTCATTGTTGCAGATTGTAAAGACTGACTGTGGCTCTGTTTGCTTTTTATGTGATAAAATAAATAATAAAATATAATGAATATAAAATCTGTATATAATAAGTAATATATATATAATAAAGTAAAATACTGTAAGTTAATGTTTACATTTAGCAGCAAGGACAGTCACACCATATCTTGACACTGTAACAAATAGTGATTTTATTATTGATCTTCAAATCGGTGAAGATTTACTTAATTTCATAGCAAAAATAGAAAACGAGTTTTGCAAGCTAGCAATTATTAACTCCATTTAAAAACCACCATTTGTTTCCTTAATCTTGGTGAGGATAAACTGATGACAGATTCAGACTTCTTTTATTAGTTTGCTTTATTATTTGCACAGTACTCGACTGCCAGTGCAGTAGTGTTTGAAATAAGGAAATAGTTACGATAAATGAGGGTAGGAAGCAATCTCATTCCCACGGCGGGGTCAGCACATATTTTGCTCTATATTCTTGACTCAGATAAGTTTCCAACACAAGAAATTTGTCCCATAATCAGGCATTAAGACTTCTGAATTTAACTTCAGTTTCCTGTAATTCCATGAGCAACTGTGTCCCTGCTGGTGATACAAAGTAGAGTAGTCTAAAGTAGTTAGGACCCTAAGGAATAATTAGACGGCAAAAGTGGGGCAGGCGGACTGGATGAGTGGCAGCCAGAGGACTGAGTTAGCATCCTTTGTTCTTCCAAGTACGGAGACAGCAGTTTATTTTAATTCAACTCATATTTCATTTTAGTCAGTTACTTATGACCAAGCCTTTATAATGGTTCCCAGGATTGAAATGTATAAATAGTTCCCAGGGTTGACATTGGTGAATTTTGTTTGGCAGTATTCAGTAAGTTGTTTATGAAATACTTTTGAAAGATTTTTGGACACAGTTTAACTTAAATTTGTAGTATTGCTTCTTCTAAAAATTAGAGCATATTCCAAAGACTCTAACCCAATTTGTGAAGAAAATAGATAAGTTTAGACTTGAGTTTGAACGAAGAAAGTATATAAAAATTAAAAGCTATTTCTATTTCCTGCCTACTGGAGTTCAGAAATAAAATATAAACCTCAGTGGAAAATAGTAATACCTTCATATTTCATTTTCAATCTTGAACCTTGAGTGATACTGTTTTTTTCCCAAGTTTAAAAAGTTGTGGTAAAATGCACACAATTTATTGTCTTAACCATTGCAAGTTACAGCTCAGTAATACTAAGTGCATTCACATTGTTGCACAACCATCACCACCATCCATCTCTAGAACTGTTTCATCTTGCAGACCTGAGATCTATACCTGCAACAATAACGCACAACCATCACCACCATCCATCTCTAGAACTGTTTCATCTTGCAGACCTGAGATCTATACCTGCAACAATAACCCCTCATTCTACTTCCCCTAGTCCCTGGCAACCACCGTTCTATTTTATGTCTCTGTGATTTTGATTATACTAAGTACCTCATTTATGTGGTTTCATACACTGTTTATCTTTTTGTGGCTGGCTTGAGTGATATTCTTTTTTCCTTACCTTTTCAGTAACAATTCTAGTTTCTGGTAGGCTTTTTAATTAGTCAGTGAAGGAGGGAAAAGCCTTTTTTGGATGAGTTGTGTAAACAGGAAGACCTGTTTGTTATTGGCCTTTTGATAAATTAGTAGCTCATGTTAACTTGTGCAAAAGCTTCTTGTAACTTCTTAGCAGAACAGGTTGATGAGGCAAGTTTGCATCATCTGGGATTTTTTGGGAATGTTGGGTGACAAAGGGGAGGTAGAGTTGTTAGAACTGTGTGTATTACAGTTTAAGCGTAAGGAAAATAATCTTTTGTTGTCTTATACTGTTGTGGTTGTTTGTTTTTTTAGCCAGAAACAATCTCAGCATTCACTTCTGATCCAGCACTTCTGTCATTTGCTGAATATTTCTGCAAGCCAACTGTGAACATGGGTCAGGTATATATTCTATGGTTTGCCGAGCCCCAGGACTAGAATTTGTTATTATTTCTATGCATGGGTCACCCAAAACATCTCTACTATCTATATCTATCTTTGAGATTGATGACATGCGTCAGTCACATTGGATGACTTTTGCTTGGCACGTATAGATTTGCATAGCCTAAAACTATTAAATTCAGCAACTTTCTACCTTGATAGAAGAAACAACTTAAAATTTATAAGACATCAGTTTTGACAGATGATAGTTTCTGTCATCTACAAGAATGATACCCATCCATATTCTGCTTTATGTTTTCAGTGTTTACCACCTTTCTCTTATTTTTATGTAATTTCATTAACTGTTTCCTCTGTATATTATAACCCTGCTTTTTATTGTTCATACACCTGTTACCTTCAAGATTCCAAGGGTGCTTAGCAGATTTTTCTTTATTTTTTTGTTTTTTGTTTTTTGAGACAGGGTCGGTTTTTTCTGTTGCCCAGGCTGGAGTGCAGTGACGTGATCATGGCTCACTGCATCCTTGACCTCCCGGAGTGAAGCCATCCTTCCACCTCAGCCTCCTGAGTAGCTGGGACTACAGGCATGTAGCCACCATGCCTGGCTACTTTTTTAAAAAAATTTTTTGTAGCGATGGAGTCTCACTATATTGCCCAGGCTGGTCTTGAACTTCTGGGCTCAAATGATCCTCCCACCTTGGACTCCCAAAGTGCTGGGATTATAGGCACGAGCCACTGTGCCTGGCCCAGATCTTTGACTTAATCCACCATAGAGACAAGGAAAGATTGGATGCATATATGGCCTTCAGAAAATTTCTCAACCTCTCCAAAATGTAGTTTCCTCATTTCTAAAAGTGATTATAATAGAACCTACCTTACAGTATTGTTTTGAGGATTAAGTGAAATAACCTTCCCCTCTCTTTTTTATTGAATCTTTACTATACATGGGACACTCTGCTAATACTTAAATGTCATTTAATTATGACCCTGAGAATAGGTATTTTATCATTCTGGGCTTACAGATGAGGAAACTGCCACTGAGAGATGTCACATGCCCAAGATCTCACAGCTAGTAAGAGCTGGGCTGTGCACTCCAGGTCACGGGTCTCTAATAAAGCCCATGCCCACCCTTAACCCCAGCTGGACTTGACTCTGCCGCCTCCCCTAAACTTGTTCTGGACAGTGTTTTTTTTCTTGCAGCTTTGTTACTCTGTTTCCTTTCTGGATCCTACTCTTCCCAGCCCAACCCAAGGCATAGCTCTGTGATGTCCTATCTACTCATTTTGTCCTAGTTTGGTCCATTCCTCTCTTCTGTAGCACTTACTATCCTTAACTGTCTCTTGGGACTTAATTTTTTTTTTTTAATTAATGTTTAATGTTACATGTGCTGTGGCTTTTTTAAAAGATTGTAGTGTTACTTTTATGTCATTCATTATAAAACTTAAGAATGGGCCATAGTAGTGCTATACAATTCGTTTTTGAATTGATTTTGGAATATACTTTGTGCTACAAAACTTCTGATTTTCTGCAGAAACAGGAAATTCTGGATCTCTTTTCTTCAGTACTCTATGAATGTGTTACCCAGGAGACCCCAGAGATGTTGCCTGCATACATCGCAATGGATCAGGTATGGATCCAAAAACCTATACCAATTCTGGTGAAATTTGTCCTGTAGTTCAAGTAACTCACTGAATAGTGTGGTAAGGTTCCTAGTGTCCTTCCTTTTAGTTTCCCATTTGCTTTTGGAAATTTAAGAAAGGAAACCATATAAAATTTGAAAGCTCTCAAAAATCCAAAAAGCTTGGGCTTTATGTTGACAGGAGTGCCCCTTGGGGGGCTGTCTTCCTTTAAGGGTTCCCATTCCTCCCTTTTGTCTCCCCTGACTAGGAGAGGAGGGGAGCACTCCCTTCCTCTCTCCCATCTTATTTTTGCCTCCCTCCTGGCAATGCCTCTTTGTAGAAGTCTGCATGTGAGCCGTTAGTGAACAGAGCCCTAGCGATGGCAGTACTGTGAAATTAGACCTATGTGATAAAGCTTGCAAGAGGTTACAGAGTCCATATGCAGTTATCTAGGCATTGGAGTTCATTTTTAAATTTCTCTTGTTATTGCTATTTTAAAAGAGCCTAAAGGGGTAATGCAGAAAATAATGCTTAATAATGTTCTTAAAGGATCAGACCAATTTATTCACTTTAGGCAAATTAGTAATACATACACCTTTTCAGTATTATCATATCTTTCAGACCCAGATTTGGAGTTAAGCCAAGCCAGTAGTTTTCTAACCTGGCAGAAATTTGCCTTGGTATCTTAAAAATACAGATCCTTTAATTCCATGCCTCATCTATTGAATCAGAATTTCTGGGGTGAGATCCAGAATCTAGTTTTAAACAGCTCTTTAAGTGAATATAGTAAGTTCACAGCTGAGCATCTGAGACTCAGTGTCTAAGAGAAATAACCTTTAATGATAAAAATAATTTGCTAAAAAGCTGAATGGAAAAATATATTTAGTCAGAGGATAATTCCCCCAAACCAGAAAACACACAGTGTTAAGTAACATCATTAAAAACCAAGTTCCAATATAACTAAGTAGGCCCAGAATGCCATTATTGTCTGGAATCCACCCTTTTTTGGTTGGAAAGTATGGATATATGGTATCCACGCTGGCACTGCTTCTCACAGTGCCTCTTTGTATAGCAGCCAAATAACAAGTTGTGTTATTTGCTGGATGAGAATGTTGCTGGCTGAGAATGTGTCTTTTTACTCTCTGAACCCTCACACCTTTACAGTCATGGGTGGCAGGTCTTTATGCATGAATATCTTCTCTGGTTGCAGCTGTAGTGACTTGCAGATGGATCTCAAGGGCAGTATTATTAGTAGTGTTCTTCTTGCCCTCTACCCCCTGGGATCTCTGCCATGTCATTGTACCCAGCTCGAGTTTCCCAGAGGTGACTGGCTATGACCTTTTGGGTCTTGGTTATTCGGAGCTGTTGAGCCAAGAATGAGCTCATTCACCTTTGTTACTTTTCCCTGCAAGCTGCTCATGTAGGGCCATATTGAAGGAGGTGAGCCATGCACCTGTACCCAGTGACGGCTCCTCTGTGGGCAGACTGCATCAAAACACAGAATGGACCACCCCCCGACCCTTTATAATTCGGAGCCACATTTAAAAAATACTCA
This sequence comes from Homo sapiens, assembly GCF_000001405.40. Lineage (NCBI taxonomy): Eukaryota > Metazoa > Chordata > Mammalia > Primates > Hominidae > Homo > Homo sapiens. The sequence continues at coordinate 111,777,127 of NC_000002.12, read as the reverse complement.
GTCTACAACTCTGATGAAGAGACAGAGCACTCTTTGATTAAATAGATTGTTGTCCTCTTTCCTCTTCAAGGCTATAAGAAGACTTGGGAGAAGAGAAATGTCTGAGACTTCTGAACTTTGGCAGATAAAGTTGGTGTTAGAGTTTTTCAGCTCCCGAAGCCATCAGGAGCGGCTGCAGAACCACCCTAAGCGGGGGCTCTTTATGAACTCGGAATTCCTCCCTGTTGTGAAGTGCACCATTGATAATACCCTGGACCAGTGGCTACAAGGTAATAGTAGCATTGTAGCATAGCGCTCTTGTGCTTTTGAGATACATTCGGTTCAGGCTTTTCTGTTGTAACTTTGTTTTTTCATTGGTAAGCAAGATAAATCTGAGTATAAGCAAGAATGGCTATAGATTTAACGTTTCCAGCTAGATGAATTAGACTTTGATTATCTACTTTAGCTTCTTTAGTAAAATACATCTGACCCAGGCAGATAATATTTATAGCATTTTAAATACCACTTGGTGCTCAGGACCTTGTTCTCTCTTCCCTAGCATCAGGTCACATTTCCTTTCCAGTGCCTCTGTCTCCTGTTTCCTAGGGGTGTGGCCTGTTGCCTTCCTGAGGCCAGCAGCCATCCTGTTTTTGTACTGGCACCACATGTACATGTAGAAGTTGACGTGTGCTTGCTGAGTGAGCTTGTTGTACCAACTCAGTTTTGAAAACCTGGGACCGCACAGCTATGTGATGTCACAGTGGTGGCTTTCTATCAGCAGGATTTGTGATTGCAAGGAAATTGTAGTTACTCGTTAACAGTGTAGAAGTGATTCTGACTTACATGAGGCAAGCGATGGGGCCTTTAGATTTATGGAAATGTATCTGTGTGTTAAATACACCTGAAACTGATTTTCAGGAGTAGACTCCTTGATCTTTTCATTCTTTTTAGTTCATTCAAATGCTCCCAGTAAATATCTGACAGTTGCTTGCTTTGGGTTAATACTAACCTTAGTAATAGTAGTAGAAACAATTCTTGCTTTGATTAGTGAAAACTATTAGTAATCAATAGACCCTAAGCGTTTGAATATAATTGAGTTTAAAACTATCCACCTGTAACACTAGGAAATAAATTTCTGAAAAAAATTAAATTGTAAACCAAGTTGTGAGGGATATACTTGGAAAGCCTGATTTCAGACTCTCCATGTTTATATTTAAAAGCTGCATTGTATTTGTCATTTCCTGTTCAGATTCAAAGATCATATAGCTTCATAATTTTTTGGATAGTCATTTTTATCCTCATTTTTGGGGAAAAACATGTTATTTCAAAGGTTTTCGTGTTTCGTTTTTATTCAATTTAACATTTGATCACCTATGGCAGACCTTTGCTATTGATAATAAATACTTCCTTAAATCTTTGCAGATTCCCTGATTTGCACATTTCATATAATGTATGGAACTTTGGCAGTGATTAGAACATTCTCTAAAACAGGGCCCTGATTGCCTTGTTGCTCTTTAGCGCATTTGGTGGTTTCCAGCATTGCTGTCAGCCTCCATTGAATTTGACTTGCCACACAGATTTATCAAAAATGTGTTTATTTTTTAGTGAAAAACTAGAATTTTTTTTAAAACAAAACCTCTTAAATATATAGTCTCCTCTCTTACAAGCACTAGCAGTTGGCTTTGGGGTAGAGAACAATAAATTAACTGAAAATTGGAAATTGCATTCATATTTGTGTGTAAAAATCACAGATGCATATGTGGACTTTCAGGATCACTCACTGACAACTCATTAGATCTGAGATAACCCATTAAATCACTACACTAATCTGAAAATGCAGCCAATTTATATTATATAAATGTCGGTTTTGTTTTTTCTTTCTTTGAGACAGAGTCTCGCTCTGTCGCCAGGGTGGAGTGCAGTGGCGCGATCTCAGCTCACTGCAACCTCCACCTCCTGGGTTCAAGCGAGTGTCCTGCCTCAGCCTCCTGAGTAGCTGGGATTACAGGTGCACGCCACCACACCCAGCTAATTTTTGTACTTTTAGTAGAGACGGGGTTTCACCATGTTGTTCAGTCTGATCTCGAACTCCTGACCTCATGATCTACGTGCCTTGGCCTCCCAAAGTGCTGGGATTACAGGCATGAGCCATGGCGCCTGGCCTATATAAATGTTTTGTACAGTATTTATCTCCTCAAATTATAATTTTGGGCAAAGAAAGCGGGTTTCAAGTTTAAGAACTTTAAAAAGTTTTATTAACTTTTTCATATTTTGTTATGGAAATTTAAAGAATATACAAAGTAAGTAGACTAGTGTAATAAACCACAACACCAATTTTAATAGTTGCCAGCATTCTCCTATTTTTGCGTCATTTGTACCTTCACCCATTGCCACACTCAATTTTCCAAATTGTGCCATTTTACTTTCCCACCAGCAGTGGATTGCAATGCAATTTTTGGCATTGTCCTTTTTTTTTTTTTTTTTTTTTAAGACTTGTCAAGTGCAGTAGGAAAGCAAAGTAAACCCAAAGCAAGCAAATAAAAGCAGAAACCAATGAAACCAAAAACAGATAAGCAATAGAGAAAATCAGTGAAACAAAATGCTGGTAGACATGAGAAAGTCATTGAAGAGAGGCTGAACCACCATGCTCTCCTTCATGATGAGCTGTTCAAAGAAGAATCTCATCTGTTCTCCCTTAACCTTTCTCCCTCTGCTGCCTCCCCCAAACCTAAATGTTTCCACCTCCCAGTAGACTGACATCCTCACAACTGTGTTCAGTGGAGTCTACAGTTTTCATCTCACTCCATCTCTACAATGGTGAGGCTTTTAGCTACATTTTCCTTCTTGAAATGAGCCTCCCTTGACTTTGTCATAGCACACTTTCCCAATTTTTAAAAAAAATCCTCTTTAAAAATTCTCAGTATTTGTCACCATTTCACTGTCACTCCTTTGTTGACCCTTTTGGAAGTCATCCTTGCTCCTTTCCCTCCTTCCCTTCTCTGCAATAGCTGACCCATTGCTGATGCCTTTCAATCCTCATCATAGATATTTCTTGAATTTGTCCACATTTTACTATTTCTACCTAGAACAGAATGATGATTTTGTGCCTGGACCACTGTTATAGCCTCCTAAATAGCCTCCTTGCTTTTTCTCATCTCCATTCCAACCATCTCAATTTAACTGACAGAACAGTCTTTTAAAGAATAAACTGATGTAACACTCCTGCTTAAAGCTTTTCAATGGCTCCTGATTCAGCTGTGAAAGAAATCCCTACTGTGTGGCACCAGGACCTGTGTGACCTGCAAGGCGCCTGTTTTCCTCAACAAAGCCTCTTTTACACCACTTGCTCCCCACACCACCCTGGCCCCTTCCACTTACTCAAAAACACTGAGCTCCTTTTCACTGTGGGGCCATTGAATATGCTGTTTTCCCTCCCTAGAACCTTTTCCTCTCATTCTTCACCTGCCCAACTCATATTTATCCATGCAGCCTCAGTTTTAATGGCATTTCCTCCCAGGCCTTCCAAGACCACTCTCCCTCAGGCAGCTTTCCTGACATCTTTAGCCTGCCCGCTCATGCTCTCTACCTTTTTTCTGTATCAAAATGCCTTTGTTTGCAAGTAAAAGAAGGCCTGACTTAACCTGCCTTTAAACAGTAAGGACACAAGTATGCCTATGTTATTAGAGGTCTGCAGGTAAGGCACGTAAAGGGTCATCTTTTTCCAGTGTCTTCAACTCCATTTCTCTGAGGTTCCATCAGCTACATTCTGTGCCATGACTTTATCCTCAGTGCATTTTTCGGATGGTAATCAAATGGCTGTAACATGTTCACCTCTAGCTCAGCATGATACTCAGAGGAAGAATAGAGTTGCTTCTAGGAGTTTTGTGATGAGAATGAGGGAATTTCTTTCCCTGGAGCCTCCAGCAAGCTTGTCATTAAGTACCTCCTCAGGTTTCTGGCTCGAGTTGCATCTCATGCACACCTCTCAATCTATCCCTGTGGCAGAGAATGTCTCTTATTGAAAAAATGGCCTGGGTCTGCCTGTCTCTGAACTAACACTGCATCAGGAGAATGGGATTGCCTTGATCACCCAAGATCAGTGATTCTCAAAGTGTGGTTTATGGAGCAGCATGACCTGGGCACTTGTTAGAAATGGAGTTTTTCTGGCCCCACCCCAGACCTACTGAATAAGAATCTCTGTGCTCTGTGCATGGAGTGGGGCCCACTCATCTGTGGTTTAACAAGCCTTCCAGGTGATTCTGGCACATGTTAAAGTTTGAGGACCCCTGGCCAAGACTAGTAAGGATCTAGTTCTGGAGCTGAAGTCAGTCCCATCAAATATAATATATGGTGGAGGGTAGGGTGTGACAAGGGGTATTTCGGGGAGACAACCACAGTGACCACTGCACCTTTATAGCACTCCTCACAATTTGTAATTATGCATTTGTTTGTGTCATTATTTGTGTAATATCTGTCTCCCCCAACAACACTCTAAACTCTACAATGACAGGGACTCAGTCTAGCTTGTCAGAGTAGCCTCAATACCGGCTATAGAACCTGCTTTATATATGCTGAGCGTTCAATAAGTTCTTGATGAAAAAGTAATAGAAGATATTTCTTGTGCCTCTCAGTTCTGTCATCAGTTGGTTCCGTTCCATTTGTTTCTCTCACAGTCGGGGGTGATATGTGTGTGCACGCCTACCTCAGCGGGCAGCCCTTGGAGGAATCACAGCTGAGCATGCTGGCCTGCTTCCTCGTCTACCACTCTGTGCCAGCTCCACAGCACCTGCCACCTATAGGACTAGAAGGTAATTGCATATCTAAGTCTTATCTTCAGTAACTCTGTTACCTACCCCTTTATGTTCTAGTTTCTCAGTAGTTACTGCCCCTAGTTTGACTTTCCTCTTCATTAATGTTGCAGTGTCATTGTTAGGGACTGTTTTGGAGCAAAAAAGAAAAAATTATCAACTTTATATATGAATAACTTTCATTTTTATTCAGAAAAGGATGGATTCTTCTTCACAGAGCCCCAAACACTGATCTATACTAATAAACTAAATATTCCATATTATTCTTTACTAATTGATTTTTTTATTAAAGCTATTTTTCTTTATTTTCTAGGTTTTCAGTTGGGTTTTTTAGAATCACATATAATCTTAATTTCTAATATTACAAAGCTTTACAACTAATAAATACCTAATTTTGTGTTTGAATTTTTTTATAATAGTTTTAAAAATTAATAGTATTATCACCTGATTGTATTTTTCAGAATATAGAAACAGATAAAAAAAATTTATCCATTAAGCTGAATACTAAGATATGATGAATTCTAAGCACCCAATTTTTTTGAGATTCTCAAAAAAAATATTTTTTGATAAGGGCAAAGATTGTTCCATTTAATCATTTAAACTTGAAGTTTAATTACATTACTAGTTTTTTGCTGTTTTGCAAGCCTCTGATAAAAGTTTACTATCTAGAGACTTCTGGTTATGGCCATGATGGAATTGCTTGTATTGGACTCACTTGCCCTCAAAAACAAATATAAAAGCTAAAAAAAAAAAATAAGAAAAGGGAAGTACAACAGGGAGAGCTTTATATTCACCCTAGCTTCTCCCCCAAAGGCATTTGCCAGTTCATAGTACAAGAAGTAGAGTGCCAGCAAAAAGCAGCAATGCTGCAGGGCTGAGGAGCCAGAGGTTGGGTTTGTGATTGCCCAAGAGCCTAGAACTTGAGGAACACAGTCTCAGGCAGGAGAGAACAATAGAAATCATAACTCAGACTCTGGATATACCTTTCCCTTGAGTTACTTAATGATATTTTAGCCTTCATATACATGGGATAAGACTTCAAGAGATCTAGCAGAAGCCACAAGGCCAAAAATGTAAGCAAAAATGTCAGCAGCAGCATAGGACTGAGGAGACAAAGGGTGGAATTCAACGCTTGTTAAAGTGAAGTGGCTCTGATCAGCATCCCAGCTCCTCAGGTGAATTAATACATGGCCAAGCCCTAAGCCTGCTCTAGCCTAATTTTAGATCTGGTCTGCTTCAGTTTCACTCCAAGCAGACTTGACCTACAATTAGCCTAGAGCAGAACTAAGGTGATCTGTGTGCTTTCTCCCCACCTGACAGAAGAAAATGTAACCTTCATAGGAGAAAGAAAACATACCCAGAGCCCCCGCAATTTTTAGTCTACAGGATTCAGTGTTGAATCAAAAATTACGAAACATAATAATAATAAAAAAACAGATAATAGAAACAGACTTATGTGTGATTCAGATATTGGAGTTATCATACTGGAACTTAAAATAACTATGTCTAATGTTTCCAGGAAAATAGAAGGAATGATAGGGAATTTCACCAGAAACCTGGGGTCAATAAAAAAGAGTTAAATGGAAATTCTAGAACTGAAAAATATAGTAACTGAAATGAAGATCTCAGTACTGGATTATTTGAAGTGAACTGGAAGACACTTATCTGCTGGAAGACAAGTAGAAAGTAAACAAACTGAAGCACAGAGGGAAGAATGGTTAGGAAATACAGAGAAGAGTACAAGAGACATGTGGAAACCGTGAAAAAAAAATAAACATGCATGGGGTTGGAATAAGAGAATAAGAGGAGAGAAAAAATGAGTTAGAAGCAATATTTGAAGAGACAGAAGCTAAGAATTTTGAAAAATTGTGTTAAATATTAACCCACAGTGAACCCTAAGCAGGATAAATACAAAGAAAACCATACCTAGTCACATTAATAGTCAAACTACTAAAAGGAAAAGGAAGACATTTTAAAAGTATAGACTTCTTTTCAGGCCAGGCTGGACAAACAGGGTTGTTCAATGGTCAACTGTATTAGAACCAGTAAAATACCACTTAGATAGTATTTGAAGGTAGACAGGCACTTTTGCACATTATATTTAAAGAATTTATATATATATATATATATATATATATAAAATTAAACAATATTAGTAGTTTCACATGTAGTTATAGGTCACTTTCTGAAGTCTAGAATGGGTAAATTCTATCAAATCATATACAGGTTTGAGTATCCTTAATCTGAAATCTGAAGTGTTTGAAATCGAAAACGTTTTGAGCACCAACATGATGCTCAGAGGAAATGTTCATTACAGCATTTTGGATTTGGGATTTTTGGATTAAGAATGCTCAGCCGAGGCTGGGCGCAGTGGCTCACGCCTGTAATCCCAGCACTTTGGGAGGCCGAGGCGGGCGGATCACGAGGTCAGGAGATCGAGACCATCCTGGCTAACACGTTGAAACCCCATCTCTACTAAAAATACAAAAAAAATTAGCTGGGCGTGGTGGTGGGCACCTGTAGTCCCAGCTACTCGGGGGGCTGAGGCAGGAGAATGGGTGAACCCAGGAGGTGGAGTTTGCAGTGAGCCGAGAGAGCGCCACTGCACTCCAGCCCCGGTGGCAAAGTGAGACTTCGTCTCCAAAAAAAAAAAAAAAAAAAGAAAGCCAGTAGGTGTAATGCAGATATTCCAAAATCTAAAAAAATCCAGAATCCAAAACACCTCTCTTCAGAAGCATTTTGGAAAAGGGATACTCAATTTACATTACAGTGTATTAAGGAATTTCATAATTTTAAATATTGTCTTTGCATAGTCATTTTCAAAGGGAAAAATGCCTGTTTTAAACATGATTGTGTTTCTGAAGCTTCCTTGAAAGGAGAGGTATGGCTGAATTTATTTAGAGATGTGACCTTCCCACCCCATTTCCATTTTAGGGAGCACAAGCTTTGCTGAACTGCTCTTCAAATTTAAGCAGCTAAAAATGCCAGTGCGAGCTTTGCTGAGATTGGCTCCTTTGCTTCTTGGAAATCCACAGCCAATGGTGATGTGACCGTGTCTGGCGGTGAACCTACCCTGAAACGTGACTTCTGCACAACAAACGTGACCAAACATCAAAGCTAAAGCAATGTTTATAAAGTTTTATGGTATAACTAGGGGGAAATGAGCTGCACAAACCTCAATGTATTTTAAATCTGTTGCTGTCATCATTAACGGTATATGACATATAAAAGCAAGTTAAAATTTACTTTTGTAAATAAAGTTTTTGGTTTGTTTCCAAAACTCTTGATGATTGCTTTAGTTTTGGACTTAGAGAATAGAGCAGGGGTTGCTGGAGTGAATATTGATTTTTAAAGTCTTTGAACTGTGGTGGTATAGGTGAAGTGACTATGCCCAAAAATGCCAAGTTTTAAAAGAAGCTATGTCATAAAGTTTTACTTTCTGTGGCAAAAGAGCGCTTTAGCATTTCCTCAGATGTCACAGTTGTCCTGTCTAAAATAAGTTTGTACTTCTGGTGACAATGCCAGACACTCTTATGATGTGATCACCTTAAACAGGAGAAGGAGATTTTTGCCCTCAGTTGCTCAACATGAAGTACTGTGGACTGAATTGTGTCCTCCCAGAATTATATATTGAGGCCCTAATCCCTGTGTGACTGTATTAGGCAATAGGGCATATAGGAGATTACTAAGGTTAAGTGAGGTCATCATAAGGGTGGGGCCTTAATTCAGTAGAATTGGTGGCCTCCTAAGCAGAGGAAGAGAGATTTTTCTTTCTCTCTCTGCCATGTGAAGACAGTGAGGAGTCGGCCGTCTGCAAGCCAAGAAGAGCCCTTATCAGGAACAGACTTGGCTAGCACCTTCATCGTGGACCTCCAGCCTCCAGAATTGCAAGAAAATACATTTCCGTCGTTGAAACCACCCAGTCTGTGGTATTTTGTTATGGCAGCCCAGGCAGACTAATACGTGAAGCCTGCTCTAAATAGATAAAATAAGAAATTACTACAGAGGGCTCTTTAGAAATTGTATTTAAAAACAAGACAATCCATATTTACCTAAGATTTACAGAATGTATGTCTATAAAAGGAGGGATTTCTGGACTAGATGATGATGAAAAATGTTCATATAAAGGCACCTCCAGCTTCGAGTTGCCAACACAGGAGGAAGAATGCTCCCTGCTGTTCAGATGCTGATATGTGTCCTGTGCTTCCTGGATGGCCAGTGGGATCATAAGCTGGTAGAAGCAAGACCTTCATCCACTGACTTCATATTTCTTCCACATCCTGAACTGTGGTGTTTGACTTTAAAAATAAATTAAAGCAAATAGAAATGTTTCCATTGAGATTTTGGCAAAAACCCACATGACATTTGCGTCTGCAGAGTAGACTTGGAAGGCATGCACCTGGAGGCCAAGTGGTATTCTCTGGACTCTCTGTCCTTGCATTTGCGTGGCTGCCCCGAGGACTCGCTTCTTCCTGGATGTGAAGCAGAGGCACGATGGGGCTGACTGAGAGGCTGAAATGTGCTTCTCTTCACAGTTACATAGTTTTCTTCTAATTAAAAATAAATTTTAAGTGGTAGATTATGAAAATTCCATTTGAATCAAGATTTTAAAAATTCAATATCAAACCAGTTGTTACTGTCTTCACTCTCCGTTGTTTACGATTGTGTGCTTTTCCTGAATAAAGAATGACTGGAGAGACATTAGTTGTTTGCACACATATTAACTCATACCTAAGGGAGAACAGCTTTTAGAACATTGTCGATGAAAGCAAATATCAGCTTTAAAAGAGAGAGGACAGAAAGACTGCAGATAGTCTGGAAGCAGCATTTTTAGGCCGTCTGATTAGCTAGCAGGGAGCAAAGGGGAGGCTGGGAAGTCAGCCCTTGAGTAGGCCTGCTGGATCATCAAATAAATCAATTGCAGCTATTTTTGGGGCCTCAAAAAATCCTGAGGGTATGGCTCTCACCATCCAGAACCTGCAGCCTCCTTAGAGCCGTGGCTCAAAGGGAAGTGCTGCAGAAAAACATTTGGCTGTTAAGTGTTTTGGCCCCAAAATAGCACACATCATTTCCTGTTAAAGCCTGTTGGCCCGAAGTAGTCACACTGCTCTACCTCATGTGCCCAGGACTGGGAGGAGAGGCAGACGCTGGTGAGGATCTTATGCCAGTTACATCATGGTTCCTAACTTACTAATTCCCTATGCCCATCTTTTCTACTTAGATAGATAGAAATAGGTATCATCGCTTCCATAGACATAATTAAAGAAACCATACAATTTACACATACACTCAGAGTGGTGGTTCTTTCCCCAGTAGACGCTGACATCTGCGTTCCTCCCTTGCAGGTCTTCTGAAGGACCTAGCAGGAGACTCAGGTTGAAACCCTACAGAACCTCGCCGTGTGCCGCCCAGTCTTCCTTGAATAAGGCCATTTTCTCACCCTTTGTCTAGTAACTAGCTGACTCCACAGCTCATGGTAAGGGGCATGTCTCAGCTCAGGGGGTCTCCTGACATCCCAGAGGAAGCAATAAGGTGGGGGTCTTTCATCTCTCAGCCTGATGATCTGTGCACACCCACTTGATGGGAGGCCAGGGTGCCTGTGGGCAGATGGGTCAGAGTGTGGGCCAGGATTTGGAGTAGAAGCCAGAGCATGTGAAAATCCAAACCAGGAAGACTTCGTTGCCTCCCGCATGTGGGGTTGAAGGCCTCTCTTCTGTGGTCTCCCATCCTCATGCTGATCAAATTGGGGGGGAATGTCTCACTGTGTGAGGATCACCCCAATTAAGCTGTGGGGGAGGACACAGAATCTGATCCCCTCTGTATCCTTAGCGCATGCTACCTCCAGCCACCAGGGGAAAGAAGCAGAGGTGAGGTGGGAGAGGTGGCCACTCTGGACGGTGTAACTGGGCTGGCTGCCTCTCAGCGCCCACGAGCACCCCACAGATATCCACGCTAGTGTACAAAGGTTCCCAAGTGGTGGCCTTTTCCTGCTTCCAAGGGCTGCCCGGGTTCCCCCCTCTCTGAAATAGATTGGTTGCTTCTCATTACGTCACAAGCTGCAGAAAAAAAATTTAAATAAAAAGCCTCTACAGCTGTGTCCTTAACTCTTACCTGTGGATAAGGATGGACTTGCCTGCCCAACATCCTCTATCTTATGTCTTTGGGTGAAAGGGAAGCTGGAATGGGCAGTAGGGGCTGCTTGGGGCAGTCAGGACCTTCAGGCTTCAGGCAAGGAGACCCACTGATCAGACACCTGCATCAAATGTTGGTGCTGACAGATCCCTTAGATGGCACCGGTCCTGCCCCTCCTACAGTGAGATCCCTGTGGCTCAGGGAGGGAGGTTGACTGCCCCAAAGCACCCATCACAACCCTAATGAAGCTGACTTTCAACCACACTTCCTATACTCCACCCTGAACCGGGTCCAGTACTGCCTGCATTCCCAGTCCAGCAGACTCTTAGGAGAAAGCAGTGATTAAATGTAAGTTAAAAGGACTTGGCACCAGGAAGAGTTTATGAACACATTTGAGAAGCAGACATACTAACTCTTCTTTACACCTTTGGAAAAGCAAAGGCTTTGTGTAATTGGAATTTGATTAACTGAATTAATCTATGTGTTGCTTTCTTGGTCACATTATAACAACCACCTTAATCTACATTTTTTTCTCATAGCTAAAAAGATTTATTCCTATTTCATATGGTACATTATTACATGAAATCTTAAAATAAGTTATTGATTGATTGAAGCAGAGTCTCCCTCTGTTGCCCAGGCTGGTGTCAGTGACATGACCATAGCTCACTCCAGCTCACTGCAGGCTCAACTTTCTGGGTTCAAGCGATCCTCCTGCCTCAGCCTCCTGAGTAAATGGGACTACAGGTGCATACCACCACACCCAGCTAAATTTTTAAAATTTTTGTAGAGATGAAGTATTGCTATGGTGCCGTCTGGTCTCAGACTCCTGGCCTCAGGTGATTCTCCTGCCTTGGCCTCCCAAAGTGCTAGGATTACAGGTATGAGCCACTGCACCCAGCCTAAAATAAAATTTTTATACTAAATTCAATAAAATATATAAATAACTGGAAAGTCTTAATTCTCAGTGCTTGCCTTGTCTCTGTAGTTAAGGGATCTGTCACACTCAGGCACTCTTCCTTGTGATGCTGTAGGCCATGTGCTTTAAGAACTCAGGCACACTAGCTCATTAGGGGAGCTTAACATAAGGATGGAGGTTGGAAGCTAGTTGGTGCCACTCGTGTTTCTTTCATTTGTCTTACGTTCGTTTTTGTGCATATCAAGAATATTTTAGACCAGGCGTGGTGGCTCACGCCTGTAATCCCAGCACTTTGGAAGGCCAAGGTGGGCGGATCACCTGAGTTCAGGAGTTTGGGACCAGCCTGGCCAACATGGCAAAACCCCGTCTCTACTAAAAAAAAAAAAAAAAAAAAAAAAAATATATATATATATATATATATATACACGTATATATATATACATATATATATATGTGTGTGTGTGTGTGTGTGTGTGTGTATATATATATATAAATTAGCCAGGTGTGGTGGCACATGCCTGTAATCCCAGCTACTCGGGAGGCTAAGGCAGGAGAATCACTTGAACCAGGGAGGCAGAGATTGCAGTGAGCCGAGATCGTGCCATTGCACTTCAGCCTGGGTGACAGAGCAAGACTCCATCTCAAAAAATAAGAATATTGTAAGTGCTGCTTACTGTACCAATTCAGAAATTAGGGCAGTTTCATCAGCTGGAAATGTGGGTAAATGTATGCAACTCTAAAGTTGAAGGAAGATGCGTTAGCAAATCCATCATGGTTAGCATCCCTAGCTGCCATCTGCCTGCCCCGTTGGATCTAGAGAAGATGAGGTCAAACCTTTCTCACTCCATGTTCTGTGCAAATTTCTGCAAATCCACAGAGCAGGGTGTAGGTGCTGTCTCCAGTGTCACTTCCCTCCAAACTCCCCGCTCTGTTGCACTAATTCATTTGTGGTTCATCTCACTGTGCCCCATGTGTGGGCTGAATGTCAGTCAGCTTGGCGTCTTCAGTGCCTCCTTTTGTCTTTCCTTAGCTTCCAGCTGTTTTCCCTATGTAGTGTCAGATGAGAGTCTTCCAGTGGGAGATGCCCATGCAGGGCCTGGAGGATAGAGGAGGAGGTGAAGCCTTTACTCTCCTGCACTGGCTACAGCAGACACAGGGCAGATGGCATACTCCTGACTGCAGGAAGCTAATACCAGCTGTGGCAGGTGTCACCACTCCTGAGTTTCTGGAAGTTTACAGGAGCTTCTCTGTCCTCTGCTTCCTTCATTTTCCTGTTTGGATCTCTGAGCAAAATCCATGACCCCTTGAGGGATGCAATGCTCAGATGTAAAGTCGTCCCCATCCTCGAGTCCCACCAAAACCACCCACTGCCACTCAGGGACTAGGCTTTGCTTCTAGAATTTCTAGCCCTCTGGTTACCTCCTCTGAGCTCCCAGTGCTGTTCACTTTTCCATTCTCAAATCCTCAGTTGTTCTCTAAAATGCCAGAATTTCTTTGCAATTTCCTAACCCCTGAACAAACTCACCTGGGTGGCACCAATCTCAAAGCTGCAGCAGTGGGTCTCACTATGCTTTCAGTACAACCTTACATAAGTTCAGAGAAAGCCTGGACTGAGGAAATGAAAACCTGCCCTGCTGCTCATCAGGCTGGTGATTGTTTATCCAATCCACTGGTGGTGAGCCCCTGGGTTGATTCCATGTCTCTGCTATTGTGAATAGTGCTGGGATGAACACGTGAGTGCACGTGTCTTTTTGATAGAACAGTTTATTTTCTGTTAGATAGATATACTCAGTAATGGGATTGCTGGGTCACATGGCAGTTCTCTTTTACGTTCTCTGAGAAATCTCCACACTGCTTTCCACAGTGGCTGAACTAATTGACACTCTCACCAGCAGTGTGTAAGTGATCCCTTTTCTCTGCAGCCTTCCCAGCATGTGTCATTGTTTTTTTAAAAAACAATAGCCATTCTAACTGGGGTGAGATGGTCTTTCATTGTGGTTTTGGTTTGTATTTCTCTGATGATTAGTGATTAGTGATATTGAGAATATTTTCGTGTTTGTTGACTGCTTGTATGTCTTCTTTTAGAAGTGTCTGTGCGTGTCCTTTGCCCACTTTTTAATGGAGTTGTTTTTTGCTTGTTGATTTAAGTTCACTGCTTCTTTGTTGTGGGAGGGGGAAGGCGGGGATGGGCGGGAGCTACAAGAAAAGAGGCATCCCCTCAGACACTGGGTTAAAGAAGGAAGAGGCTCTATTCAGCTGGGAGCATTGGCAGACTTGCGTCTCAAGAACCGAGCTCTCTGAAGAAAGAGTTCCTGGCCCTTTTAAGGGCTTACAACTCTAAGGGGTCCACGTGAAAGGGTCATGATAGATTAAGATCTATAGATAGCACATGTGGTTAGAGTGCGGGGTTAATCTTTTTCAGCTTTTACTTCCTCCTTCTCTTCAGAGACAGGAGACAGTAAGAGAAATGGCCTCTCTCCTCATTCCCCCCTTTGAGAACCTCACTCACTAGTGGGAGTTCTCACTTTCATCTTCACTATCCAGGTCTTCCTGAGAGACAGCTGAGGTCTTTTGATGAACTAAGGTGGTAACGGAGCCTCTTAGTGACTGGAGAAATATGGGTAATGTACAGGGGAGTAACATGCAGGTTCCTAATACTATTATTATTCGTATTATAAGAGTTTTAAATCCTCCTAGAGCTGGAAACCATTTTCCAAACGGGAATCCAGGATCAAGCCTATGCCAAACCTGCATGGGCACATGTGCCAGCTTTGTCATGTCTCTAACTATCCTCATGCTTCAGCTGTGCATGGACCAGTCAGCTTCCAAGTGTGACTGGAGCAGGGCTTGTCGTCTTCTTCAGAGTCACTATGCAGGTGTTGTCCGGGCTTGGTCTCGCCTCCCAGGTCTCAGTTGGCCGGGAGCGTCCGCAGACTTGTGTCTCAAGAACTGAGCTCTCATCTTTTCCTTGAATGACCTGAGAGACTTTGTTAACATTTGTGGCCTTCTGAGCTCCCTTCTTTAACCCTTCCAGAAGGGCTTCCCTGTATCGGTTTAGCCTTTGCATACCCTGTCTTTCATTTGGGTCCCACTGGGGGTCTGTTCCTGGTAATTGGATCCTCACATACTCTTGGGGGTTTTGGTAATCAGCTGGAACATGTTCTTCCAGCCACTTAGTTGCTGCTTGGAGCACTCTCCTTTCATCTGTGTTAAAGAGGTACATGAGCAACTGGTGGCAATCAGCTCAGGTGGGGTTGTGGGTCTGGATAATAGTTTGGAGCAAACCAATTATAGCTTGAGGCTTTTCAGTATAGGATGGGGTATTGTTTTTCAGTATAGGATGGGGTATTGTTTTTCCAATTGAGGAGATCGACAGAGGTGAAGGGTTTGTACACAAAGGCATGCCTTTCCACCATATGCCCATCCTCATCTACCCCAGTATACTGTTGCTTTCTCATGGGCATTTGTATCCCAGTTCTAGGCCTCAAATGGGCTGCCAAGGGAGGGGTTTCTCCTGAGGTCTCACATCCTGTCTTTTCTACCCTGGGTGGCCTAGGGGTATGTAGGCCTTGGGAAGCTCAGGCACAGTGGCCTCAGGAGTGGGAGGCCTTCATTCTTGGTGAAACGGGGGGCCACTGGTGCCGTTTCTTGCCATGAATCTTCTGATGTTGGGTCGGACAGGACTTCAGGAGCTGACTCCCCTCAGCGGGTGGAGCAGGATTCTTCTTTGGCTGTCTGTCCCTTTGCTACTAGTACTGCTGCTGCCTGTCCTCTTAACGACTGTAGGGGGTCTAAAACCAGCTGTAACCAAGTGTCTATGTACGGAAACTGGTCTGGGTGTCCTGGCTTACCAGTTACCTTGTGCCATACCTTTGAAACAAGGGGCCAGTCTAGGCTTCCTTCTGATGGCCAACCTACTTCTAATGCTGGCCAGTCTATCTCACACAAAGTTCTAAGTTTTCCTGGTGTCATAGTAACTCCATAGTCCCCATTAAATCCTTTCTTGAAATTTTTCAACATAGTTCCTAGTGGAGTGGGCTTACTTTGCGTTCCACCCATCTTCCTCCTGAGACAAAACAACACTCACACCACAAGAAGGAAAGTCTAAAGGGGTCACTCACTCATCTTGCCTGTCTCAAACTCAAGCACTCATTCACTTTCACTTTCCTTTTTGCAAACAAGTTAAGCCAAATCAAAATCAATACTGAGATCAAAGTGCCAATTGCAATCAAGTCAAGTCAAATCAAAATCAATACTGAGATCAAAGTGCTGATAAGGGCACATTGTGGGTGATCAGGCGACGCTTCCACTCAAATGGAGCGGGCAAATTCCCAGGACTGGTCCTACTGTATTCCAGATGTCCAGACTCCAAGTGCCAGTTCCTTCCCGGTGTTCAGCTGCTGCATTGATCCTCCATGGGGCCCTGCCGTGCACTGCTGTGATGAGGCGTTCCACCAGGGCAAATGCCTACCCGGCAGTGCTCTCAGGATCTGCATTGCTCAAGCTGGCTGGAGTCCCCCACAGGGATGCTCCGCAGGGCAGGCCAAAGCTGCCTAAGGGGCTCCCTCAGCTGTCCATTAATCACCTCACTTCTGGATCAGGGAACCAAGAAATGTAGCAGGACAAGCCGCAGACAAAACCCCTCAGACACCGGGTTAAAGAAGGAAGAGGCTTTATTCGGCTGGGAGCGTTGGCCGACTTGTGTCTCAAGAACTGAGCTCTCATCTTTTCCTTGAATGACCTCAAAGACTTTGTTAACATTTGTGGGCTTCTGAGCTCCCTTCTTTAACCTGGTGTCTGAGGGGTTTTGTCTGCAGCTCGTCCTGCTACAGTGACACTTAGCCTCAGTCTCATTTCCAGTAGGGTCAAACTGATGACCTGACATACTTATTTTCTGTGCTCTCAGCTGTGTCTAAATATCCCTGTGAACCACTATAAATTCATGGGCAATCAAGCGTGGCCCAAAAATATGACCAGAGTGGCGCAGACCTGCCTACAATAGCCCTTGAAGCTGATTGAGGCAGTGCCTAGATGCCCTGCAAGAAGGCTGGTGACACCTACCCCTGTCTGAGGCATCCTCCTCATGTCTGGCAGATGCTCTCTTCCTGCTCCTCCCCCATTGTCCCTGGGGCTCCTCAAGGCTCTCGAGGCAGCCACTGATGGCCAGGTTCTCTGTGGGAGTTGGCTCTCCTGTCAGCCCTCCTTCCTTCTCTCTTTTGCCCACATTCCCTCCTCTCCTGTCTTCCCCCAAAATTCAAAAACTGTTTTTATTCCTGCTGCATCCCCAATCATTCATCTGGAGACTCACAGGTGGTCCCTTCCCCATCCCCTGAGACTCCTTGGGAGAAGATAGTTCAGGATCCGAGACTTGGTCTAGTACAGGAATGAGTGATAGCCACCCTGAGTGAGTGCCTTCATGGCTCTCTGGAGTTCCAGGCCCTTGAAGCGGAGCTTACACTTACCCAGAGTGCAGCCCATGACAGTGTGAAAGAGCACTGGCTGTAGCCAAGTGTTAGGGACCAAATGCTTCCAAGATTCCAGAGCGTTGGTCTAGATTCACTGATGACATCACATCATTCCACGAGGAATGGCTCTTTGGTTTATAAAAGGCACTCAAGGAAAAGGCCATGAGCCTCACAGGGAAGGGGGTTAGTGTCCCAGCCCGAATGCTGGAGTCACCTGCTCTTACCCCAACATGACCTTCACGTGGGGCCTCATCTTGTGTTCAATCAAATCCATTAATGATTTCAAATGAAAATGTTACATTCACATAGCAGAAAATTGAGAATATGCAAAATTAAAAGTTGATTAACCTCTCATCTATACTACAAAGTTACAAATATTGTTTATTTCTATTGCCTTATTTGTGTTTAGTATCATATTAAAATTTAAAAATGTAAGCTTTAATATTTTGAGATAATCATAGATTCACATGTGATTGTAAGAAGTAACACAGAGGGGCTCTAGATACCCCTCATCAAGATTTCTCCAGTGGTAACAACTTGCATAACTATAGTTCAATATCACAATAGGAAATTGAGTTTGGTACAATCCATTGACATTGTTCAGATTTCATCAGTCTTATATACACTTGCTAGTGTGTGTGCATTTTGTTCTATGCAATTTTATCTCATGTATACACTTGTGTGACCACCACCAAGTTACAGAACAGTTGTATTATAAGAATACTTCCTATTACTTTTTTTAGAACTTCATCTTCCCTAATCCCTGGCAACCACTAATCTTTACAACCTTATAATTTTGTTATTTGAACAATATTGACCAGGCATGGTGGCTCACGCCTCTAATCCGGGCACTTTGGGAGGTCAAGGTGGGTGGATCACTTGAGCTCAGGGGTTTGAGACCAGCCTGGGCAACATGTTGAAACCCCATCTCTACAGAAAATACAAAAATTAGCCAGGCGTGGTGGTGTGCACCTGTAGTCCAAGCTACTTGTAGAGCCGAGTTGGGAGAATCACTTGAGCCCAGGAGGTCAAGCCTGCAATGATCTATGTTTGTACTATTACTGGTGGTGAATCCACGTGGGTCTGCAGCAACCTCAGTTCTTGCCTCCTCAAAAGAAAGAATTCGACTGAAGAGCATAAGGCAGAAGAAGAGACTGGGGCAAATTTTAGAGCAGGAGTAAAAGTTTATTAAAAAGCTTTAGAGAAGGAACAAAAGGAAGGAAAGAACACTTGGAAGAGGCCCAAGTGGGCGACTTGAAGGACAAAAGTGCAGGGTTTGTTGGGGTTTGGTATGCAGGCATACTTCTGGGGTTTTGTGTTCCTTCTCCCCTGATTCTTTCTTTGGGGTGGGCTGTCTGCATGCACAGTGGCCTGCTAGCGCTTGTGAGAGGAGCATGTGCAGTGTGCTGACTGGAGTTGTATGCATGCTCACCTGAGGCATTCTTCCCTTACCAGCTGAATGCCCCTAGGAGGTCATACACCAGTTAAACTCTGCCATCTTGCCTCTTAGTCTGCATGTGTGAGCCTACTTGTTCAACTCCTGAGATTTTACTGGGAAGCTACTGATCACCAGGTTCAGGTGTTTTCTATTTATCAGGAAACTGCCTTTCTCTGGCACTGGCTGTAACCAATTATTATTTTAGAGAGACAGTTAACAACTGCTTGACCATCACCTGGTGGTTGCCTAACATTCCTGGTTTGGGGTTGTGAGGGGCTCTCTCCTGCCCTGCTCAGACCTGACCAGCTACCTACTATAACAGCACCACTGCACTCCACCCTGGGTGACAAAGCAATGCTGTCTCAAAACAAAAAGAAAACAAAAATGAAAAGCCCCCAGTATTACCTAAATGGAACCAGCCAGTATATAATCTGGGATTGGTGTTTTTCACTTAGCGTAATTCCCGATATCCAGCCAAGTTGTTGCATGAATCAATAGTTAATTCATTTTTATTGCCTAGTGGTGCTCCCAGTCATATGATAAGGGCACATTGACTTTGTAAGAAGCTGCCATACTTTGTTCTAGAGTGGTCCTGCCATTGTACATGCCTGCCAGCAGTGTCTGAGTGATCCATTTTCTCCGCATTGCCAGTGTTTGGTGTTATCGTTATTTTCTAGTTTAACCATATAAGACTGTGGTTTTAACTGAAATATCTTTTCAATAACATCACACAGTTGGCAAATAATGTTTATCCTTTGCCCATGTCTTCTCATTATTGAGCCATAATTTTTAAAGATATTTTATTGGGTAAACATATTTACATAACAGTAAATGCCTTAATTGTCTTTGTATATTCTAAATATAATTTCTTTATCATTTATATGGCTTGCAAATATTTTCTCCCATTCTGTATTTTTTTTTTTTTTTTTTGAGACGGAGTCTCGCTCTGTCACCCAGGCTGGAGTGCAGTGGTGAGATCTCGGCTCACTGTAACCTCTGCCTCCGGTATTCAAGCAATTCTCCTGCCTCAGCCTCCTGAGTAGCTGGGACTACAGGTGCATGCCACCACACTTGGCTAATTTTTGTATTTTCAGTAGAGATGGGGTTTCACCATGTTGGTCAGGCTGGTCTCAAGCTCCTGATCTCAAGTGATCTGCCTGCCTTGGTCTCCCAGAGTGCTGGTATTACAGGCGTGAGCCACCACGCCTAGCCCTGTCTCTTTCTTCCTTCCTTCCTTCCTTCCTTCCTTCCTTCCTTCCTTCCTTCCTTCCTTTCTTTCTTTCTTCCTTTCTCTTTCTTTCCTTCTTTCTCCTTCCTTCCTTTCCTTTTCTTTCTTTCTTCCTCTTTTTTCTTTCTTTCTTTCTTTCTTTCTTTCTTTCTTTCTTTCTTTCTCTTTCTTTCTTTGTCTGTCTTCTTTTCTTTCTTTCCATCTCTCTCTCCTTCCTTCCTTCCTTTCCTTTCTTCCCTCCCCTTCCCTCCCTTCCCCTCCTCCCTCCCCTCCCCTCCCCTCTCCTCACTTCCCCTCCCCTCTTCTCTTCTCTTCTTTTTTCTTTCTCTCACTACATTGCCCAGGCTGGAGTGCAGGAACCTAGATTCAAAGATACAATTTTAGCACTCTGTAACCTTGAACTCCTGGCCTCAAGTGATCCTCCCACCTCAGCCTCCTGAGTAGCTAGGACTATAGGCCCATGCCACAATTCCCAGCTCAAGGAGTGATACTTTGTCTTGTGCATCCTCTGTCTTGCCTTTCCACTTAGCTATGGCCTGGCTAGAGTTCTTAATGAGAGAAGTCTGCTATAATCCTTTCTCCCAAAGAGCCTCCTTTATACACTACATGGTCACTTTCTTCCATATACGAGAGAAGAGTAAGCTTGCTCTCTCACATCATCATTACCAAATCTCAGCTGGGCAATTAAAGGAAATACTTGGATATTTACTTATCCAAATACTTGGACAATTTCCAAAGTAGAATTATCACAGTTTTGGCTTTGAGAAAGAACTTGGTATTATTGCAGGTATTTTGGGAACACTTATATAATATTTTCTATTATACTTCTTGAGAGGGGTTGGTTATTTAGTGACATGAATTAAGGCATTATAATATTAAAGAATGGGGCATCAATTTCATTGGTAAGTTTCCTCTTCAGCAGAAAAGAGATAAGAATGTTCATTTATGCATAAAAGAACTTGTCAAATGCTTTTTTTTTCCCATCAGTTAATATGATCATGTAATTTTTCCTCCTTAGTCTGTTGATATGGTGAATTACACTGATTGCTTTTCAAATTTTGAGTCAGCCTTATATCCCTGGAATAACTTAGTCATGGTTAAGAAAAAATATATATTGCTGAATTTTATTTGTTGACATTTTGTTAAAGATTTTTATATATATCTTCATGACAAATATTGGTCTGTAATTTTTAAAATACTGTTTTTATCTGGTTTTGGTATGAGGTTAATATTAGTTTCATAAAATAAATTAGGAAGTATTCCCTGACTTTTTTTTTTGTAAGAGATTTTGTAAACTTGGTGTTTAAACTTTTAAAAACATTTGTTAGAATTCTCGAGGGAAGTTATCTGAATCTAGAGATTTCTTTTATGTGAGTTTTACAATTACAAATTCAATTTCTTAAATTATCTATTTCATCTTGAGTGAGTTGTGGCAGTTTGTAAGTTTCAAAGAAGTAGTTCATATATCTAAGTTGACAAATTTGTTTGTAGAGTTGTTTATAGTATTCCCTTATTATCATTTAATGTTTTAAATATCTATATCCCCTCTTTCATTCATGATATTGATAATTTGTGTCTTTGTTTTCTTTGTTAGATTTGCTAGAGGTTTATTTTATTAATCTTTTAAAATAATCAACTCTTTGTTTCATTGATTCTCTACTGTGTTTCTGGTTTCAATTATATTAGTTTCTGCTCTTTACTATTTCCTTCCTTCTTTCTGTTTTGGTTTTCTTATATTTATTTATTTTAGAGACAAGGTTTGCTCTGTCATCCAGGCTGGAGTGCATGATTATAGCTCCCAGTAACCTTGAACTACTGGACTGAAGCAATCCTCCCACCTCATCCTCCTGAGTAGCTAGGACTACAGGTGCATGCTGCCACACCTGGCTAATGTTCTTTATTCTTTGTAGAGATGGAGTCTTGCTATGTTGCCCAGTCTGATCCCAAACTCCTGGACTCAAGCAGTTGTCCCAGTTCTGCCTCCCAAATCACTGGGATTATAGGTGTGAGGCACCTTGCCCGGCCTGTTTTGGTTTTATTTTGATCTTTTTCTAATTTTTAAAGGTGGAAACTTAGATTATTGATTTGAGACTTTTCTTTTCTTATGTAAGTATTTAATGCTGTGAATTTTCCTCTTAGCACTGCTTTGGGTACATTTCACAAATTTTATGTGATAGTTTCATTTTCATTCAGTTCTATGTATTTTAAAAATTTTCTGAGAAATTGAGAACTTTCTTTTTGACCCATGGATTACTTATAATTGTGTTGTATAGTTTTAAAGTGTTTGAAGATTTTTCATATGTCTTTCTGTTATTGATTTCTAGTTTGATTCCATTATGGTATGAAAATATACTCTGTATGATTTCAATTTTAATTTTGTTGAGATTTGCTTTATGGCCCTGGATATGGTCTATCTTGATAAATGTTTTGTGGACATTTGAAAAGATAATGTGTGCTGTCTGATGTCACTGGGGCAATGTTCTACAAATCTCAATTATATTCTTTTCATTGACACTGTTTTTGTGTTCTTCTAAATGCTTGCTGATTTTCTGCCTAGTTGTTCTTTTTTATTATCACTTTTTATTTCTTTATTTGGTGGTTTTGCCTAGTTGTTCTATCAGTTGTTGAGAGAGAGTGTTGAAATTTCCAACTATAATGTGATTTCTCTCTTTCTCCTTTTGGTTCTATCAGTTTTTGCTTTACATATTTTGCAGCTCTGTTATTTGATGCATGTACATTTAAGATTGCTATGTCTTCCTGGTAGATTGACTCTTATCATTATGTAATATCCCTTTATGTCTCTGATAATCTTTTTGCTCTGAAGTCTGCTTTATCTGATATTAATAGCAACTCCTGCTTTGTTTTGACTGATGGTTACATAGTAACATGGTATATATTTTTCTCATCCGTGTATGTTGAACTTACTTATATTCTTATATTTGAAGTTAACTTCATATGGATAGCATATAGTTGGGTCATGATTTTTAATCCACTCTGCCAGTTTCTGTTTTTTAATAGGTCTATTTAGACAATTTACATTTAATATAAGTATGAGATATTAAGGCTAAGTCTGCCATTTTATCTATCTGTGCTTATTTGTGTGTTTATCTCTTTTTTTTCTCTGTTTTATCTTCCTTGCTTTCCTGTGGATTGCTTGAAAATATTTTATAATTCCATTTTGACTTATAGTGTTTTTTAAGTGTATTTCCTTGTATCAATTTTTTAGTGGTTGCTCTAGGTGCTACATCCTGTACATGTAACTCAGGAAAGTCTATTTGAGTTGATGTTTTATCAGTTCGAATAAAGTGTAGAAACTTCATCTCCCTTTAGATAACTTTACCCTATCACATTGATAATATAATTATCTTAAATAGTTTCTTTCTATATCTCGAGAAGTATATTAGACAATGTTATAATTTTTGCATCAACCATCATAGTTTAGAAAACTTGAGAAGCTAAGTGTAGCATATATTTACCCATATTTTTTCTCTTTTTGTCCTTTCTTCCTTTCTGCTACTAGAAGATTCTTTCTATCATCATTTCCTATCCATCTCAAGAAATTTCCTTAGTTATTCTTTTAGGGTAGGTCTGTTGGCAATAAATCCTGTTTGTTTTCCTTTATTTGACAATATGTTGATTTTCCCTGCATTCCTAAAGGATATTTGTGCTAGATATAGAATTAGGGGTTGACAGGTCTTTTCTTTCATTACTTGAAAAAAATCTGTCACCTCTAGTCTCTGTTGTTTCTGATGAGAAACACATTGTCATTTGAATTGTTTTCCTCTTATAGGTAAAATGTCATTTCAATGTTTTCAAGATTTCTTCCTTTAGTTTCAGAATTGTGATTATAATATGTCTTAGCACGGATTCTTTTGAGTTTGGGATTTGGAATTTGCTCAGCTACTCGAATCTGTAGCTTTTTGTCAAATTTGTCATTTTTCAACCATTGTTTCTTTGAATACTTTTTAAGCCCCATACTCTTTCTCCTCTTTTTCTTGGTTTTTGATCATGCAAATGCTAGACCTTATAAAAATAGTCCCATGGATCCCTGAAGCTCTTTCCCCCTGCCTTAGTATATATTCTTTTTCTGGCTCAGATTGGGTACCTTCTATTTTTCTATATTCAAGTCCATTGATTCTTTTCTCTATCCTCTTGTTTCTGTTCTTCAGCCATATTGCTAAAATATTTATTCTGTTTATTGTATTTTTTTCAATTCTAAAATTTCTATGTGGTTCTTTTCAATATCTTTTTTGCTGAGACGTTTTTATTCTTTCATTTGTTTCAAGCATTTTCATAATTGCTCACTGAAGCTTTTCTATTTTAGCGAGTGTTCTTTGACATTGTGTTGGCAGAGGGGAAAAGGGCATTGCCTTCTTAGTGCCAGATGGGAGTGGAAGTCCAGGTTACCCATTTGGCACCATTGACACCTATGCTGGGAAGGGGTTCCTTGTTACTGCTAGGTAGAGGTCAGAGTCTAAGATTTCCATGTAGCTTTCACCAACACTACTGAGGGGGAAGGGCATGCTTCATTAATGCCAGGCATGAATGAAATTCCTGGATCTCATCTGGTTTTGTCCAACACCATTCTGGCTGGCGTGGGATGGGTAGGGTGCTTTGTTGCAGCCAGGAGAGGATGCAAGTCTAGATTCTCCACTCAGCCTTTGCTAACAAGTGTGGGGCTGGAGTCACATTTTTTTCATGGTGTTTGGCTGGGGGTGCTTATGTTGTAGACAGAAGTTTTCTGCCTTGTTAGGCTGACTTTTTTCTGGTCCTTTGGCTGGGGAAGCTTTTCTTGGGGCCTTTTTTTTTTTTTGGCTGTGCCTGTTGGTATTTCTAGGTTGCTGCTTCTCTGGCACCCAGTTTGAGACATAAGAAGCCAAAAAGAGGCCAGGCACAATGGCTCACACCTGTAATCCCAGCACTTTGGGAGGCCAAGGTGGGCTGATCACTTGAGGTCAGGAGTTCAAGACCAGCCTGGCCAACATGGTGAAACCCCATCTCTACTATAGATACAAACATTAGCCAGGCATGGTGGCAGGCACCTGTAATCTCAGCTATTTGGGAGGCTGAGGCAGGAGAATCGCTTGAATTCAGGAGGTGGAGATTGGAGTGAGCTGAGATCACACCACTGCTGTGCTCCAGCCTGGATGACGGAGTGAGTGAGACTCTGTCTAAAAAAAAGAAGCCAATCAGAGAACTTATAACCATGTCATTCATTTCTTATGTCCTGGGATCCTTATTCAGTTTGTCTTCTTTCCATATTTCAAAGTCTTTCATGCTTCATATATAATGTCCAGTGTTTTCGCAGCACTTAGAAGGAGGAATAGAGAGAAATTTATCTACTCCATCTTGTCCATAACCAGAGGTTCAAGAGAGTAATTTTATTTTGCCATTAAATTTTGAGTGTCTAGAGGCCATTACTGTTAGCAAACTTTCTTCAACAGAGGGAGTGTTTACCCTGAAAGCTGCATTTATATAAAAAATAAGGTACCAAAAAATTAGGAAGAAAAATGCAACCTGAGAGTATGTGATAACTTCATGTACACTTCTTTTCTCTTTTATTTGTTCACTATTATACCTAAAAGTTATGAGAATAGAGAATAACATTAATAACGTTCTGACAATCCTTGGAATTCTAAGAGAATATAAGACATCCCTCTCTTATTTTAAGAAAGCATGGAATACTGATCAGCAAAAAAAGAAACGACTTGGGTGGATATCAAGGGAATTATTCTGAGTAAAAAAATCTTTGAGGGTTATATGCTGCATGATTCCATTTATGTAGCATTATTGAAGTGACAAATTTATGGAGGTCGAGAACAGATTTGTAGCTGCCAGTTTAGGGAAGAGGGTAGGGAGAGGGATGGCTGTGGCTATGAAAGAAATAGCATGAGGATTCCTTGTACTGTGTTATCTGTGGTGGTGGTGGTCATACAAATCTACACATAATAAAACTGCATAGACACACACACATACTGGAGTGCATGTAAAAGTGGTGAAATATCAATAGACGAAAGGATTGTATCAATGGCAATTTTGTGGTTGAGGCCAGACACTACCCAGAGACTTCAGTGACCCTCCCCTGCTGGTGATATTGTACTATATAGTCCTGCAAGTTTTCACCATTGGGGAAACTGGGTGAAGGGTGTATGGGAGTCTCTCTAGTGTTTCTTATAACTGTATGTGTCAGTCTACAATGAATTCAAAAGAAAAAAGTTTTAAAAAGCAAAGCAAAGCATTTTGCTATTTTGTACTTTCTTCCTCTGCAGACTGCCCTACTCACTTCCCCGGTGCAAAGAGGAAATGGACAGTCTAATGTGGCTTCTGCTTAATAGTCTCTTGTGTGCATAGAGAACCTGTTTTTTCCCAATTGTGTAAGAGTTGGTTGTTCTTTTCTCCATGAGCTATTGTTTGGGCTTTGAGTGAGTGAGGGGAGATTTGGTCCTATTCTGGAGTTACAAGAGGGAGAATCTGACTTATGTAGGCACCATTGGTTTCCACTGCTGTCCTTAATGCCCTTCTGAATAATCCAGGTGATTTTCTCTGCACAGTCCTGAGGCTACATCCACTGAGACTGGCTCTGTACAAAGATGCTAAACGCCAGACACTCCCCAGATACCTCTGTGCCCCCTCCCCTATTGATGGAGAGCAGAAGAGATATGAGTCTTTCACGGAGGCTGACATCACATGCAGACTTTGGCCTCAAGTCTTTGTCACGTGCCAAGGACAGAAGAAATACCGTGAACTAGAAAGCTTTTGTGAGTATAAGGAGGAGAAAAAAATTAGCCAGAGTTGCAAGATGCTTTATGTTGTTTCAAGTTTGTTCTCATCTCTAAAGGTAAACTATAGAACCCACCTTCTGGGGCAGGTAGATGAGATAATCCTGCATTAGTGAACTGTAGCATCTGACTTTCATAGAGAATGGTTTTCTTAGTAGAAATTGGGGCGCAAAAAAATGAATGCAGTTATGGGAACTTTGCGATGAGATGCAAAATATCTGGGTAGAAAGCAGATAAATTACCCTCATGTATGTATTTTAGTGTAAAGTGGACATGATTACTAGGTAAAATGCACAGAATTTCTCAGTTTTCATTGATGGTATGAAATGTCTCACACTCAAATGTCAGTAAGGGCCAGAAGAAAATGTAAATATAAGGAGTTAGTGGATAAATAATAATAGAAAGTATGGGGCATTGTCAATAAACTGGAGATCTTGGATTCAATATGAATGTTTTCAAATTCAAATTTTTAAACATTGTGATGGCTGGATAATCACATCTGACCACAGATGGTCAGCAGCTGCTTCAATATAAGTTGTGCTTGGCTTTTCTACATTATGAACCCGGAAATTAAGCTTTTCTGTATATAACAAAAGCACAAATATCAATGGCGTAAACAAGATTAGGTCACCTGCTTCTCGTTAGGATGTAGAAAGACGTGAAAACTTTCCTCCTGTGGTGATGACAAGAATGAACCACATAAGAATCGTACGTTCATGGGGCTTTCAAAGATTGGAAGATGTAAGGAAGCTCTGATGAACTGAATTGCAGAGGGCGCGCCCTCTAGATGAGCAGAGACCCTGGAGCTCTCTGGGGCAAGTGCCTGAATGAGTTCAGGTGGGAAAAGTAGCAGCTGCCTACAGGCAGGAGGCTTTGCAGGGTTAAGAAGGAGCATCCTGCGTCAGGGGCAACATGTGGCTCTGGAGGAGTTCCAAATGCAAATATCCATCTCTCAGCCCAACAACTCTCTTCCTTACCTGGAATTTTGCTGGGAAAGTGGCATTGGAGAAGGGGTTGGTAGCAGGGAGAATACAGACAGCCTTACACATCTCTGTGAGGCTTGGGTTCTGGAGCCCTGCAGAAGGTGAACCTAAAGGTGAATCCAAACTGTCTGAAACAGTAGCCACTCCCCAGCTTCCAAACATGAAGAAAAGGTAAGAATCCTTTAATTATAGCAATGCAAGAGGCTGGGGTTGGGCTACCAGAGTTTCTTACATTAGATGTAAAGTGGTATGATATGAATTCAAGATAGAGATTGCCAGACTGGATAAAAAAGCAAGACCAAACCATACAGTATTTACAAAGATACACTTTAAATATGACACAGATACATTGAAAGTAAATGGATGGAAAAGGAAAAACATGGTAATGTCCAGACTCAATGTGAGAGGGAACTCACACAGAGGTGTGGCTGATTTTGGCATTGGGAGGTGTGACTCATTGGCATTGGGAGGCATGGGCCATTGGCACTGGGAGGTATGGCCCATTGGTACTGGAAGGCATGGCCCATTAGGACTGGGAGTTATTGAGCATTGGGACTGGGAGGTACGGCTCAGTGGCACTGGGAAGCATGGACCATTGGTGGGAACCATGGCTCACTGCACTGGGAGACGTGGACCATTGGCTGGGAGGTGCAGCTCATTGCCCTGGGAGGTGTGGATCATTGCAATGAGAGGTGTGGACCATTGCACGAGGAAGCATGGACCATTGCACTGGGAGGTGCAGCTCATTGCCCTGGGAGGTGTGGACCACTGCACTGGGAGGTGTGGCCACTGCACTGGGAGGTGTGGACTATTGCCCTGGGAGGTGCGGACCATAGCACTGGGAGGTGCAGGTTATTGCCCTGGGAGGCATGGATCCTTGAACTGGGATGCGTGGACCATTGCAGTGGGAGGTGTGGGCTACTGGGGGCCATGTGGCATTTGAGTTATGGCAGAATGGGTCTGGGAAAGAGAATTCTGGGCTAAGAGAGTCTTCCGTTCTTTCTTGTTTCCTCCTCTGGAAATGGCTACCTCTTCTTCCTCAAAGGAAGCTGAGGAATGTCTGCAGCAGGCAGGCTGTGTGGGGACTTCTAGACCACAAAGGCCTGTCTCTGTGACAGCTTAGGCCTGGTGGGGTGTTCATGGCTGTGAACACCCCGGAGAGAACATGGCTGTGGTCTTTACCAGCCCTCCATTCCTCTTCCCCTCATAGATCTGTGAGAGAAAAGGAAAATGGATGTGTTCCTTCGTTTTAGGTAGAAGGGCTTTGAGGACTGGAGAACGCCTAGGGAGAAAGGGGTGATCAAAATATAACGTTGTTCCGGGATGTAATTATAAAAAACTGGGCTCCAAATATGAATTCAGGAATACTTGGTCCCCGTGCCAATGCAGCCAAACCCCTGCACAGTGTGGGAGCAACTCCTGGGGTTGGTGGGAGGCCTGGCTGATGCATGATGGGTCTGAAAACCGCTCAGGCTTTGCCAGGTATGTGTCAGGCACTGATGGCGGCGATCGGACCGGCCTAGGTTGGCTTAGCGCGCCCTCTAGTGGGAGAAGGTCTAAAGAGCAAAATGCGAGCATCCTTGCCACAGGGCAGAAATGATGCTGAACGTGCACGCCACATCAAAGGACATACGTGCTTAAGGGACTTGTGCTTAACAATTACTGTGATTAGTCCGTTCTCACGCTGCTCTAAGGACACACCCGAGACTGGGTAATTTATAAAGGTGTTTTAATAGACTCACAATTCCACATGGCTGGGGAGCCCTCACAATCATGGCTGAAGGCGAAGAAGCAAAGGCACGTCTTATATGGTGTGTGCAGGGGAACTGCCCTTTATGAAACCATCCGATCTCGTGAGACTTATTCACTATCACGAGAACAGCACGGGAAAAACCCACCCCCATGGTTCAATTACCTCCCACTGGGTCCCTCCCATGACATGTGGGGATTGTGAGAGCAACAATTCAAGATGAGATTTGGGTGGAGATAGAGCAAAACCATATCAGTCACCATCTTAAATTGTTAATACATTGGAATTTGTTTATGTCTGTTGTAAAAAAGGCCAGTCGCTTAGCTATTTCATGGCGGTTTTGAGGAATTACCACCATAACTTATGGGAGAGTGTTTTGGTAAATGGTTACATAAGTATGAGGAATTTTAATTTTTTCATTAGAAATAATGTGTGGAATTTATAGGACAATTTATTAAGAAGCTTAAATGTATGTATGGTCGTTGATTAATCTAGGGCCATTTCTCTCTTAGAGTCTCTTAGAGAAGTTGCTAAGCATTTTGATTGCTGTCAATAGAGATTGAGTGTGTGGTAAGGCTTCCTCCTTGGTGGGCCTTTTGGTGATAGGATGGTCAAGTGAGGAAGGGCTGTGCTCCTGCGGCTCCTAATTCTGAATTATATTTATTGGGCCATGCAGTCTGGTTAGTGCCTGAGTTTATGTATGGGAAATGAATTCCATTTCTACATGCTGGGTCCTTATCAGAGCAGAAAAAAGAACCCACGCTATGCAGATACATAAATGTCACCCACATGAACAAGGCACTGTCTTCAGTATGGCATGAAGGGGGCAGTGATGGATGGGCAGCTGGAGAGGGGAGCGTGTTCAGATGAGACAGGCTGGTGCAGACATCTGGGGTCAACCACAGCAGACACTAAAATGCAGTGGGGCCGTGGTGAGGGGGATGGAGGGGATGTGGGAGGTGAGTGGGAGCTGAGGGAAGAGGAGTGGCTCAGAATGCAGCGGGGGGTCTGCGAGAGGACCAGAGAGGGAGGAAGCCTCTCCTTGGGAAGAGTTGGGGGCAGGTCAGGAGAGGTTCCAGGTAGAGTCAGAGGTGGCTGGGCTGGGGTGGTGAAAGCCACCCTTATCCTCCCTGTGACTCTTAGGGTCATTGCACTGCTTTTCTGCTTCCAGATGAGATGGAGTAGCAGGGACGGCGTTTATCCTTTCACCTGACATAATTAACACAGGACAAAATAGATGAGGAAAAAAACAACAAAGCGAAACTCTTGCCATCAGACAGCGCAGAGCTGTGGTCCCTGAGAGGGAGAGACAGACAAGAGGAGTGCTAGGATTTCCCCAGAGGGCGTGGCCTGGACACTTTCCAAGCTGTGGCCCATGGATGTGGCTGCTGTCGTGGTGGGGTCCCTCCGGGGAAATCACTTTGTCAGTGAACAGCAACATCCTTTTCTGATTTTTCTAGTACCACGCATTGTTTTCTCCCATTGTCCAACAAAGGAGGCAAGAATGCAGTGTGCCGCATTCCTCCTGCAGCAGCGCTCCGGTGGCGTACCTTAACCTCGCTTTTGTTTTTTCATGTGTTGGCTGAGTCAGTGAGTGTGCTGTGGTGGACCTCTGCCATTTGTAGCTCCTCAAATCTTCAGCACCCTCTTCACAGTTTGATAGTTCCCCACAGTGTACCTCCTGCCTTCTAATGAGTCTCCAAATATTCCATTTCACAACCATCCTTGTTTTTGAGGTGCAAACATATGATTTAGGTCCAGGGATCATAGGCACCCACTCAAGGCTTTGATCCCAAACAGTTCCCATGGCTGGGGCAGATTGCGGTGGAGGGGCAGGGGCAGGGGCTGACAGCTGTGGCAGAGGCGTCCTGATTCAGCTGCCTCCAGATGGGGCCAGAGCGGCTGCCCCTCACTGCATTAGATCTATGGTATGGCACTGGGGGTCTCTTTCTTCAGCATTCGATTTGGTATGTTATCTTTTTTTTTTCTTTGATCAGCTTTTCATTATCTCTATTCACAAGTCGTTATAATATTGCTATTTATCAGTTTAATGTAACACATATGATAAAAACAGATGATAAAAAGTATCATATTAACAATGAGAACATTATTGGCTGGGTGCAGTGGTTCACGCCTGTAATCCCAGCACTTTGGGAGGCCGAGGAGGGTGGATCACCTGAGGTCGGGAGTTTGAGACCAGCCTGACCAACATGGAGAAACCCTGTCTCTACTAAAAATACAAAATTAGCCAGGTGTGGTGGCACATGCCTGTAATTCCAGCTGCTAGGGAGGGTGAAGCAGGAGAATCACTTGAACCTGGGAGGCGGAGGTTGCGGTGAGCTGAGATCGCGCCATTGCACTCCAGCCTGGGCAATAAGAGTGAAACTCCATCTCAAAAAAAAAAAAAAAAAAAAAAGAGAACATTATTTTACACAACCCATTTACTGAATATGCAGCCTCTTGCAACAATAACGTAGTGGACCCAACTCTACCCTCTGAATGGACCACTTTTATGATTCTCCTAAAAAGTTTTGAGTTGGATATAGTTTCTTGTTGCTTCTTTCTGTGATCCGAGACTTAAGAATGAGTCTCTGGAAACGCAGCAATTGGAACCAGACCTCCCCAGGATCAAAGAGGACAGGAGTGGGAGAAAGGATGCAGGACACGACTCCCACCGTCTCCAGCACTGCGCCGTATGCTTGACCTCAGAGCATGCAGGCACTCAAGGTCAAGTGTGCAGCCACGTCTATATCCTGCATCTCAAGTGCTCGCAACTGTGACAATTAGCAGATATGGGAGAGAGGAGGCATATCATGGAGGAATGAGTCAGTCCCAAAAATTACATGAACATTTCTGAAATTTCAATACCAAGGGTTAACTTCTAAAGTACTAGTGTATAAACAGAAGCCATATAGCTAGCCATGAACTGAAACGCATGTACCATACAGTGAAGGAGCTCCTGTGCATACAAAACCACCCACGTCTCATTTATCTCTAATTTTAAAATAACTCATTCCCTTGCTGGATATGCAAGTGAGTGGTGGAGAAAGCGGTCTATCTGCAAGGCTGGCGGGGGTTAAGGATTTCATTGCTTCCAAAAGACGTGAGCAAGAGAACTTTATTACTCACTGAAGGGGATTCTTCCTTCTCAGCCAAGATGGTCCCATTTAAATCACTTTTGAATTTCCTTTCAAGCTTCAATTGTGCAAATTCTAGTTGTGGTTGAGGATCGTCCCCAACAGCTTTTTGAGTTATTCCTTGGACTCTTCCTTTTTCTACTATGTTTTCATGAATAATTCTAGAATCCATATTTATATCCAGCCCAAGGCTTCTTTCCTATAGAGGTGTCGTCGAGTTGTGACAGCTTCAAAGATCTGATCATACTGTTTAAAAGCAATAGGCTTGGGAGTCCAGATGTCAGCTTCTCAGATCCATTTTCACAGTCTGATGCTGTCTGCTAGCAATTATCAGTGCCTGACCCAGAAGCGGTCTATTGCACCTCAGCTTGGAGGAAAAAGTGAAGGCACATGCAGTCTGGGAAAAAAAGAGAAAGGAAGGAAAAGGCAGGCAGGCAGGCAGGAAGGAAGGAAGGAGAGAAAAAGAAAGGTGGTAGGTTTGTATGTACTGACTTGGATTTGTGTACTGTGTTCCCCAGGCAATTCTAATCCAGACTGCATTCCCCTCAATGTCTCTAAAGCTGTCACATTTGTAAATGCTTACTGCAGAATTTTCTTTTTTTTCTTTTCTTTCTTTTTTTTTTTTTTTCTGAGACGGAGTCTCACTCTGTTGCCCAGGCTGGCATGCAGTGGTGTAATCTCAGCTCACTGCAACCTCCGCCCCTGGGTTCAAGTGATTCTTCTGCCTCAGCCTCCCGAGTAGCTGGGATTACAGGTACCTGCCACTGCACCTGGCTAATTTTTGTATTTTTTTAGTAGAGACGGGGTTTCACCATCTTGGCCAGGCTGATCTTGAACTCATGACCTCGTGATCCACCTGCCTCTGCCTCCTGAAGTGTTGGGATTATAGGCACGAGCCACCGCGCCCGGCCTGAGGAATTTTCTTAAATGAATTTTTAAGTTGTTTCATATCAAAAAGGTCAGCATCTTCACCTGGTCCTTTACTCGTCTGAAAAGCATCCCAAACTTTCTTGTGCTGATGAAATTGAGTATAAACTGTGTCTCAAAGGGCTGCGTCATAGGGATATTTGCATGCTTCTCACACAGCAGAACCAAGTGCTGAACGAGAGAGTCCTTTCTCTGCCGGAAATTTAAAGTCTGCAGTTGATTTTCAGACAAAAAATCCCAGGCTTTAGGATTGTTGTCATTTCCGTCATGGGGTTCCTCTTTCTCTCTTTTCTTTCTTTCTTTCTTTCTTTCTTTCTTTCTTTCTTTCTTTCTTTCTTTCTTTCTTTCTTTCTTTCTTTCTTTCTTTCTTTCCTTTCTTTCTCTCTCTCTCTTTTCTTTCTCTTTCTCTCTTTATTTCTCTCTCTTTCTTTCCTTTCTCTTTCTTTCTTTCTTTCTCTTTCTTTTCTTTCTCTCTTTCTCTCTTTATTTCTCTCTCTCTCTTTCTCTCTTTCTCTCTGTCTCTCTCTCTTTCTGCCTTTCTTGCCTTTCTTGCCTGCCTGCCTGCCTGCCAGCTTGCCTGCTTTCTTTCTTTCTTTCTTTTCTTTTCTTTTCTTTTCTTTTCTTTTCTTTTCTTTTCTTTTCTTTTCTTTTCTTTTCTTTTCTTTTCTTTCGACAGGGTCTTGTTCTGTCACTCAGCCTGGAGTGCAGTGGTGTGATCTCAGCTCACTGCAACCTCGACCTTCCGGGCTCTATCGATCCTCTCACCTCAGCCTCCTGAGTAGCTGGGTCTACAGCATGTGCCACCACGCCTGGCTAATTTTATTTTTTGTAGAGATGGGGTCTCACTATGTTGCCCAGGCTGGCCTTGAACTCCAGGGCTCAAATGATCTTCCTGCCTTGGCCTCCCAAAGTGCTGGGATTACAGGAGTGAGCCATCACACCCAGCCATGAGGATGTTTGAGATGATCCTCTTAATAAACTCAGCAACAGTCTCATCCATCTCTCTGTCATGGCCCACGTCTTCAGCTACCTTTCTCCTCCTGCATGCTATCTTTGTCCTGTAATAAATCATTCACTCCTGAAACCTGGTAGAGGGGATTCTGTTGTCTATAACCCCCACCAGTGCATTTCTATCTAATGGTTAGGAAAACCTCCTTGGCTGGGCACAGTAGCTCTCACCTATAATCTCAGCACTTTGGAAGGCCGAGGCAGGCAGATCACCTGAGGCCGGGAGTTCGAGACCAGTCTGGCCAACATGGTGAAACCTTGTCTCTACTAAAAATACAAAAAAATTTAGTTGGCTGTGGTGGTGTGTGTCTGTAGTCCCAGCTACTTGGGAGGCTGAGGCAGGAGAATTGCTTGAACCTGGGAGGTGGAGGTTGCAGTGAGCCGAGATCACACCATTGCACTCCAGCCTGGGTGACAGAGTGAGACTCTGTCTCAAAAAAAAAAAAAAAGAAAAGAAAAGAAAGGAAAGCTCCCAACTAAACACTCAATGGCCTGCTCATAACAGGAGACACAGGGGAGGTGGTCCAGGGTGGGCGAGTCAGCCGTTCAGCAGCATTGTGAAGAAGCCAGTTCCTTCCACCTTCTACTCATTGTTGTGCGGCTTCTTCCCCTTTGCGATCTGGTGCTGCTTTCCATCTCTAGTCTTCGGGCATCACTACTTTTCCCTGTGGTGCTCAACAGGCCATACAGGGCAGCTCTGATGTTGGCCAAGTGGAACTGATGTGGTCAGGAGACACAAATCCATTGAGAGGAGGCAGCTTCTCCTTGGAAGCAGAATCTCCCTTTTTATATCCATGAGAAACAGCCAGGAGAGCAGGAAGCCAAGGGCTTTCTCCTTTTCTGTTGCATGCCAGCGCCCTCTTTGGCTATGAGCAGCAGGTCTCTCTCCCTTCACCACTGCATTTGGATGAGACTCAGAGGCTGCTTTTGCTGTCATCTGTTTGGCTTACTTGGTAAGTTTCTGTGATTTGAGGCTTGTCACCACTTGTAGAGTTTTTGCTTGATCGTGTGTTGTTTGTCCAGCTTTGGTTAAGGCCGCTTAAAACCCTGACCTTTGGAGACTTTGTGTGCAGGTTTCCTATTTCATCATTGTCGTGTTTTGTCGCAAAGTCAGGTTTGCATCTTGGAGAGCTTTCTGGTCCCCCTTCCTGAGTTTTGTGCCCAGTTTTGTGGATGAGTCCATCATAAATCTTGTGGATGGAATCTTCCAGGTGCTTCTGGACTTTTCTGTTCTTTTGCTTCGCCTGTGTAGTGAGAGGGAGAAGTCCAACATTAAATGAGCCCTATTTTTACCCAACGTCTCTTTCTCCCTGACCACTCTGTGTAAAATGCAATCATAACTCCTCCTTCCTGACCAGCACTTCTAGTCCTCTTTATCCTATTTTTTCTTTCTCCATAGCGCTTATCACCCTTTCCTATGCCATCTCTGCCTCCAGATCTGGAATGTAAAGTCCTCAGTAGGAAATACCTTTATCTCTTTTGTTCAATGAGGTATTCTAATTGCTCAGAATGGTACCTGACACATATTAGGTGCCCAATAAATCGTTTGTGAATAAATGAGTGAATAAATACTCAGGATTTTTAACAAAAGCCACCAAAGAAAACATGCTTAATTTATTCAGGAAGTGGAAATCTTGGGTGGGATGAATTCCTTATGAGACCTGCGAGAAGCGCAGGTGATAGTTTGTGTGTGTGTTCGTTGTGCATTTTTATTGATATAAAACAGAAGCACTGGAAAGTGTGGGAAGTGCGCATGTCATGAGGATGCAGGCCCTTGGCTGGCTTGTTTATTTCAGGGGTGGTTAGGCATTGTCGCCCTGGGTGGAGGGGTCAGCGACGAGCCCTCTGAGGCCATCCTGTGACATCCCCTGGGCACCTCCTAGTGTTTGTCATTCCCCACGCCCCAGGGCCAGTGTCCTTGGCCTTGGAGATCTCAGGCTCTGCTGGTTTCCCCACCTCCCTGGCTGTCCCTTTTTAGTCCTTTGCCACCTCCTGACCAGACACTGAACATCCTTGGGGCTGGTCTCCTTCATTTCTTGCTATATTCTTTTTTTTTTAAAGACGGAATCTCGCTCTGTCACCCAGGCTGGAGTGCAGTGGCATGATATCGGCTCACTGCAACCTCCGCCTCCTGGGTTCAAGTAAGTCTCCTGGCTCAGCCTCCCAAGTAACTGGGACTACAGGCATGAGCCACCATGCCCGGCAAATTTTTGTATTTTTTAGTAGAGACAGGGTTTCGCCATATTGGCCAGGGTGGTCTCGAACTCCTGATCTCAAGTGATCCTCCTGGCTCAGCCTCCCAAAGTGTTGGGATTATAGACGTGAGCCACCGCGCCCGGCCACTATATTCTCTTTCTATTCAATTTCATTCTTCCCTGTGCCTCTGCTTACCATGGGGCACCTACTTGCAGAGGATGCCTGATTCCATGCCCTGGCTCCCTCCTTGGTGACCTCATGCATCTCAAACTCAATATACCCAATGCTGTGCTCAGACCTTCCAGCTCAAATGCGCTCTGTCTCAGACATGCTGCAACCATCCTCCTGGGAGTTGACACCTCCCCACCGTATCCCCTCACATCCAGTCCCTCAGCATGTTCCCTTGATCCTAACTTCTAAAGTGTCCTTGAACCTACTCACTTCTACCTCCCATGTGCCCACCAGACCCAGCCCCAACCACTTTTCGCTGGGGTAACCTCAGTAGAATTTACACTGGTCTCCCTTCATTCTCTCACGCACACGACAAACCATTCTGTACCCTGAAGCTGGTATGGTTTTTGAAAAGCTCAAATTTGGTTGTGTCTTTAATGAGTTCCCATTGCTCTGAGGTCAGTGTGGCATCTTTCATGGGGAAGGTCATGGCCAGCCCCCTTCCCCTTCCCTTCCTATGTTCCAGCCACCATGACCTACTGTCCAGTGGTCATGAGCTGAGTCCCTCATACCCAAGGCTTTTCCAGATGCTTTTTCTCTGCTGGAACACTGTTCTTGCCTTGCATTGCTAGCAAAGATCCCCATGTTCATTAAGTGCCTCTTAAATGTGACCTCTCCAGGGAAGCCTCCTCCACTCCCATTGCCCATTGCCCTGGCTCAGTCAGACCACTCTGTGTCTTCCTTGTTGGTGCTCTCTCCTCTTGTCATTAAATCGCTCCATGTTTAATGTCTGTATCCTCCACTTGACTGTATGCTCTACAAGGGCAGGGTCTAGGCTGGCTTGGATGTTATGCTGCTGAATCTACAGGGCGAAGCATAGGAGGTGCTCAATAAACTGAATAGATTTTGAATAGATGTTCACTGAGGGTAATACTGAGGAGTGGGGTTGTTCTCGATCCTTACTGTAGACTCCAAATGCCAGTACTGTTGGGCGTTGCTTCCTCTGAAACACTCCTTGAAGCTCTGAGTCTCCTTTGGATGGTTTTACCCAACTCCACTCATGCCTCCATCCCTTGCTGCCTCTCCAGACATTTGCCTTCCTTGTCATTTTCAGGCCGTCAGCTACAGTGACTGGGAATGTGTGCCACTTGGCTCTCACACTAGCCTCTCACTGTCGTTTTTCTCTCACGGGAGTTTATCATCTATTCTTCTCATTTCCTTGCCTTTCTCTCTGCAGCACCGATAAATCATCAGTTTCACCTGAACTTCAGAAAGAAGCCATTCCTTAATTTTGGCAGAAGCACGATGGAGTAGAAAGTGACCAAGTAGACTGACTTCTGATCATGTCTCTATTGTGACATGCCTTCATGAGCTCCCATTGTTCTTGGGGTTAAGGCCTTTAATATATGTTACAAGGTTGGAATCACTCTGGGGAAATGGCCGAAACTCCCTGAGCTTTGTTTCCTCAAGAGGAATGTGAGGTGGATTGGATTAAATTCCACCTACAACCATTTCCATCTCTTACATTTCCAGAATTTGTCCCAGAATCATAGAAGCAAACCTTGTTCAGAGAGGCCATATCCAGCTTTGCAAAATAAAAAAAAAAAGTCACTGTGCTGGTGAGATGGGCCTCAATCCTGGTCACATTTCTCTCTTCTCTCCAGATATCTATGCTTCCTCCCTCTCCTGCCTCCCCAGAACATAAACAGCTCCCTGAGGGTTGAGGATGTTCCTTCGTCCCACTCCCAACCTGTCACCCCCAACTTCCAGATTTCTTTAAAAGTCAAAGAGAAAGGAAATTTTCAGGAAGGAGATCATGTCTAAGAGCTTTTTATTAGTCTCATCTTCCAATTTCCTGTAGACTCAAGCTTCTTTCTTTCTGTCGTGCGGGGTTTAATATCCAGTGGCTGTTTGACAACAGCACCAGGAAATGGAATTTCCATCCTGATTCTGCCTGGAACCTTGGGCAAAGTGCCCAAACCTTCTGCCTCACTCTCCTCCTGGGAGTAACAGTCCCCACCCTACAGCCTTCTGGGGCAAGCAACAGAGACCTAATATGAAAATGGAACCAGAGAGTTCTGATGGATGTAAAGTCCTCAATAAATGCATGCAGGTATTATTTGTTAATTTTTGCCATAGGCAGGCTGCAGCCCCCAGGCAAACTCTGAGTAGAAGGAGCCTATAAAAACAAGCCTCCTGCTTCTCTCTCTCTCTCTCATTTTTTTTTTTTTTAATTTTTTTTTTAGACGTCTTCCTCTGTCGCCCAGGCTGGAGTGCAGTGGTGCGATCTCGGCTCACTGCAAACTCCGCCTCCCGGGTTCATGCCATTCTCCTGCCTCAGTCTCCTGAGTAGCTGGGACTACAGGCGCCCGCCACCATGCCCGACTAATTTTTTGTATTTTTAGTAGAGACGGGGTTTCATCGTGTTAGCCAGGATGGTCTTGATCTCCTAACCTCGTGATCCGCTCTCCTCAGCCTCCCAAAGTGCTGGGATTACAGGCATGAGCCACCACGCCCAGCCGCCTCCTGCTTCTCTCTTGAAGCCTGGGTTCTGCTCTGGTGTCTCCCCAGCTCATTGCCGGTTGATGGCACATTGGGCTCCCTGTCAGTCAGGTTGGCCACGTGAGGAGGAGTCAATGAGGCACTGCTTCCTGCCAAGCTGAGGCTGCCCTTCTTATAATAAGGAGGTGAGCCTGTCTCAGGGAAGGTTCTTTTCCTAAATTTCAGGTGGGATTCTAAACAGGACACCACTGATTTTTTAAAAAATGAACCTATCAAGACATGCATTTTCATGGGTGTAATCCTGTTTGAAGTGGTCACATTTGGGGTTTTTATGTACTTGCTCCTATTACTGGTGAAACTTCTGTGAATGGGCTACAGAACATGAACAGCCTCAGTGGTGGCAGAGTCTCATGATTTCAAGTTACCTTATAGTTGAGAAATAGCCCCGCAGGGTAGGTGATGGCGTACTCCCCACTTGCCATTCTATCTGGAACCCGGAAGGTGGACAATCCATATTCACTGAAATGAACCAAGAAATGAGACTGTGGCTATAAGGTTGAGGATGTTCATTTGCTTGTGAAGCTTCTAAACAAGATCTTCCGAACAGTTAAGAGAACACTTGGATATCATTATGATGGTGTGTTTGCTTTGAAAAATAAACATGAAAGAGAACCATTATGTTATAGCTCCGCTTTCTAGTGAGTACCCCGTCAAGGCATCATATCCCTCTGTGTAGCAATGGAAAGGCATTTAACCCAATGATTGAACCTCTCTGTGCCTCAGTTTCCTCATCTCTAAAATAATAATAGAACCTAGCTCATATAACTGTTAAGGGGGATCAAAGGAGGTAAAATGTTGTGACAAAAGTTGCATAACACAGTGGAGTGTATTTCATTCATTCCCAAGTCTGAACTTACGTGTAGAATAATGCCACAATCTATGGCCCTGTGTCCTGAAATGCCATTCCTCCAGGCCCTTTTGGAGCAAGAGCTCCAAGGGGCTGTTCCCTCAGATAATAACCTAGGTGATTGGAAACCTTGGCTAGGGAGCACAGACCTGGAGGTCGGTTCCAGTGTGGGACAGTTGGTCATATTTCCCAGTCACCCTCTGCCATGCAAAGTGGGTGAGGCAGTGGCTCTGGCCAGTTCATTGGCAGGTGGCAAAACCTTGTCTAGTCTTTGGCATTGGGCATGTGATACCATCGATGGCCAGTAGGTGGCACAAGTTGTCCATCACTGCCGCCAGCTTTGCTCCATTGGGTGCTTTCTCAGAAGGGGAAGATCTATTTCTAATCCAGTCCTGGCTTTATGGCAATGCTTAATCACATGGAAGGGAACATGCAATAACTACTGGTATTTCTGTAAACATGCATGCTAAGAAGCAGCTGCCAGTTGGAAATGAGGATGGAGGGAACACTCAGTGAGAGGTCTCCTGAGGACAATCTAAAAAAGGAAAACCCTGAGGGTTTTAAAATTTTAGAGCCAGTTAACCTTTGTGACTCATGGAGAGAAACGTTTAGAACCCAGAAGGACAATGAGAATACATCCTGTGGATTGTAACCTGGTCCAAGGTCCACCTTGCCCTCTCCACCTTCCTTCAGCTGTGAAGTTTAGGAAGGAGAGACAAGATCCCCTTGCATGGAGTCAGCTTACCCACCTCATGACCCCCAGCAGGGCCGGGCTGCACCTTCTGGGCTGTTTGCTTATTTTTTTATTCTTTTGTCCTGGCAAGTTGCCTGCTTCTTGGGTTTGTCGTTTCCCTGGAGGAAAGTTTATTTGAATCTCATTCTACCCTTAATAACATTGGCACCAGATAAATACGAAGCGGATGAAGAGACACATTGCAGCAAAACAAAAAGTGGAACGTGGTCAACAACGGGGCGATGAGGACTTTAATACATGTGTACACTTTCTAAATAAAAAATTTTCATTGTAGTAAAATACACATAACATAAAATTTACCATCTTAGCCATTTCTAAGTGTACAGTTCGGTAGTGTCAAGTACGTTCACACTGTTGGGCAGCTAATCTCCAGGACTCTTCATCTTGTAAAACAGAAACTCTCTACCCATTACACAACAGCTCCCTGTTCTTCTCTCCCCCAACCCCTAACAGCCACTATTCTACTTCCTGTCTCTATGAACTTGATTACTCTAGTGTCAAAGAAAAGAATCAAACTCTGTAAGATATTTGAAGAGATTTATTCTGAGCCAAATATGAGTGACCGTGGCCCCCGACACAGCCCTCAGGAGGTCCTGAGAACATGTGCCCAAGGTGGTCGGGGCGCAGCTTGGTTTTATACATTTTAGAGAGGCATGAGACATCAATCAAATACATTTAAGAAATATATTGGTTTGGTTCAGAAAGGTGGGACAACTCAAAACTGGGTCGGGGGGACTTCCAGCTTATAGGTAGGTTAAAAAATTTTCTGGTTTACAATTGGCTGAGTTTATCTAAAGACCTGGGACCAACGGAAAGAAATGTCTGGGTTAAGATAAAGGATTATGGAGACCCAAGTTTTTATTTTGCAGAGAAAGCCTTCAAGTGGTAGGCTTCAGAGGGAACAGGTTTTAAAATGTTTCTTATCAGACTTAAAGTCTGTGTTGATGTCAGTGCTGGAGAGGTATCATGAGGCATGTCTGACCCCTGCTTTCCATCATGGCCTGAAACAGTCTCTCAGGTTAAATTTTAAAAGAGCCCTGGCTGAGAAGGAAGCCCTTTCAGATGGTTGCAGGGGCATGGGGGGATGCTTAGAATTTTATTTTTGGTTTACTCTAGGTACCTCATATAAGTGGAATCACACTATTTTGTCTTTTAGTGACTGGGATATTTCAGCATAATGTCCACAAAGTTCATCCGTGTTGTAGCATGTGTCAGAATTTCCTTCCTGTTTAAGCTGAATAATATTCTATTGCATGCGTGATGGTTAATTTTATGTGTCAACTTGACTGGGTTAAGGGGTGTCCAGATAGCTGGTACAACATTATCTTTGGGTTTGTCCTTGAGGACGTTTCCAGAAGAGATGAGCATTTGAATTAGTAGGCTGAGTAAAGAAGGTCCGCCTTCGCCAGTGGGTGGGCATCAACCCATCTGTTGAGGGCCCAAGTAGAATAAAAAAGGCAGAGGAGGGCTGGGCTCGGTGGCTCACGCCTGTAATCCCAGCACTTTGGGAGGCCAAGGCAGGCAGATCACGAGGTCAGGAGATCGAGACCATCCTGGCTAACACGGTGAAACCCCGTCTCTACTAAAAATACAAAAAAAATTAGCTGGGCGTGGTGGCGGGCGCCTGTAGTCCCAGCTACTTGAGAGGCTGAGGCAGGAGAATGACGTGAACCCAGGAGGTGGAGCTTGCAGTGAGCTGAGATCGCGTCACTGTACTCCAGCCTGGGCGACAGAGTAAGACTCCGTCTAAAAAAAAAACGCAGAGGAGGAGCAAATTCTCTCTTTCTCTTCTTAGCTGGAGCATCCGTCTTCTCCTGCCCTGGGGAATTGGAGCTCCTGTCTCGAGCTTTCTGACTTGGGGACTCATCACCCTTAGCCCCCCAGGTTCCCAGGCCTTCAGCTGAACGTTGGTCACTCCAATGGCTCCCCTGGTTCCCAGGCCTTCAGATTCAGCCTGAACGACACCATGGCTTTCCTAGTTTTCCAGCTTGCAGATGGCATAGGGTGGGCCTCTTTGGCCCCCTTAATTGGATGAGCCAATGCCTGTAACAAATCTCCTCTTATGTATCTGTATATATTCTACTGGTTTTGTTTTTCTGGAGAACCCCGACTAATAGACTATGTACATACCACATTTTGTTTATCCACCCGTTCACCAACAGACACTCAGGCTGCTGCCTTCTGGCCATTGTGCATAACACTGCCATGAACATGGTGTAAAATGCCTCTTCAAGACCCTGCTTCCAACTCCTTTGGGTATATGCCCAGAAGTTGAATTGCTTGTTCATGCAGAATTTATTTTTAATTTTTTTTGTGTGGAACAGCCATACTATTTTCCATGGTGGTTGCATCATTTTACATGTCCATCAACAGTGCACAAGGGTTCCCATTTGTCCACATCCTTGCCAACATTTGTTATTTTCTGTTTTTCTTTTTTCTTGATGGTAGCCATCCTAATGAGTGTGAGATGGTGTGTGGACACTTCAAGTTTGCTCTTTCTAGGGCTTTTTCTGGAGTGGGCAAGGCTCCCTGATCCCTTCCTCTGAAAGTGGTGTTACTGTAAAGGTGGCATTTTCCTGCTGGTCGTGGTGGCACGTGCCTGGAATCCCAGCTACTCGCGAGACTGAGGTGGAAGGATTGCTTGAGCTGAGGAGTTTGAGGCTGCAGTGCACTATGATTGCTCCTGGAAATAGTCACTGCACTGGAGCCTGGGTGACATAGTGAGACCTTGTCTCAAAACCAACCAACCAACCAACCAACCCACCCAGACATTTCCCCTTCTGCCCTCCCCTCAGAGCTCTGCCTAGAGAGCCTGCTGAGTGTGGGTACTTCTGGGTTGGTGTCTCCACCCTAGGAACCCACTTGAGAGTGACTTTATTTGGAACAATCTTCAGTCACAGGAATCTTCTGGGAAGTCACCAGACCATTGCTTTGAAGAGTACACAGCCTCAGACCCTCTGGGGACAGGAGCAAGGCAGGCTGATTTATTAACCACGCTGCGTCACCCTT
Source organism: Homo sapiens (assembly GCF_000001405.40). Lineage (NCBI taxonomy): Eukaryota > Metazoa > Chordata > Mammalia > Primates > Hominidae > Homo > Homo sapiens. Next base: position 111,733,038 of record NC_000002.12, on the reverse strand, counting down.
TTGCCCTAGAGGTTAGATGGTCCCAGGAGCCCCCCTCGCCAAGACACTCCTCACAGTGGGGGTAGGAGGGTGGGAAGTTCTAGATCCTCAGTCTGGCCTTCAAATATTCCATTACATTGCCGGGGACATGGCGCACCCACATTTATCCAAAGGACAGGGGTCTCCAGAAATGTCTGCCCACAATATCCTTTGGTTACCTCCAAAACATTCTCTTGAAGTTGTTTAACTGCCATACATTGTTGTGGGCCAGCCTTTTATTCCCAGATTCACTTATTTAAAAAAAAAAAAAACAACAACTCTCGAGCATCTCTGAAGAGAGAGGTTATATGGCAGATGCAAGTCAGCAGAAGGCAGAGAGCTGAGAATGATGGGGAGAGAGACACAGGGCTCACGGTGTGACAAGCTTCTTGGTGAGTGGTCAAGTGCGTAATGGCCAGGTAGGCGGCTGGTGGGATGTGCTCAGGCAGACCAGCGTCTGAGTCCCAGGCTGGTCACTAATTTGCTCTGCGTCCTTGGGCAAGCTCCTTCCTTTCTCTGTGCCTCAGCTTCCTCATATACTAAATGAGGGTAGTGAGAGCTAGCTCAGAGCTGTTGGGAGGTTTAAACGAGTGGATGATGTAAATACAAGTGTCAGGAATAGTGTAGGTGCTCTTTAGTGTTCACCCACTGCTGTGGTTTGAGTGTGTCCAAAGTTCGTGTGTTGGAAACCTAATTCACAACACCAACAGTGTTTGGATGGGGGACCTTCAGGAGGTGATTAGGTCATGAGGGCTCTGCCATCATCAATGGATTAATAGTGTTACCTTAGGAGTGGGTTAATCATTGAGGGAGTGGTTTCTTGATTAATGGATAAGTTCAGTCCCCTTTCTCTATTGCTCCCTCCTGCTCTTTTGTCCTTCTACCTTCCCCCATGGGATGACGCAGCAAGAAAGTCCTTGCCAGATGCAGTCTCCTTGACCTTGGACTTCCCAGCCTTCAGAGCTGTAAGAAATAATT